>NC_000008.11:33193435-33496466 GCF_000001405.40 Homo sapiens | reverse complement strand
AAGCATGTTCTTTTGAACATTTAAATCATCTGCAGTTAGTATCAAATAGGTAACTTCTATGGAGTTACATTTTAAAATAATTTAAAATGTAATAGTCTACAAAACCCATGCATTGGGACAAATGTCATTTTGCTGACAAGGGGAAATAATAAGGAAAAAGCATACTTTAGTCATGTTGTCTGTATAAACAACACTAATTTTTAAAAAGAGAATAAAAACTTATTTCAAAGAGCCTTAAAAGACTAGGGTAATATGCAGGAGAAGCAAAACCCCATGGCTTTTATACAGAAATCTGGAATTGTTGTCTTGGGGAATGGAGCTGAGAATAATGGCAAAAAGGGAAAGGTCTCTTATAGTGAATGGAGTATCAAGGGTAACCAAAGCATTTTATGTGCTTGCATTAATTAAAGCAAGGAAGCCAGGCCGATATGGATTTATTTTATTCCAGGGATAAAATTCGAGTGGAGATCTTCATATCATGTTAAAAAACATTTCCCAGCCAGGCACAGTGGCTCACGAGGTCAGGAGTTCAAGACCAGCCTGGCCAAGATGGTGAAACCCTGTCTCTACTAAAAATACAAAAATTAGCTGGGTGCAGTGGTGGTGCCTGTAATCCCAACTACTCAGGAGGCTGAGGCAGGAGAATTGCTTGAACTTGGGAGGCAGAGGTTGCAGTGAGCCGAGATTGCACCACTGCACTCTAACCTGGGCAACAAAGCAAGACTCCATCTCAAAAAAAAAAAAAAAAAAAAAAAAAAAAAAAAAAAAAAAAAAAAAAAAATTCCCAATATGTCTTAGCAACATACTACCACTTAAAATTTCAGTACCCCAAAGCTAATGGCTTTCTCACCGTATCTTGTTTCAGTCTCTCCAGTAATTCCTTCTCAATGGCATTGTCCAGCTGAGCAGCTATTAATGCCTTTTCCTATAAGGGGGAAAGAGCAAATCTGTTTAATTCATCAGTGCTCATTACTCATCTTATAAAAATGGAAGAAACTACCAAGTTGTTTATAAGAAAGACAATGTAATTATTTCCCCTCCTTGCTAATACTGGCTTTTGCCTTTCCAACGAGATAGATTTCTTCTTCTTTCTCTTGTAAACTTCCTTGGGAACATTTCCATTTTGAAATTCCTATGGTTTTGTAAACAACATTCTAAATTAAATTCTAACACAGGCTTTGATAGATACAAAGCATGTAAGTCTATATACATTTAAGTGTCTCAGAAATAATCTAGCAACTCTGGAGCCAGACTTTGTAAAAGCTGAGAAAAGAGAACAGAAATCTTCATTCGTTTACATTTTCTAAAATCATGCTAGATTCCATGTGACAGAATAGGTAAAAATCTCTTCCTCCAGTGATCTCTCATTGGAGATGACACATGACATCAACCTGTACTACCACACAATAGCCCAGGATGGTGCATTAATTTGATAGTGAAAGTCATAGAGGGTTTTAAAGTGTTATATCTGTAAGTTATGTTAGAATG
This sequence comes from Homo sapiens, assembly GCF_000001405.40. Classification (NCBI taxonomy): domain Eukaryota; kingdom Metazoa; phylum Chordata; class Mammalia; order Primates; family Hominidae; genus Homo; species Homo sapiens. The sequence continues at coordinate 33,494,978 of NC_000008.11, read as the reverse complement.
ATTACGTAAAACTGTGTAGGGGCACATGGAAAATTAGCCAGGCATGTTAGCGGGCGCCTATAGTCCCAGCTACTCGGGAGGCTGAGGCAGGAGAATGGTGTGAACCCAGGAGGCGGAACTTGCAGTGAGCCGAGATCACGCCACTGCACTCCAGCCTGGGCAACAGAGCAAGACTCCATCTTAAAAAAAAAAAGGGCTACAGCGATGTTCCATGTTGTTCTCTAGAGTGGGGTGTTTACACTTCAAGGGTATCCGCTGAAGTGTAGGAAGAAAATATTCAAAACTTCCACATATCTCTTTTTCCTTAAAAAATTTAACATCATTACTACTTTTCTTGTACACTGACATTGGTGCCTTGACTCTGTCTATAAAGTAAATAGTTGTGTGTCAGATACAGTGAGCCAGATATCTCAAGGGAGGAATACGGCAGATAGGGCTTGCAAGTGGTGGTCTCACTTGTTTATTTAGACGACTATTTAACTGTTTATGTTTGCTTAGTTAAGCGGATTCATAGATGACACTGAATATTCTGCCAAAGATAGAGAGTAGTTATAAAAGTATGCTGGTTATCTAATGGGTTAGTATTTTTAAAAGTTGTAGAACCAGGCTGGCAAGGTGGCTCATGCCTGTAATCCCAGCACTTTGAGAGGTCGAGGTGGGCAGATCACCCGACGTCAGGAGATCAAGACCAGCCTGACAAACGTCGTGAAACCCCGTCTCTACTAAAAACACAAAAAATTAGCCGGGCAGAGTGGTGTATGCCTGTAATCCCAGTTACTCAGGAGGCTGAGGCACAAGAATTGCTTGAACCCAGGAGGTGGAGGTTGCAGTGAGCCGAGATGGCGCCACTGCACTCCAGCCTGGGCGACAGAGCAAAAGCTGTAGAACCTAAAGATGATCCATGCACTTTTCACAAAAAGAAAAATATTCCAAATTTGCCAATCTTTTTATGTAACCCAGTAGACATTTTTAAAAATAAATACGCTTAATCTGTGTCTTCCAAACAAAAGCAACATTTTAATAGTTTGAGGAAGACAATTGTTTTTTGAAAAAAAAAAAACTTGTTCTGTGAAGGTTGTGAAAAGAAAACTGATTATATCTACATATGGCACTGCTGAAAACATGTCTCCTATAAAAATTGCAATCACACACTTTAAAAATGTGGAAACAGAATATTGTAATGCATTTAAAACTCTTCCAAATCTACATTTTTCAGAGGGTTACAAACTCAATTGGTGAAAATAGAAAAAATTAATTTCTTCTGAAAGGTTTGTAGGAACACCTGTTTGACAACTGGAGATGAAAACTCACTAACTGGACTTGAAAAAAAGCCGCTCCATAACTAATGGAGCATAATGAAAAATTAAAGTACTTGAGACCACCTATCAACAATGCACTTCTCTACAATCCCTCAGTTATGTATGACAGCCCTTCAAGACAAAATCATACTCAGCTAAGAAGCAGACTTTTGTTTCACTACATCACAATTAGTTATAATACACATTGTATTATTAGTGGAAGTGTGTATGTATAATAACATTTATAGCCTGTAATCCCAGCACTTTGGGAGGCTAAGGCGGGTGAATCACCTCAGGTTGGGAGTTTGAGACCAGCCTGGCCAATGTGGTGAAACCCCATCTCTACTAAAAATACAAAAATTAGCCGGGTGTGGTGGTGCATGCCTGGAATCCCAGCTACTTGGGAGGCTGAGGCACAAGAATTGCTTGAATCCAGGAGACAGAGGTTGCAGTGAGCCAAAACTGCACCACTGCATTCCAGCCTGAGAAACAGAATGAACCTTTGTCTCAAAATAAAATATTTATAAATAACATTGGGGAATACATGTTCAAAAATTTTACTGAGGTGAGCACAACTTTGCAGACCAATGATACAGATTTTAGATACATAACTGTGATTAATGGGGACAGAAGCATCAAAAGAAAAGCTATCCCTATCAAAATACCAATGACAAATATAAATATAAAAAAAAGAAAAATACCAATGACATTCTTCACAGAAATAGAAAAAAAAATCCTAAAATTGTTATGAAACCACAAAAGATCTAGGATAGCTAAAGCTATCCCAAACAAAACAGCAAAACAAACAAAAAAAAACAACAAAAAAAACACAAAACAAACCTAGAGGAATCACATTACCTAACTTCAAATTATACTATGGACCTATAGCAACCACAACACTATAGTAATGGCATAAGAACAGACACAGAGACCAATGGAACAGAATAGAGAACCCAGAAACAATTCCACACACGTACAGTGAACTCATTTTCGACAAACGTGCCACGAACATACACTAGGGAAAAGACAGTCTCTTCAATAAATGGTGCTGGAAAAACTTGATCTCCATATGCAGAAGAATGAAACTAGACCCCTATCTTGTGCTATATACAAAAATCAAACCAAAATGGATTAAAAAACTAAGACCTCCAACTACAAAACTACAAGAAAACACTGAGAAAACTCCAGGTCATAGATCTGGGCAAAATTTCTTAATATCCCACAAGCAAAGGTAACCAAAGCAAAAATGGACAAATGGGAGCACATCAAGTTAAAAAGCTTCTGCACAGCAAAGGAAACAACAAAGTGAAGAGACAATCCACTGACTGGGCAAACTATCCACCTGACAAGGGATTAATAACCAGAATACAGGCCAGCGCGGTGGCTCACGTCTGTAATCCCAGCACTCTGGGAGGCTGAGGCAGGTAGATCACCTGAGGTCAGGAGTTCGAGACCAGCCTGGCCAACATGGCTAAACCCCATCTCTACTAAAAATACAAAACAAACAGCCAGGCATGGTGGTGCACACCTGGCATCCCAGCTACTTGGGAGGCTGAGGCACAAGAATCGCTTGAACCTGGGAGGCAGAGGTTGCAGTGAGCTGGGATTGCCCCATAGCACTCCAGCCTGGGTGACAGAATGAGACTCCATCTCAAAAACAAAACAAAACAAAATCCAGACTATATAAGGAGCTCAAACAACTCTATAGGAAAAAATTCTAATTATTGGATTAAAAAGTGAATAAAAGGGCCAGACATGGTGGCTCACACCTGTAATCCCAGCACTTTGGGAGGCTGAAGTGGTTGGATTGCTTGAGCCCAGGAGTTCAAGACCAGCATGGGCAACATAGTGAAGCCTCGTCTCTACAAAATATATAAAAATTAGCCAGGCATGGTGGCATGCACCTGTAGTCCCAGCTACTTGGGAGGCTGAGGCATGAGAATCACTTGAATCCAGGAAGCAGAGGTTGCAGTGAGCCAAGATCGCACCACTGCACTCCAGCCTGGACAATAGAGTGAGACCTTGTCTCAAAAAAAAAAAAAAAAAAAAAAAAGCAGGGGGCAGGGATTGGGGAGGCAAAAGATTTGAGTAGACATTTTTCAAAAGAAGACATACAAATGGCAAACAGGCATATGAAAAGGTGTTCAACATCATTGATCATCAGAGAAATGCAAATCAAAACAATGAAATATCTCACCCCAGTTAAAATGGCTTTTATCTTTTAAAAGACAGGCAATAACAAATGCTAGAGAGGATGTGGAGAAAGGGAACCCTTGTGCACTGGTGGTGGGAATGTAAATTAGTACAACCACTATGGAGAACAGTTTGGAGCTTCCTCAAAAAACTAAAACTAGAGCTACCATACCATCTAGCAGTCCCACTTCTGGGTACAGACCCAAAAGGAAATTAGTGTATCAAAGGGATACCCACACTCCATGTGTGTTACAGCTCTGTTCACGACAGCCAAAATTTGGAAGCAACCTAAGTGTCCATCAATAGATGAATGGATAAAGAAAATATGGTACTTATACACAATAGAGTACTATCCAGCCATTAAAAAGAATGAGATTCTGTCATTTGTAACAACATGGATGGAACCGGAGGTCATTATGTTAAGTGAAAGAAGCCAGGCACAGAAAGGCAAACACTGCACATTTTCACTTATTTGTGGGATCAAAAAATCAAAACAATTGAACTCATGGATATACAGAGTAGAAGGATGGTTACCAGAGGCTGGGAAGGGTAATGGGGGTGGGGATGATTAATGGGTACCCCCGCTAAAAAAAATAGGAAGAATGAAATAAGACCTAGTATTTGCTAGCAGCACAACAGCGTGACTATAGTCAATTATTTAATTGTACATTTTAAAATAACTGTAAGGATAATTGAACTGTTTGTAACACAAAGGATAAATGCTTGAGGGGACGGATACCCAATTTTCCATGATGTTATTACTCACTGCATGCCTGTATTGTATTTCACTGCAGAAATTCCATTTGATTAGAATGCTCAAAATCTACTAAAGGTTTTATGTAGTATGTAAAATATGCAACATCAAAATTCTGAAGTCTGAAATATTTGACCACAAGAAATTCAGAAAAAGGAGTTGTGGATTCTTTCTGTTCTCCATTACATATATCCCCAAAGCACACATACTTTAACCTGTGCTGAAAATCATAATCTTAAAATATGAAAAATTAAATGTCTTAGGCAACTAATAGTTATCTATTAGTGAACCATTATCCAAGGCCTCAACAGTTTACATAATGATGGTGACTGAATCTATAAGAGACCCCCAGAAAGAAAATGTAGAAGGTATGAATATCTCAACAATAAGTTACCTCTCTTCTTTTCTCCCTACGCTCCACCTTCTTACTCAAAGGAACAAGTTTCCTCCTAAGGGAAAGAAAATATATCAGAAAATCCACTGTCATGTGCTGTGTTCCTTTTTAAGGATGAGAAGAAAAAAGGATTGGAATTGGTGACTAAAATGGAAGTCTACTCATGTGCAGGGCAGGATGGCTGAGCTTCAGGCATTCACGGAGGCTAGCGATTCAAACAAGCCTTGGAGCCCAAGGTTGGTGCTGTAGGGCTCAGCTCAATACAGCAAGATACACTAAACGCTTCTAGAAATTTAATACTATAAAAAGTCATATATTTTTACATGTATTTTAATCCGGCCATTTTTGTTCAGGCATTCTGGGATTCTCAGGGCATTCACCATGCTAAAATTAAGACTTCAGTGAACTAAGAAAAAAGAATTTTCTGTCGAAGTCTGACATCATCTTTAGCATTCTATGTAGATCACAGTCAAAAAGCATTAGGGCCTAACAGTCCTAGAGAAGGTATTCTGTTAATTCTGGGGATTTCATATCACTTTTAAAAATTAGTTTTCAGTGAATCCAGAGTAAAGTTCTTACATTCCTGTATAGTCACATGTCTTAGATCATTTTCAAATCTCTAAAGTTAAGATTCCCTCGGGGGTCATAGAGGAAATTTTCTGAAGGCTGGGCATGGTGGCTCATGCCTGTAATCCCAGCACTTTGGGAGGCTAAGGCGGATCGCTTGAGGTCAGGAATTCTAGACCAGCCTGGCCAACATGGTGAAACCCCATCTCTACTAAAAATACAAAAAAAATTAACCAGGCATGGTGGTCCATGCCTGTAATCCTAGCTGCTCAGGAGGCTGAGGTGGGAGGATTGCTTCAACCGGGGAGATGGAGGTTGCAGTGAGCTGAGGTCGCGCCACTGCAAATTCCAGCCTGGGCGACAGAGTGAGACTCCGTCTTAACAAAAAAGAAAATAAAATTTTCTGAAAGATTTTCAGACAAGGAGGGTGATAATCAAGTTGTATTCTACTGTTTTAAAAGTCCTGCCATATCAAAGGGCACACCTTTAGTCAAAGCTAAAGTTTCTCTTTAGTACATCATAACAGACTCCACAAAGTTGAATAGAAAGCCCCGAAGTTTCACAATTTCTCAACTTCAAAACAAGCTCCATAAAAAGAGAGATTTAAAAATAATGAATGATCCAAATACTTACTGTCGCTTTAGTGTAAGTTTTCTAATTCGAATTAGGTATTGGGTGATCTTGGTGAATCTCTGCTTACATTTGTGTCGAATGAAACGGGGCCAGTAAATCAGATTTTCATCTATTTGCTCCAGTGCTTTCTCATAGTTTTTACTAAGCCGGACCTACCAAACAGAAACAGGAAGTTTGAAGGGCAAGTGTAAATGATTCATTAGGTTTTCACTGTCAGTGACACCCATGGCCTAATGAGGATGGCCTCAAAAGTTAATGGTCATGGAATTGGGCATCATGGTCAAGCATGTGGCTTTGATGCTCTTGATCAGCGGTCACTGTAGTTTTGTTGTAAGGCTTACCCGTTCCCAGAGACGCCGAGGAAAAGCCGCTCGTTCTATAACCTTCATATACAAGTAGCACTGTCCTGAAGATAAAGTAAAATAGCTTTAGTGTTATTTACAGAAACTAAAGAACATCCCTGTAAAAGCTGTGGAGCAGTTCTTCTAGAAGTTAAAACTGGGGAGTTACCTTTCTCTTCTTTAATAGTGGCATACTGACTATTTGCCAGGGGACAGGATGACCGATTACACAGTCCAGTCAGGCTATATTCATTTCGGCAGAAGCTCTGAGTCTTGGTTCTAGAATGGGAGAAAAGAAACAAAGATTATAAAATGGGTTGCCAAAGAGGCAACTGAAGGAATCTTTGACCAAGTTGTAAATTGAGACTCACCTTATTTTGAAGGAACAAAATTGCTTGTTTCCTAGTGTATCCCAGATAACCTGCAAGACAAAGTAAAAGCCCATTTCAAATCCTCTGCCCCAAGAGATACTATATTAATTCAAGAAGGCAATGCCCAAGGACAGGAATGAGAGGAAGAAATGTTTTGTAAAATAGCCTGACTTGTTTACTTTTTAAAATACAAACAGCAAGGCCGGGCACGGTGGCTCACGCCTGTAATCCCAGCACTTTGGGAGGCTGAGTTGGGCGGATCACCTGAGGTGAGGAGTTTGAGACCAGCCTGATTAACATGGAGAAACCCTGTTTATATTAAAAATACAAAATTAGCTGGGCATGGTGGCGCATGCCTGTAATCCTAGCTACTCGGGAGGCTGGGGCAGGAGAATCGCTTGAACCCAGGAGAGGGAGGTTGCGGTGAGCCGAGATTGTGCCATTGCGCTCCAGCCTGGACAACAAGAGTGAAACTCCGTCTCAAAACAAAACAAAACAAAACAAAAAAGCCCAGCAGATTCTTATAGAAAAGCTAAATACAGATGAGCAATAATCATAACTCCATTACCCAGAGATAAAATTTCATTACTATTCTGTAAATATTTTTCCAGACTTTTTTTGACATACTCTGTGAAATCACATTTTATATACTTCGTAACTTTCCCTTTTTACTTATGTTCATTATCCATTATTAAAGGCTCTCATGGGCCGGGTGTAGTGGCTCACACCTGTAATCCCAGCACTTTGAGTGCCAAGGCAGGCGGATCACTTGAGGTTGGGAGTTTGAGGCCAGCCTGGCCAACATGGTGAAACCCCATCTCTACTAATAGAAAAATTAGCCAGGTGTGGTGGCAGGTGCCTGTAATCCCAGCTACTTGAGAGGCTGAGGCAGGAGAATCGCTTGAACCCAGGAGGCAGAAGTTGCGGTAAGCCGAGATCACGCCACTGCACTCCAGCCTGGGCGACAGAGTGAGAATCCATCTCCAAAAAAAAAAAAAAGGCTTCATGGTATTAGATTTTTAGATATACATACCATAATTTTATCTCATTGAGGGCAAAGAAAACTATCTACTGCTATCCTCCTGTACTTAATGTGCTCTTTATTCATTCAGCATTATATACTTAATTTATGTAAGGCACTGACATCTCCAAGTCCTGACACACAGTAGCCACTTAAGTATTTGCTGAATGAAAGAAAGTATACTCTTTAAAGAGTTTCGTCTATCTAGTTAGGGGAAAGATATGTAAACAAAGTATCACAAAATAGCAGGTCTAAAGGCCACATAGCATGCGTAAGAGTATGACAGCCTTTGAGTGCGCTGCCTTGAGGAACTGGGGTAAAAAAAAGCTTTACCACTGTTAAAGGAAAAATATGAAGAGGGCAAAAGAATAAAACACACTTTAAGAATTTTATAGGTGTGTCTGGTGGGGGATGGTAGGAAACAGGTAAGAAGAATAAGGGAGCTCTTTTAGGCTTGTGGCTTTAAGTATCATCTCTAAATGGATGACTCCTAAATTGTTATTTTCTGGTCAGACTTCTTTCCTGAGCACCAGATTTTTATATGACATCTCTTCAATATCTAAAAGGCAACATAAATATTAACATATCCACAAGGAGTTCTCAATTCCACATCCCTCGTAAGAACAGTCTTCCCTAGAGTTCCCCCACTTCAATAAATAAAATCACCATTTAACTATGTATTTATATCCCAAATCCTTTGATTTCTTCCTTTTCTTCTTCACTTAATCCATCACCAAAGTCTTGTCAATTATACTGACGTAAAAGGTCTCAAATTCATCAATTTCTTTTCATCTCCACCATTAAATTACTACCTTAGGCGAAGCCACTTTCGTTTTTAAAAAAATTTATTTACTTTAGAGATAGGGTCTCTCTGTCACCCAGGCTGGAGTGCAGTGGTGCCATCATAGCTCACTGCAGCCTCGGACTTTTCGGCTCAAGTAGTCCTTCTGCCTCAGCCTTCGAAGTAACTGGGACCTCAGGCGAACACCACCGCGCCCAGCTAATTTTTTATTTTTTGTAGAGATGGAGTCTCACTTTATTGCCTAGGCTGGAATCGAACTCCTGGCCTCAAGCGATCCTCCAGCCCCAGCCTCCCAAAGCGTTGGGATTACAGGCATGAGCCACTGTGTCTGGCTTGAAGCAACCTTTGTCATACCCTAGTCTCCTTGCTTTCATTTTTTCCCTCCAAAAGTCCTTCACACAGCAACTAGACAACTTTTCACAAACATAGATCATTAAAAGGCCTAAAAAACACTTCCTACAAGATTCTGCATGACCTCGCCCTGGCAAGCATATCTAATTTCATTACCTGTCTTACATTGTCACTTTGATGACCCTTATATTCATTCTCTCATATCTTCAACTCTTTGTACTTTACTGTTCCTACTGCCTGGATTGCTTTTTCCTCAGCTCCTCAGTGACTGGCTTATTCTTATCTTTTAGATCTCAACTCAAACATCTTCTGTTCAGAGAAACCTTCCCTGAGTAACCCTATCTGAAGTGTCCTTCATCATCTCTGGTCTTTCTTTCATAGTATGATTATATAGTGTAATTGTTAACTTATTTGTTCACTTGTTTACTGTGTCTCCCCCATCAGTGTTCCAGGAGAGGTGGGACATTTTTTCTGGTTAACCAAATCCTCAATAATTACCACAATGCCTGGCACACTGTAAGCACACTGTTATTTCTCCAACAAAAAACTCAATGAATGAATCTAGGATACTTCCGAAATTATGACTTAGGCAGAAGTAGAGCAAATGTAAAGAAAAGCCTACACAGGAAACGCAGATGGAAGAGTAACGCGCACATGGATGAGAAGGACGCTTAAACTTGGAGTCAGCTTCGCCAAATCCCGGGCCGCCCCCCACCCCAAGTCCGGAGCTGACAGCTGACAGCTGACAGCATGACGCGACGTCCTGCATTGGTAGGCACGAAGGACGGGACACATCGACCCCATGGGCTGAGGTGACGGAGTCCTGTGCTCACAACCCGGCCGGGGCAGCGGGCAGTAAACCCCTGCTAGACACGCGTGAGAACCTATGTTGGAAAATCGGGGTTCCGGAAGCCTCACATCCAGAGCGGCACGAGGCAACAGACCCGCTGCGTACGCGTTTTCTAAGTGTCCGAAAATGGGCAAAATTCCCTGCGCAAACCCCGGGTGTAAGAACAACCGGAGGAGACTCACATCATCCGACTGCATGGTGTCCGCGGCTCAGCGTGCAACTTCCGGTCGGATCGCGGGCGCAGACATGCTCCTTCCGGGAAACCAGTTCCGGAACGCGCAGCCTCACCTATCTCGAGAAACGCTGAGACTCTCGGTGTTGCGAAGCGTCCCCTGGCAGTCTCGTCGCCGCGCGCGCGCCCCCGCGTCTTCACCACGCTGGCGTCTGCGCGCGCCCGTCCGCAATGCTGGGCTTGTTCATGGGCGCAGCCTGGAGCTGGGAACCCTGTTGGGACCCAGTGCGATCCGCGGGAGGCAGGACGCGCGCAGTCTGCCGAATCCTGGAGCGCGGGGACCGCGGGGGTCGGGCGTGCTTCCCTAGCGCCCTGTTTGTGACCGTTCATGAGGATGGGACCCCTCCCTGTCGGGCCTCCCCTCTGCTGGGAGGAGGCTGGGGAAAGCTGCAGGCGGCGCGGCGGGGCTGGGTCCCCGCTCCTCCGAGTCCCCCGGCCCCAGCTCGCAGCCAGGCCCCGGCCCTGCCCCTCAGACCCTGACTTAGCCACTCCCCACGCCCACGTTGGGTGCGGCACCGGGTCCTGACTTTAGAAACTCAGAACTTGAATTCCTCCTGCTTTGAGAAACCACTGACCAAATGGAAAGAGCATTCCAATAATAATAAACACCTGTGTCTTCCTCATTGCCTATTTGAGACAACAAACAAAGTTGATAAGGGAGGGAAAATACCAAGAAGAAAAGTAGAGGTCTAATAACCCACAAAAACAAATCTGGAAGCCTAACAGCTCTTTTCCGCCAGGGGAAAAAGAAAATCTTTACTAGTTTGTATCGTATTATAGAAGAAAGACTGTCGGCCGGGCCGGGCGCGGTGGCTCTCGCCTGTACCTCAGCACTTTGGGCGGCCTAGGCGGGCGAGTTCCAGACCAGCCTGGCCAACATAGTGAAATCCCGTCTCTACTAAAAATACAAAAATTAGTCGGGCGTGGTAGCAGGTGCCTGTAATCCCAGCTACTTGGGAGGCTGAGGCAGGAGAATCGCTTGAACCCGGGAGGCGGAGGTTGCAGTGAGCCGAGATCATGCTGTGGCCCTCCAGCCTGGGTGACAACCAAAACTACCTCTCAAAAAAAAAAAAAGAAAAAGAAAAAAGAAAAGGAAAGAAAGACTGTCAAGAGGCATTTGAACCAGAGCAACCCCATCTTGAATAGTGGCTGGGTAAAATAAGGCTGAGATCTGCTAGGCTGCATTCCCGAGGGTCAGGCCATCTAAATCACAGGATGAGGTCAGCACAAAATACAGGTCATAAGGATGTTGCTGATAAAACAGATTGCAGTAAAGAAGCCAGTCAAGACCCACAAAACCAAGATGGCAATGAGTTTGACCTCTGGTCGTCCTCACTGCTACACTCCCACTGGCGCCACAAATGCCATGGCAACATCAGGAAATTACTCTATATGGTCTAAAAAGGAGAGGCGTAAGTAATCCGCTCCGTGTTTAGCATATAATCAATAAATAGGCTGGGCTTGGTGGCTCACGCCTGTAATCAGCATTTTGGGAGGCCGAGGCAGGTGGATCACCCGAGGTCAGAAGTTCAAGACCAGACGGGCCAACGTGGTGAAACCCCATCTCTACTAAAAATACAAAACTTAACCAGGCGTGGTGGTGGGCACCTGTAGTCCCCGCTACTTGGGAGGCTGAGGCAGGAGAATCACTTGAATCTGGGAGGCAGAGATTACAGTGAGCTGAGATCAAGCCGCTGCACTTCAGCCTGGGCAACAGAGCAAGAATCAGTCTCAAAAAATACATGAACAAATAGCGATAAAAATGGGCAACCAGCAGCCCTCGGTGCCGCTCTGCCTATGCAGTAGCCATTCTTTCATTCCTTTACTTTCTTAATAAGCTTGCTTTCACTTTACGAAACTTATGGACTCACCTCAAATTCTTTCTTGCTTAAGATCCAAGAACCCTCTCTTGGGTCTGATTGGGGACCACTTTCCAGTAACAAGACCATTTTAATAACAAAAGTGTAAGAAGGACACAGTCTCAGTAAGGATGGCGTGTGTCCGGGAGGCCACCCACAGGTCCTAGAGGCTGCCTGTGGCTTCTTGCCACATGGGATTTCTCAACATAGCTCCTTACTTCATCAAGCCAGCAACGAGTTAAATTCCAGTCTGCTAAAACAGAATCTTAAATAATGTTAATCTTAAATAATCTTAAATAATCTTAAAAAATTATGGCAGTGACTTTCCATAGACTTTGCCTTATGCCATTGGTTAGATCAAGTCACAGGTGCCACCCTCACTGGAGGGGAGGAGAAGATACAAGACATGAACACCAGGGAGTGGGACTCACTGGGGTCACCCTAGGGATACCCTGGATTTGACTGCAACTGAAACACATGAGAAATTTGATATAAAGTTTAAAAGCATTTATCATGATATTATGTAGTATTTAGTGAGGCAGAGCTTGCGGTGAGCCGAGATCCCGCCACTGCACTCCAGCGTGGGTGACAGAGCGAGACTCTGTCTCATTAAAAAAACAAACAAACAAAAAGTAATCTCCAGTTCAAAAGAAGAATGAAAGAAAATTTAGCCGTGTGCGGTGGCTCACACCTGTAATCCCAGCACTTTGGGAGGCCAAGACAGATGGATCAGCAGGTCAGGAGATCGAAACCACCCTGGCCAAGATGGTGAAACCCTGTCTCTACTAAAAATACAAAAATTAGCCGGGCGTGGTGGTGGGTGCCTGTTATCCCAACTCTTCGAGAGGCTGAGGCAGAGAATTGCCTGAACCCACAAGGCAGAGGTTGCAGTGAGCTGAGATCGCACCACTGCACTCCAGCCTGGGTGACAGAGCGCAACTCAGTCTCAAAAAAAAAGAAAAGAAAAGATAAGAAAATGTAATGCTATTTCAACATTCTCTATACATACCCGCATTCTCCTCTGTTACCACAGTGCACTATGTATTCCTCACTAGTGTTGTATTATTGTTATTGGTTTATTATCTCTTAGGCCTTGAGCTTTTCTGTTTTTTTTTTTTCTTTTCTTTTTTTTTTTTTTTTTTTTTTTGAGACAGAGTCTCACTCTGTTGCCCAGGCTGGAGTGTAGTGGTGCGATCTCAGCTCATTGCAACCTCCACCTGCTGGGTTCAAGCGATTCTCTTGCCTCAGCTTCCCAAGCAGCTGGGACTACAGGCGTGTTCCACTATGCCCAGCTAATATTTACATTTTTAGTAGAGACAGGGTTTCACCATGTTGGTCAGGCTGGTCTCAAACTCTTGACCTCAGGTGATCCGCCCACCTTGGCCTTCCAAAGTGCTGGGATTACAGGTGTGAGCGCCCAAGCCAGGCCAACGTTGAGCTTTTCAAGATTAAGGATGATGTCTTTTCATTTCTTTATCCACAATCTCCTGTACAGTTCCTGGTACATAATAAATTCACAATAAATTAGTTGTTAGGTCTCTATTTACTTATTTATTTAGAGACAGGGTCTCCGTTGTCTTACCTTCCAGGCCTCTGCCACCTTCAGCCACTCCCACAGCAACTTTTCCCAGAGCTAACCCTGGGCAGAGTCAGGTTTCCTATGAAGTGTACACACACACACACACACACACACACGAAACCCTGAAGTGTGGAAGGCAGCTTGTTGGAGGATTAAACCTAATAAAGTTGCTCATCTGTAAAGCATGTGTGTTTGCTTGTATACAATCAGAGGAATAAACCATTTAAGGAGAAGAAAAATACATAGTTTTTTGTTGTTGTTTTAGCAGAACCACAGAGCTCCCCAAAAGGAAGAGATGTGCAGGAATGAATTTAGACCCTCTCTCTATAAATCTTGTCAGGCACTGTGGCTCACGCCTGTAATCCCAGCACTTTGGGAGGCTGAGGCAGGTGGACCACCTGAGGTCAGGAGTTTGAGAGCAGCCTGGCCAACATGGCGAAACCCTGTCTCTAGTAAAAGTACAAAAAAAAATAGCTGGGCATGGTGCTGGGCGCCTGTAATCCCAGCTACTTGGGAGGCTGAGGCAGGAGAATTGCCTGAACCAAGGAGGCGGAGCTTGCAGTGAGCCGAGATTGCGCCACTGCACTCCAGCCTGGGCAACAGAGACTCCATCTCATTAAAAAAAAAAAAAAAAAAAAAAAAAAAAAAAAAAAAAAAAAAGAACCTCTCTCTGTAAATGTAATGACTAGCTGGAAGAAATGGGAGTCATTATCAGAGGTCTAGCATCACTTTATTTTGTTTTTTCTTTCTTTTTTTTTCTTTATTAACTTTCAGGGTTCTTTTGGTCTAGCATCTCTTTATTAATGTGATTTTTAGGTTGCCAAAATAATAATTGAGCAGCTAGAACTGCAAAGGAGGAAAGGAAAGAAAATTGTTGGAGCTGGATGATCTTGAGTTCAACACAATGATTGTAAGTCCTATGGAGAGGAGGGGGAGGAAGAGAAGTTGGTTAATGAGTACAAAAAAAACACTTAGATAGAAGGATAAAGTCTGGTATTTGATAACACAGTAGGGAAATTATAGTTAACAATAATTTATTGCATATTTCAAAATAGCTAGAAGAGAAGAATTAGAATGTTTTCAACACAAAGAAAAATGTTTGAAGTGATGGATACCTCTATCACCCTAATTTCATCATTACACATTGTATACATGTATCACACATACCCCCAAAATATATGTAACTATGATATATCAATTTAAAAACACAAATAAATAAAATGTAAACAATACTTTTTTTTTAGAAGTCCTATGGGGAGGGTCATTTCTGCAGCCTCCTGTCTTGCCAATGAGCTCGATCATTCAGAGTTTTGCACCGGTGGATGAAGTGTGTTTTAACTGCCTCTCCATGAATATTCCTTAAATGATTCAATATTTGCTTTTGCTCATAAAAAAGGTGCAGTGGGGAATATCTGCTTCTATTTGTTTTACATTTGCTTCATATCTTGTTCACAGACGAAGAAATACTGAGATGGAAGGGGATGGAAGTTGAGAACTCTCAGATCCTGGGGTAGAACATATTTGTGATTCTTTGTTCATTAGATGACTGTATGTTTATCACAGAACATAGACCAGGATGTGGAAAAAAACTAGCATTTTACATACCACATCTTCCCTCCTTTATCTACTTCATCTATCTTTTTATTCCATGTTAGAAGGGAAATATTTGGCTGGGCACGGTGGCTCATGCCTGTAATCCCAGCACTTTGGGAGGCCAAGGCGGGCAGATCACTTGAGGTCAGGAGTTTGAGGCCAGCCTGGCCAATATGGTGAAACCCCGTGTCTACTAAAAATAAAAAATTGGTCGGGCGTGGTGATGGGCACCCGTAATTTCAGCTACTTGGGAGGCTGAGACAGGAGAATTGCTTGAACCCGGGAGGTGGAGGTTGCTGTGAGCTGAGATTGTGCCACTGCACTCCAGCCTGGGTGACAGAGCAAGACTCCCATCTAAAAAAAAAGGGAAATAGGAAAGAGGTGATGAGGAAACAATCTAGAGGAATGACTTTCAAACTTGGTTATGTTCAAACATCAGAAGCAAATTGTTAACTGATTAATAATACAGATTTCATTGATAACATCAGAACTGCTGTGTCAGAAACTCAAGGAGTAGAGCTCCCAGATGATTCACATATTAGATAGTGCCAGACACATTAGCAGTGCAAGAACTTGTATTTGAGAAGCAATGCTCTGAAACAGTTTGTACCCTCTTAGAAACAGGGGAATGCAAGAACTGAAGCTGCCTATAGAAGGTCACCAGGCTCCCTCTTTACTTGTTTCTTTTCTTTTCTTTTCTTTTTCTTTTTTTTTTTTTTTTTTTTTGAGACAGAGTCTTACTCTGTCACCCAGGGTGGAGTGCGGTGGCGCTATCTCAGCTCACTGCAACCTCCACCTCCCTCCTGGTTCAAGTGATTCTCCTGCCTCAGCCTTCCGAGTAGCTGGGACTACAGACATGCACCACTACGCCTGGCTAATTTTTAAATTTTTTAGTAGAGATGGGTTTTTGCCATGATGGCCAGGCTGGTCTCGAACTCCAGACCTCAAGTGATCCTCCCGCCTTGGTCTCCCAGAGTGCTGGGTGAGCCACCCAGGCGTAAGCCACCGTGCCCAACTGGAGGAGCAGATTTTACAGGTGGTGAGAATTGAATTTTGGACATGTTACTTTATTTTATTTTTTATTTTTTATTTTTTTCTTGAGAGGGAGTCTCGCTTTGTTGCCCAGGCTGGAGTGCCGTGGCGCGATCTCTGCTCACTGCAAGCTCCGCCTCCCGGGTTCACGCCATTCTCCTGCCTCAGCCTCCCAAGTAGCTGGGACTACAGGTGCCCGCCACCACGCCCGGCTAATTTTTTTTGTATTTTTAGTAGAGACGGGATTTTACTGTGTTAGCCAGGATGGTCTCGATCTCCTGACCTCGTGATCCGCCCACTTCGGCCTCCCAGAGTGCTGGGATTATAGGCATGAGCCACCGCGCCTGGCCGCTTTATTTTTTTAAAGACAGGATCTTGTTCTGTTTCCCAGGCTGGAGGATACAGTCATAGCTCACTGCAACCTCAAACTCCTGGGCTCAAGGGATCCTCCTGCCTCAGCCTTCTGAGTAGCTGGGACTACAGGTGGGTAGCACCAGGCCCAGTTAATTTTTAAAATTTTCTGTAGATACAGGGTCTTGCTTCATGGCCCACGCTGGTCTCAAACTCCTGGGCTCAAACAGTCCTCTGGCCTTAACCTCTGAAAGTGCCAGGATTATAGATGTGAGCCACCATGCCCAGCCTGAACGTGTTGATTTTCATTTGCCCACTAGATATTCAATTAGAGTTGTTAGTACCCGGCGGTAAGCACACAGCAGTCACTGCTCCATGCAATACTGAAATTCCACCCAGCAAATGTTGTCAGGTCCCTCTTCTCCAGGGGCAGGGAACATTCTGTTATTAGGGCCCAGTTTTGCTTTCTAGGAATGGCTCCCTGACACCTGGTTCACCAAAGCTCTTGGATTGATTCTCTGAAGCACCTTTCTTTTCCATTAGGCTTTGTGGATTCTTAGGAAGAAATGACTCCTGTTGGCAGCTGAGTGCCCTTCTAAGTCTGTATCTTGCCCACAGAAACTTGGGGCCTCAGAAACTTTTTTTTTTGAGACAGGGTCTCACTCTGTCACCCAGGCTGGACTGCAGTGGTGCAATCTTGGCTCACTGCAACCTCCGCCTCCCGGGTTCAAGCAATCCTCATGCCTCAGCCTCCCAAATAGCTGGGATTACTACTTGGCCCACCCCACCCAGCTAATTAGCGTGCCACCACACCCGGCTAATTTTTGTATTTTTGGTAGAGACAGGGTTTCACCATATTGGCCAGGCTGGTCTTGAACTCCTGACCTCAAGCAACCCGCCCATTTCGGCCTCCTAAAGTGCTGGGATTACAGGCGTGAGCCACTGTGCCTGGTCAAAACATGTTCGCTATGTAAAACTTTTGAAACTTTGTGAACTTTCTATGTTGAGTCTGATTTCAGTCTACTCCGCTGGTCAAAAGCTGTATACATCATTTTTTTTTTTCAGACAAACTTCTTTCCAGACTTAATTGAGCTTACTTTGACTGTAACCGGCAGCTAAGAGAAGACATTTTTATGATTCTTACTGGCTCTTTCGTTTAACTGAAAAGATCCATTAGTACCAACTTAACTCTTTTAGATGTCTTAACAAAAGATCTTCCAGCCTCATCTTGAGGATCTTTTACTGGCTGGGGAGGCTGGAGATAAGAACAGGATTTATTTTCCAATCTGCTCAATTTTAATCTCTTGATAGTTCCTCTAAATTCTGTACAGCACCCCTTTCTCCTTATTTCTCTTATTTCTTTCTGGCAGTCCTTACAATATGCAGCTAAAAGACACCAACTAACACATTTAGCATTCTGCCTGGAAATCATTTTATCAAGGCATACAAATTAAGTATGTTTTATATCTTGTGAGTTGTTACAGGTAATAGTTTTACCAAGTATTTTACTGCTATCTAACATGTCATCATTCTTCCAGTTTGCTATAGCAGTTTTCTTAGCACCTTAAGAAAACCCTCAAATTTTAAATTCGTTTTGGAGTAAAACAGGCTCTTTACTATTTACAAGATTATTTCTGAGTTGCAAAAATTCTCTGTCCATGTTTTTCCCTTTATTACCATGTTTTTTCTCCTGTATTTCCCCCACTCAATCTTGGCTGCCACAATCCAACAGAGAGCATGGCACTGCTTTTTTTCTTTTTGCATCTGTAGTGGAAACCTTGGCAGCAGACAGTAAGTGCATCAGGTCTGTCAAACACAAGCATGCTTCTTGCTTTTTCAGTGTTGTCCAGGACTTGGTCCCTAAACCAATGCCACATATTTTAGGCTTTTGTTAAACAGCATCCCATTTCTAGATGGCACTTTCTTTTTTTGTTTGTTTGTTTTTTGTTTGAGACAGAGTCTTGCTCTGTCACCAGGCTGGAGTGCAGTGGCATGATCTCAGCTCATTGCAATCTCCGCCTCCTGGGTTCAAGTGATTCTCTTGCCTCAGCCTCCCGAGTAGCTGGGATTACAGGCGCGCGCCACCACACCCAGCTAATTTTTGTATTTTCAGTAGAGATGGGGTTTCACCATGTTGGCCAGGATGGTCTCCATCTCCTTACCTCGTGATCCTCTCACCTCAGCCTCCCAAAGTGCTGGGATTACAGGCATGAGCCACCGCATCCGGCCATAGATGCCAATTTCTGTATCAGTTAGCTATTGCTGTATAACACACGCCTCTGAAACTCAGTGGCTTAAACAGTAAGCATTTATTCATGTTTGTGTTTCTATGAGTCGGTGGGTAGTCTGCTGACCTGGGGTTGCTCACATATCTGTGGTCATCTGGTGGACTGACTCGAGGCTAATTAGTCTAGGATGGCCTCACTCACATATCTTAGAGTTGGGTAGCAATTGACTGGGGCAACAGGGGTGACTGAGCCATTATCCCTCATAGCCCAGAAGGCTATTCTGCAGTTGGTTTCATGGCAGTTGCATAGAGTGGCAAGAAAATAAGTGGAAGTATGCTAGGCCACTTAAGGCCTGGACCCGGAAATGGCATCCTGTCACTTCTGCTACATTCTGTGGCCAACACAAGTTGCAGAGCCAACCTTGAATTTGAATTTTCTTTCTTTCTTTTTTTTTTGAGATGGAGTCTCACTCTGTCACCCAGACTGGAGTGCAGCGGCAGTGATCTCTGCTCACTGCAGCCTCCGCATCCCGGGATCAAGTGATTCTCTTGCCTCAGCCTCCTGAGTAGCTGGGATTGTGGGCGCCTGCCATCACACCTGGCTAATTTTTGTATTTTTAGTAGAGTCAGGGTTTCGCCATGTTGACCAGGCTGGTCTCAAACTCCTGACTTCAGGTGATCCACCCACATTGGCCTCTCAAAGTGCTGGAATTACAGGCGTGAGCCACCACACCCGCCCGAGTTTTCTTCTTTGATCTATGTGCTATATAGAAGTGTGTTGTTTTTATCTCCATGTATCTGGAGATTTTCTAATTATCATTCAGTTACTGGTTTCTGGTTTAATTCCTTTGTGGTCTGATAGCATGCTTTGTATGATGTCCATTCTTTGAAATTTGTTGAGGTGTGTGTGTTTTTTTAAATTTTTTTTATTTTTTATTTTTTATTTTAAATCGAGTTTCGCTCTTGTTGCCCAGGCTGGAGTGCAATGGCGCTATCTTGGCTCACTGCAACCTCCACCTCCCAGGTTCAAGCGATTCTCCTGCCTCAGCCTCCTGAGTAGCTGGGATTGTAGGCACCTGACAGCACGCCTGGCTAACTTTTTTGTATTTTTAGTAGAGACGGGGTTTCTCCATGTTGGTCAGGCTGGTCTCGCTCTCCCAACCTCAGGTGATCCGCCCTCCTTGGCCTCCCAAAGTGCTGAGATTATAGGCGTAAGCGACCGTGCCCTGCCGAGGTGTGTTTTATGGCCCAGTATACATGCCTTTTGATGTTTATATATAGGTATGTGTATTAGGCCTATACCTAGGAATTTCTGGGTCACAACGTGTATATTCAGCTCTAGTAAATATGAACAGATGATTTTCCAAAGTGGCTGTCACAACTGCACCCCCAACAATAGTGCATAACAGTTCTATGTGCTTCACGGCTTTGTCCTTGTGTTGTCTTGTCAGTTTTAAAATCTGTAGCCATTTTAGTGGATGTGTAGTATATATCATCATCGTGTTCATTTGCATTTCTTTAATGACTAAAAACATTAAGCATCTTTTTCACATACTGCCTGGCTATTTGGATTCGTCTTCGGTGAAGTGCTGTACTTATTGATTGCTTTTCTTTCTTATTGCTTTTAGGAGTTCTTGTTATATTCTAAATTCATTGTTAGATACAATATATCAAAAATACCTTCTCTCATTCCGTAGATCAGTTTTCATTCTTTTTCTTTCTTGAGACAGGATCTAATCCTGTTGCCCAGGCTGGAGTGCAGTGACACAATCCTGACTCACTGCAGCCTTGACCTCCCAGGGTCAAGCAATCCTCCCACCTCAGCCTCCTGAGTGGCGGAAACCATAGGCGTGCACCACCACACCTGGCTAATTTTTAAAAATTTTTCGTAGAGACGGGGTCTCCCTATGTTGTCCAGGCTGGTCTCCAACTCCTGGGCTCAAGTGATCCTCTCGTCTCAGCCTACCAAAGTGCTGAGATTACAGGTGTGAGCCACTGCACCCATTTCTTATTTTCTTAATGGTGTCTTTTGATGAATAGAGTTTCTTACTTTTAATCATATCTAATTTATCAATCTTTTCTGTGTGTTTGATGTTTTTTAGATGTGGACACCATTATTATCAACCTGTTTTCATAGAAAAGTTGAGTTTCTTGGCACCAGAGCTCCGCAGGGTCGGGACCAGAGGGAGGCAGGCCCGAAACAGCAAATCGCTCTCAGGCTTCTGCAGTGCACCCAGCACTGCAGGACACCCAGGGTCAGCACCTCCTCAGATTTTGAGCCCTAAGTACCTCATTTGCCTTGCCCTAGACCCACCCCTCCCAAAATGCTGAATTACCTCCTTAGGTTTATTACCTCCTAGACTAGGGCACAATAATTTTATTTGAGTTTTTGGATTTGGAACTCAGTAGCTTGAAGTCAATTAGCTTTCCTTTACCAGTGTCTAGTCCGTTTGGGCTACTATCACAACACACCTTAGTTTGGGTAATGCATGAACAACGGAACTCCACTGCTCCCAGTCTGGATGATGGGAAGTCCAAGATCAACAAACACGCTGGCAGATTCCTCATCTGTTAGCGTCTGTGCCTCATACAAGAGACCCTCTATGTGTCCTCACATGGCAGAAGCTTGCTCTGGTCTCTTTCATAAAGACACAGTACATTTGTAAATTTATATAGACTATAAAGGCACGAAATTCACATATGAATTTGGGGCAGGGTACAAACATTCACACCATAGCAACCAGTACAATCTTTTCTTGAATAAATGACTTTGACCTTTTTTTTTAAATTTATTTTATTTATTTTTGTAGACAGTCTTGCTCTGTTGCCCAGGCTGGAGTGCAGTGGCTTGATCTCGGTTAACTGCAGCCTTTACCTCCTGGACTCAAGAGATCCTCCCACCTCAGCCTCCCAGTAGGTGGGACTACAGGCATGGGCCACCACACTCTGCTAATTTTTGCATTTTTTGTAGAGACAGGGTCCCGCTATGTTGCTCAGGCTGGTATCGAACTCCTGGGCTCAAGCGATCTGCCCGCCTTGGCCTCCCAAAGTGCTGGGATTACAGGTGTGAGCCGCTGCCACGCCTGGCCTGAATAGGTGACTGCATGCGCTCCAGTCCTAGTCCAGTTGGAGAAGCGGAGAGTTTCCCCTGTCTTAAAGAAGAGGGCCCCCGCAGCCTTCCCGAGAACTTTCCATAGGGCCGTGGCCTCAGGCGGACTGCGAACCAAGATCATCAGCAGGGGGCGGCCCGGTGTTCTTAGAACCCGGGTCCCAAGAGCTTGTGAACAGGGCACGAGTGAAAACCCGGATCCAGGCTGGCTCCGCCGGAACGCGCCCCGAGCTCGCCCGCGCGGCCGCCTCTTCCGCTCCTGATCGGCTCTTCGGGTCTTCCCGGCGCCCAGGCTTGGGCTCATAGGGAGAAAGGAAGCTGCGCTGCATTCTGCGGGACGAACCCTGCTCCGCGCGAGGTGAGTGCGAGCGCCGCATCACATCTGGCCTCTGTGGTCTCTTGGTGGGGGTAGGGGCTTGATGCTGAGACACGGAAAGACGCTTTTCTGGTCCCACGGAAGCTGGGACACTACCTCCGGGAGTCACAGCCTAAGGAAACTCCCTCTCTGTACCGAGCAGGGGGTGCGTGTAAGAGACGGAATGGTGTGTGCAAAATAATCCAAGTCTGTTTTGGAGACTTAGTGGCGCAAAGGCAGAGCCACTGCCTGAGATTGAAGCCTGATCCACCAGGCGGGAGGCGGGTGCCGGGCCGGAGCCTCTGCTGGAGCCCGGAGAAGGAGCGCGGGGTCCCGGCGCCTCCCCGCCTGCCCCGATCGGCCTCCTCCCCAGGTCCGCGGCCGTCCATTCCAGAACCTAATCTGCCTTTGCGGGGCGCGAATTGCCTTGTTCTCCCCCAGGTCTTCCCAGAGAATCACTTGTTGCAGGAATGTTGTGTTGAAGTCGTAGCAACTGTGACTTTCTAGTTGCAGAGAATACGGCGTATTTAATGGAGAAAATGCCCCAGGAAAGCACCGGCAACCGCAGGCCTGGGTTATCCCATTTGCAAGCCATGTGTTAGGTATTTTGCACCCGATTAGTACCCTCAGAACAGAGCTCATTTTTTGTAAACTATAGAAGTAATTTTTCTGTGATTTTATGACATTTTCTGGGAATCTTTTAATGATTCTTTAAAATAAAGCAAATGTCACACAGAATGACTTTTTCTAACACCACGGCCCCAACAGCCTGCCCCCTGCTCCCTGCTGCAGCTCCCTGCAATAATAGTTGGTTAGAGTGTTTTGTGCATGAAATGACTTGGATTGTTAATTTAGTTTGTGGAATGCATCCAGCTCTGGCTGGCCACAGTTTTGAATAAGGCAAGTTGGCTTTCAGGACTTTATTCCCTTCGTACACCTTTCTTTCCAATGAGACACCCAGGAAACTCACGACCAATCTTGGGCTTGTTAGTAACGTCACACTACAACTAGGGCAGGGTTTCTCCCTGGTCTACCGTAGTCTCAAATGGAGGCCTTTCTCGCATTGAATAAGCAGCTCAGCTCTTTGAACGCTGAAGTTTCACTGCCTCCAATCTAGCAGCACCGTAGTCTCCGTTTTAAAACTTTCTTCTGAGTAAGGAGAAGCCAGAGGCGATTGGGTAGCCTCAGGTGATCATTCAGGTCTTCCAATTTCGAAATTGCTGTAATAACTCTTGCTCGCTTCCTGCTAGATGGCAGTGTGTAACAGTGAATTAAAAACACGATCTCAACTTTTACTGTGTTGTTATTGCTTGTCTTCTACAATAAGAAAAAAAAGTAAGTTTTCAAGTTTTATCTTACAAACAATATTTTTGAAAAATTTCAAACTATGGTTAAATTCAGGAAGTAAAAAGAATATAGTTTGGAAAAACAATGTTATTTATATATGTACAAATGTTGTTCAGTAGGCAGATATTTCCAACCCATATTTAAATGCTTTAAACTTTGGAATGTAGGCCGGCCGGGCGCGGTGGCTCATGCCTGTAATCCCAGAACTTTGAGAGACCGAGGCGGGCGGATCACGAGATCAGGAGTTCTAGACCAGCCTGGCCAATATGGTGAAACCCCGTCTCTACTAAAAATACAAAAATTAGCTGGGCTCATGTGGTGGCGTGTGCGTGTAGTTCCAGCTACTCGGGAGGCTGAGACAGAACAATCACTTGAACCTGGAAGGAGGAAGTTGCGGTGAGCCAAGACTGCGCCACTGCACTCCAGCCTGGGCAACAGAGCGAGACTGTCTCAAAACAAAACAACAACAACAACAACAACAAAAAACAAAAACAAAAAAACCAACCTCGGAATGTAAAGAGTTGATTTCGGGTAGATATTCAATATCTAATTCAATTACCAGCATTCTACAGTGAACATTTGTTACAATGTTTCTGAACATGGGTTTTTGAACATTTTTAGAAGTTAAGTTTATCTTAAAATGTCTTTCAGATTTTTTTCTTTGATAATGAAATTGGAGTTTTCAAAAGATTATACAGAATTACCAACAAGGAAAATGAAGATAAAGTAATCCTAAACCTGTTATATACAATTAAAAAAAAAATTTCCGGAAATCTTACTTTGTGATGACTCAAGTTGTCTGGATTACTGTCTCTTGATTAATCTTTTATGGAGAGTTTTTACTCCTGGATATAATTTATGGGATGAGAGAGCTTAGTTTTGGGATGGAACCTCAGAAGATCCTCAGGGATTTGTCTTTAGTCATGTGAAATATTAGCTACATTTTGTCAGTGTTACTGAACCAGCTCCTCATTCATGAATATATAAATGATAAAAGCAGATCAGGGATTTTATTTGTTTTTTCTAGTCTGCAGTTATTCAATATTTATTAATTTATATTTTTTCTAGAGATGAGGGATTTTAATTCGAGTATCTTGTAGGGTGGGAAATTGCCACAAAGTAACCTATAAGCCCTACTTGGAGGAAGAATAGTTACTAATACTTATTAGTATAAGACCTCATAGGAAAAACAAAGATGAAAAAGAATCCCTGCTCTTGAAGAATTGCCTTAGTTCTTACTGTGACACATAAACTTCATAGTCTTGTGCTGTCACCCCACTTTTAATTTTTATTTATTTTTGAGACAGGGTCTAGCTCTGCCACCCAGGCTGGAGTGCAGTGGCACGATCACAGCTCACTGCAGCCTTGACCTCCAGGGCTCAAGGGATCCTCCTGCTCAGCCTCCTGGTAGCTGGGACTATGACTACAGGTGCACACCAGCATGCCCAGCTAACTTTTTTTTTTTTTTTTTTTTTTTTTTTTTGTAGAGATGGGTTCTTGCTGTGTTGCCTAGGCTGGTCTTGAACTCCTGGGCTTAAGTGATCCACCCACCTCGGCGTCTCAAAGTGCTGAGATTGCAGGCATGAGCCACGACACCAAGCTTTCCATTTTAAAAATCTGTGCTTCTTGCCGGGCGCCATGGCTCACACCTGTAATCCTAGCACTTTGGGAGGCCGAGGCAGGTGGATCACGAGGTCAGGAGGTTAAGACCATTCTGACCAACATCGTGAAACCCTGTCTCTACTAAAAATACAAAATTAGCTGGGTGTGGTGGTGCACACCTGTAATCCCAGCTACTCGGGAGGCTGAGGCAGGAGAATCGCCTGAACTCGGGAGGCAGAGATTGTGGTGAGTGCCACTACACTCCAGCCTGGTGACAGAGTGAGACTCCATCTCAAAAAAAAAAAAAAAAAAAAGAAAAAGTAAAAAATCTGTGTTTCTAATTGAGGCATTGTATCAGTCTGTCTGTTTATCTGGCTCTCTGTCTTTTGGATTTGTTTTTAGTTTCTACATCAAGTAGATCCACTGAATACTCTTTCTTGTGAGGTTGTATTATTAACACTGCATAATTTAAGTACTTTAGTATGTGTCTGGAATTTAAGGATTGAGGAATGACATTGCCTTCATTTCTGCAATAGAAGTGCAGAGGTGTTCTGGCTACACCTCTTTCCCCATTAATCACCAGTCTTGATTCACATGACTGCCAGTGTGCCTTTCTCCCTTACTGTCCTCTACTGGTCTCTCCTGAAATTTGCACTAGTATGAAGAGGATGACTTTCCCACATAGAAATCTACAATCCAAAGCATGCTTTATATAAAAATAAATGCTCAGCAAAATATGAAGTTCACTGAAAATGAGCGAGGTACACATTAACACAGATTTTTGTTTTTGTTTTTGTTTTTGCTTTTTTTTCGAGACAGAGTCTTGCTCTGTAGCCCAGGCTGGAGTGCAGTGGCGCGATCTCGGCTCATTGCAAACTCCGCCTCCCGGGTTCATGCCATTCTCCTGCCTCAGCCTCCCCAGTAGCTGGGGCTATAGGCACGCACCACCACACCCAGCTAATTTTTGTATTTTTAGTAGAGACGGGGTTTTGTCATGTTGGCCAGGCTTGTCTCCAACTCCTGGCCTCAAGAAATCCACCCTCCTTGGCCTCCCAAAGTGCTGGCATTACAGGCATGCACCACTGCATCCGGCCTCACATTGATAAATGGCACTTTACTGTGAATACTTTAAATTTGATAATTAGATACATTTCTTCTAAAAACTTTCCGTGGTATTACCTCTAGCTTATTAACCCAGTTGACTCCCAATTACCAGAACAGAAATGGGCAAAGGAGTCTTCCCAGAGCTCCCTGTTTTCTAAGCTAACAGTTTTATTTTTATCTTGAGGTCTTTGGGCAGCCATTGAAGGATTTTAATCAGGAGAGATATCCAATCAACACTCTAGGGACATCTCTTTATGGCTGCATGAAGAATGCAAAAGGGTCACCACTGGGAAGAACACCAGTTGTTGGGCACTTTGGAGTAATCAGGCAGAAATGAATGAGGAGTATTGAGGTGTAGTTGAAAGGAGGTACTTAAAAGTGCCTGAAGAGTTGTCCAAAGGCCTTTAGGCATCTCCTCAGCCTATCACATGTCTTCGCCAGGACAGTCACCATTTAAGGGGCATTAGGAGATTTATACGTTATCCAGTGAAAACACCTTGGGAGAGTCAAACCTATTTGATACATTGCACTTTAGTGTGAATAGTTTAAATTTGATAATTAGATACATTTCTTCTAAAAACTCTCCTTGGTATTACCTCTAGCTTATTAACCCAGTTGACTCCCCAATTACCAGAGCAGAAATGGGCAAAGGAGTCTTCCCAGAGCTCCCTGCCTTCTGCCTTGCCTCTCCTGCAACTAGGGAGAGGGAGGAGGAGGAGGGGCACACAAACTACCAGGTTCTTCTTCTTCTTCTTCTTTTTTTTTTTTTTTTTTGAGACACAGTTTCATTCTGTCGTCCAGGCTGGAGTGCAGTGGTGCAACCTCAGCTCACTGCATCCTCTGCCTCCCAGGTTCAAGGGATTCTCCTGCCTCAGTCTCCCCAGTAGCTGGGATTACAGGTGCCTGGCACCACACCTGGCTGATTTTTGTATTTTTTGTAGAGATGAGGTTTCACTGTGTTGTCCAGGCTGGTCTCAAACTCCTGACCTTAGGTGATCCGCCCACCTTGGCCTCCCACAGTGTTGGGATTACAGGCATGAGCCACCGCACCCAGCCTCACAAACTACCAGGTTCGGAAAGCTCAGAGTGTCACCTAAGGTTGGTTTCTCATTTTACAGTCAGACACGCAGGAAAGAAATCACCCCTTGGTTCCATTTCTGAGACTCTTACACCTTCAACTGGCCTGAATGGCCAAAATTTGAAGCTGGCACCCTCAAGCTGCTAATTACCTGTAAGATATTCAGTCCCTCTTCTGTCCATCTTAATTCAAAATACAGTTGAAAATTTGGAATTATTTTAGGATGAAAGTGTTGCTGGTTTTGATGGCATAGCACGTGCAAGAGTATGAGGTAGTCATACTCAGCTCCAAACCCCACTCTGTGCAGCAGATGGCCAACCCTGGTGTTGCATGCCAGCCGTGCAATGCACTTTAGAAGCTCAGCTCCTAGGGGTAAGAGGATTGGTGAGTGAGAGTCCATTTCAGATGGTACCTGCCGTGGATGTCTGAATATACATATTGTTCTGTCCCAGGAAGGAGTATTCTAGGGCACCCTCTTGCAGGACTCAGATTCATCCTGTAGGCAATGATGAAATGAGAGCTTTTGTCTTGGAGTCTCATAATTTAAGTGCTTCAGTATGTGTCTGGAATTTAAGAATGGCATCGCCTTCAGTTCTGTAATAGAAATGTGCTCTGGCCACACCTTGATTAATCACTAGTCTTTTTTTTTTTTTTTTTTTTTTTGAGACAGAGTCTCGCTCCGTCGCCCAGGCTGGAGTGCAGTGGCGTGATCTCGGCTCACTGCAACCTCCACCTCCCGGGTTCAAGTAATTCTCCTGCCTCAGCCTCCCGAGTAGCTGGGACTACAGGTGCATGCCACCATGCCTGGCTAATTTTTGTGTGTTTTTTTTGAGACAGAGTCTCGCTCTGTAGCCCAGGCTGGAGTGCAGTGGTACGATCTCAGGTCACTGCAACCTCTGCCTCCTGGGTTCAAGCAATCCTTCCTGCCTCAGCCTCCCAAGTAGCTGGGATTACAGGAGTCTGCCACCACACCCGGCTAATTTTTGTATTTTTAGTAGAGACAGGGCTTCACCATATTGGTCGGGCTGGTCTCGAACTCCTGACCTCAGGTGATCCACCCGCCTTGGCCTCTCAAAGTACTGAGATTACAGGTGTGAGCCACTATGCCCGGCCTAATCACCAGTCTTGATTGACATGGCTGCCAGTGTCCCTTTCTCCCTTACTGTTCTCTTTTGGTCTATTCTATTGAATTGGAGCCTGCTGTCCTTCATAGTGCTCTCTGCAAGTCTGCCTGTCCCACCAGTTGGAGGACTGCTGACTTGATGTCAGGCTCCTGGGTAACTAATACCATATACAGTATTAGATTGACTGTTACTGTTATAAATGTACCCTGAGGCCTGGATAATGGTTGTATGCTCTAAGTCACAATACTACTATCTACCCTGGCTGGGCCCTGCCCTGCCCTGCCCTTCTTTCCCCTTCCCTGCCCTGCCCTTCTTTTCTCTCTCCTTCCATTTTCCCTTCCCTTCTCCTTTCTCTTTCCTTTCCTTCTTTTGTTTTCTTTTTTGAGACAGTGTCTCACTCTGCTACCCAGGCTGGAGTACAGTGGCATAATCATGGCTCAGTGCAGCCTTGAACTCCTGGGCTCAGGTGATTCTCCTGCTTTAGCCTTCCAGGTAGCTGGGACCACAGACATGCACCACCATGCCCAGCTAATTTTTAAATTAAAAAAAATTTTTTTTGTAGAGACGGAGTCTTGTTTTGTTGCCCAGGCTAGTCTTGAACCCCTGGGCTCAAGGGATCTTCCTGCCTCAGTCTCCCAGAACCACCGCACCTGGCTGGCTCTGTTCTTTAGTGGTAGTTACTTAACCATACGTTGTTCCCTGAGACCTACTACACTTCTGGCTTTGGGAAGATAGCCTAGGTTGAGATTCTTTAAATATAAGGGAATTCATAATCTTAAAATTCTTCTGTCATAGTTCATAAAGCTATGCGAAGGTCCCAAAAAGCTCCTATGATAGACCTGAGCTATGCAGTAGCTATAAAAATATCCCAAACTCTGTCCTCAAATTGTATCTTTTGTTTTCCTTTATTACTGATTATTTCTGTACTTTTCACAAGCTGTCACTATGTTCCTTCATTTATCTGCTTTCCACACATCTTTGAGTTGAGTGAGCTGATATCTAGACTCACTTCTGTCTTTAAAAAATATGATCCTGTGGCCGGGTGCAGTGGCTCATACCTGTAATCCTAGCACTTTGGGAGGCCGAGGCAGGTGGATCATTTGAGGTGTTCAAGATAATTCAGGAGTTTGAGACCAGCCTGGCCAACATGGTGAAACCCTGTCTCTACTACAAATAGAAAAATTAGCTGGGTGTGGTGGCACGCGCCTGTAGTCCCAGCTACCCGGGAGGATGAGGCAGGAGAATCGCTTGAATTCAGGAGGCGGAGGTTGCAGTGAGCCGAGATTGCGCCACTGCACTCCAGCCTGGGCAACAGAGCGAGACCCTGTCTGAAAACAACAACAAAAGCAACAACAGCAACAACTCTCTCTCTCTCTCTCTCTATATATATATGTATGTATGTGTGTATATATATATATATATGATCTTGGGCAAATCACTTAAACTTGAGAAGGCTCAGCTTCCTTGGGAACTGGGAATAATAATACCTACCTTGCCTACTTTTCAAAGTGGTTATAAATAAGGTTGAGTAGAGTGATATATCTAAACATTTTTGAAAACAGTATAGTTTTATTCCCATTTTAGTAGGTGATATTATTTTACTACATAATCTGGGTTACGTTAATGATAACTATAATAAATTGCTTCTGCACATTAAATGAAAATTTGGTAATCTTTCTGTTATGCAAGGGAAAGAAATAGTGATAGTTAACATTTATTATTTACTATGAAGAAGCTGAGGCTTAGAAAGATTCAGTAACTTGTCTAAATTTATATTAAGTAAAAGAACCAGGATTGGGACCCAAAGTGCTAGCTCCATGTTGTGTGTGGTTAATAGCTACAAGCATCTACTAAGTAGGAGCAAAGGTACTTTACAGGTTCTTATAGATTTGTATTCCTTTTTTCTCTGATATACTAGCTGACAACTGTACTACATATGTTTTCTGTGGTTTAGGCAGGTAACCTGTGAGTGTTGGTATTGTCTGGTGGTAATTTTATAGTATTTCTTTTTTTAAAATTATTTTTTATTTTTTGAGACCAGGCCTGGCTCTGTCACCCAAGCTAAGTGCAGTGGCACAATCACGGCTCACTGCAGCCTCAATCTCCTGGGCTGAAGCAATCCTCCTGCCTCAGCCTCCCAGGACTAGGACTACAGACACTCACCGCCATGCCTGGCTAATTTATTTTTTGTAGAGATGGGGTCTTACTGTGTTGCCTAGGTGGGTCCTTCCACCTTGGCCTCCCAAGCTGTTGGGATTACCTGCATGAGCCACTGTGTGCAGTCAAGGAATTTTATAGTATTAATGCTAAAAAATATAAAGGAATGTGTGCACTTCAGATCGTAATACTCGTCAAAGTTAGAGTCTTGGTCAAGTTACTTTACTTCATTCAGATTCGGTTTTCTTATATTTGAAAATGAGAGTGGAGTTGTTGGGAGGATTGAATGAGCGCCTGCCTGTGTGCTAAGTACTTAGGAAAGGCCTTGCCAATGATAGGTTACTCAACAAATATTAGCAATCTCCTTTTCTTTGGCAAAGTGAGCATTTTTCCTTTTAACGTTCCAGTTGATGGGGTAGCAATCTATTTTATATGCTTCATTTTCCACCTAAAGGGATAATAAATTACAATAATATTTAAATATAAGGATAACATACATTTATTGGGTATTATGTGTCAGGGTCTGAAATAAGTGTTTTACCAATCATAGCTCATAAAATTCTCACAACTCTGATTAGGCCTCATGAGGATCTACTTTTGGAAAGTGAGTTATGGAGAGGTGAGGTTAAGCCAGCTGGGGAATTGGGATTTGAATCCTGGCAGGCAGACTTGAGACCTTCTCTTAGTCACTGGGTTTTGGGAATTTCATGGATGAAAGAAGAAAAATGCACTTTTGGTGATTTCTGAGTCCAAGTGTTACTTTGTGGTTGAAGGAAAAAAAAAATTCCTGGATTTAAAAGTAAGGCCGTGCACGGTGGCTCACACCTGTAATCCCAGCACTTTGGGAGGCCAAGGCAGGAGGATCACTTGAGCCCAGGAGTCCAAGACCAGCCTGGACAACATGGTGAGACCTCATCTCTACAAATAAACAAACAAACAAAAATTAGCTGGGTGTGGTGGCACATGCCATTAGTCCCAGCTACTCGGGAGGCTGAGGTGGGAGGACTGCTTGAGCCTGGGAGTTGGAGGCTACAGTGAGCCATGATCACACTACTGCACTTCAGCCTGGGTGACAGAGGAAGACCCTGTCTCAAAAAAAAAGTAAATCAAGGTAGACTCATGAGAGGGGAGCCCACCTTTTTTTTTTTTTGAGACGCAGTCTGGCTTTGTCGCCCAGGCTGGAGTGCAGTGGCACAATCTCGGCTCACTGCAACCTCTGCCTCCCAGGTTCAAGTGATTCTCTGGCCTCAGCCTCCCGAGTAGCTGGGATTACAGGTGCCTGCCACCGCACCCAGCTAATTTTTGTATTTGTAGTAGAGACGGGGTTTCACCATCTTGGCTAGGCTGGTCTTGAACTCCTTGCCTTAAGTGATCCACCTGCTTCGGCCTCCCAAAGTGCTGGGATTACAGGTGTGAGCCACTGCACCCACCTGGGAGCACACCTTTAAGACTAAAGTTTTTAACCAGGATTCTATATTATTTTTATAGGACTAATGATATCTAATTATATCTTTAACTCTGTATGTCAGGGGCATGATGTAGGTCTGACTTAGACTCAGATCTGTGAAGTACTGTGCAGCAGCATTGCCCTTCCTCTGGAAAGTTGACCCTTCCTCCACTCTGAGCTCCACAGTGCCATTTGCCCAGGACATTGAAGTTCATAGAATATCATAGGGATAAAGGGCATTCTATGGGGGCATTTTTTTTTTACCTTTTTTTTTTTTGAGATAGGGTCTTGCTCTGTTGCCTACGCTAGAGTGCAGTGGTGCAGTCACGGCTTACTGCAGCCTTGACCTCCTGGGCTCAAGCAATCCTCTTGCTTCAGCTTCCTGAGTAGCTGGGACTATAGGTGCACACCCCCATGCCCAGCTAATTTGTAAAATTTTCTATGCAGACAGGGTTTCACTATGTTGCCCAGGCTGGTCTCAAACTCCTGGGCACAAGCCATCCTCCTGCCTTGGCCTCCCAAAGTGCTGTGATTAAAGGTATGAGCCACTGTACCTGGCACTCATTTAGTTCATTTTTACAACTTTTTTGAAAAGATCATTCATTTCAGATAGATGAAAATTTTATTTGGAAACTTCCAAAGAATAATATTGCTCCAACAGCCCACTGCTTTATTCACTTGCTGTAAAAGACAAATAAATCATATTCAGAATTCCTTATGCTGTGGCAAAAGTTGGTTTCCTTAGTGGGCATTGGGGGCCACATGATGATTATCCATTTTTGATTGAAGCCTGAATCTTTTATTTTCTTCCTAAATTTTATGGGAGTGGGTGGATAGTCCTGGTAATTTTTATTCCATTTCTAAACTCCTTTGAAACTTAGAAGGGAATGACTTCATATAAAAGTCTTGGAATTCAGTCTTCTGATGGCAGAGAGCATTAAGTGGAAGCAGAATTTGAGATTTGGGATCTGGTTGTAGATTTGTCACTCTCCTCTGATGGGCTGTGTGGCCATGAGTAAGTCAATTCACCACTCTGGTCCCTTCCCCTTCCCTCCCCTTCCTTTCCTTTCTTTTCCTTTCCTTTCTCTGTTACCCAGGCTACTCACTGCAACCTCTGCCTCCCAGGTTCAAGTGATTCTCCTGCTGCAGCCTCCTGAGTAGCTGTGACTACGGGTGCGTGCCACCACGCCCAACTAATTTTGGTATTTTTAGTAGAGACAGGATTTTGCCATGTTGGCCAGACTGGTCTCAAACTCCTGACCTCAAATGATCCACCTGCCTTGGCCTCACAAAGTGCTGGGATTACAGGAGTGAGCCATCACGCCCAGCCTTGATTTCCTTACTTATGAGTGAGGTACTAGGACTACATGATCTCAATGTTTCCTTTTAGTTTAAAATGTCTATGTTTTTTCATGATCACCCTGCTGCAAGACTATATTTATTAAATCTGCGCTATGGCTAAAAGATGATCTTTTGTTGCAGAATTTTTTTGATTCCTTCTTATTTGGAGAAATCTCCAGCTGCTCTGATGATAGCCTAAGAAGACTGCATGCTGCTTCCTCTCGATGCCAAGCCAGACCCTCTCACAACCTCGGATCTCAGTCCTTCATGGAGACCTGGTCCCAGCAGGAATGGCAGTGCAGGAAATTGGCGCCCAGATGGTTCTTCCATGTGAAGTTGTCTCGGGCTCTGGGCTGACGAGAGAACACCTGGTAACCAGGTTAGCCCTCTGTCAGTCACCCAGGGCAGGGCAGCATGGTGCGGATTCAGAGGAGGAAGCTTTTGGCATCTTGCCTGTGCGTCACAGCCACCGTCTTTCTGCTTGTCACACTCCAGGTACCAAGAATGTGGGTTGTGTAGTGTTGATAGCTGGGCCTTTGCCATGTCCCCCTACCCCCTATTTTCTCAAAACTCCAATTATTTCACTTTTTGCTGAATCAGGGGTGTTCAGGATCAGGGTTGGTTCCTTCCTTCCTCCCTCCCTCCCTCCCTCCCTCCCTCCCTCCCTCCCTCCCTTCCTTCCTTCCTTCCTTCCGACACAGTACCACTCCTTTCGACACAGTACCACTCTGTTGCCCGAGCTGGAGTGCAGTGGCACGATCTCTGCTTACTGCAACCTCTGCCTCCCGGGTTCAAGCAATTCTTGTGCCTCAACCTCCCGAGTAGTTGGGATTACAGGCACCCGCTACCACGCCCAGCTAAATTTTTTGTATTATTAATAGAGATGTGGTTTCACCATGTTGGCCGTGCTGGTCTCGAACTCCAGATCTCAAGTGATCTGCCTGCCTTGGCCTTCCAAAGTGCTAGGATTACAGGCGTGAGCCACTGTGCCCAGCCAGGATCAGAGGTTTTCTACTGGGAGAAAATACCTCCCAGTAAAAAACCTCTGGCAGGGAGACCCTTCCAATTCACCCCCTGCCCCCCTTTTTTAAACAGGTGAAACTGAGGTTTAGTGAATGGACGTGTCAGGCAGAAACAAAGTCATTGAAATAGAAGGTGAGTTTGAGATTCTCGTAAGCTCCTGGTTGTAGAGAAACAGGAAGTAAAGCTCAGTCTGTCTTCCTGGGTCAAAATTGGATGGCTTCCTCAGAATCTCCTATTGTTATCACTTTTGAAAGATTGCGTTCTTGGAGAAGCAAGGACTATTCTGAGAACAAGATAGTCTGTATCTTGTAGTAAGTGTAGAACACAGACATCTATATTATAAGTAAATCTTGACATGTGCTTCTAGACCAAGGACTGTGTATGGATGAATGAACTGAAACGTGTGCTTAGTTCTCCTACCTGTAATCCCTTAGTCAGTTATTCCGAACTTCATTCATGGATTTCTATTTATTTATTTATTATTTTTTGAGACAGGATCTCATTTTTGTCACCCAGGCTGGAGAGCAGTGGCGCAGTCTCGGCTCACTGCAGCCTCGACCTCCCTGGGCTCAGGCAATCCTCCTACCTCAGCATCTCCAGTAGCTGGGACCACAGGCATGTGCCATGGTGCCTGGCTAATTTTTTTTTTTTTTTTGAGGTGGAGTCTCACTCTGTTGCCCAGGCTGGAGTGCAGTGGCACGATCTTGGCTCACTACTACCTCTGCCTCCCCGGTTCAAGCGATTTCCTGCCTCAGCCTCCCAAGTAGCTGGGATTACAGGCTTCCGCCACCTAGCTAATTTTTCATTTTTAGTAGAAATGAGGTTTCACCATGTTGGCCAGGCTGGTCTTGAACTCCTGACCTCAAGTGATCCACCCGCCTCGGCCTCCCAAAGTGCTGGGATTATAGGCATGAGCCACCACACCTGGCCTCATTTTGGTATTTTTTTGTGGAGACGGGGTTTCACCACATTGACCAGGCTGGTCTTGAACTCCTGGGCTCAAGCAGTCTGCACACCTTGGCTTCACAAAATGCTGGCATTACAGGTGTGAGCCACCGTTCCCAGCCCCTTCACTGATTTCAAATTGAAATAAAAATTGGGCAGTGATAGTAAAAGTATAGATATCAGCTCTGATAGAATTTGCACCCATTCAGGTACCAGCCATCCATTTCAAAATCCACAGAACTTTTTTTTTTTTTTTTGAGACAGTTTCACTCTTGTCACCCAGGCTGGAGTGCAGTGGCATGATCTCGGCTCACTGCAACTTCTACCTCCCAGGCTCAAAAAAATCCTCCCAACGCAGCCTCCTGAGTAGCTGAGACTATAGGTGTGTACTACCACACGTGGCTAAGTTTTCTAATTTTTTTGTAGAGATGGGGTTTCACCATGTTGCTCAGGCTGGTCTTGAACTCCTGAGCTCAAGAGATCTGCCTACCTGGCTTCTTAAAGCACTGAGATTGCAGGTGTGAGCCACTGCGCCTGGCTTCCACAGGACTTTTTTTTTGAGTGGAGTTTTGCTTTTGTTGCCCATGCTGGAGTGCAATGGCGTGATTTCGGCTCACTGAAACCTCCACCTCCTGGGTTCAAGCAATTCTCCTGCCTCAGCCTCCTGAGTAGCTGGGATTACAGGTGCCTGCCACCATGCCCAGCTAATTTTTGTATTTTTAGTAGAGACGGGGTTTTGCCATGTTGGCCAGGCTGGTCTCGAACTCCTGACCTCAGGTGATCCACCTGCCTTGTTCTCCCAAAGTGCTGGGATTACAGGCATGAGTCACCACGCCTGGTTCTCCACACAACATTTAAAGGTTATTTGTGGATATGAGTAGTTACAGTTGTGGGACTGGTAGACGCTAAGGTGTTCTCTGGGCTTTTTCACTCTGCAGGATCTCCCTTCTGTGTAGGATTGAATGAGGTAATGCTTATAAAAGCACTTTGGCAGACAATATGGTGCTGTATTTCTACTGCTGCCTTCTGCCAGATTGGGATTCTGGTGAGAGGCAACATGTGTCTCTTTCCTTGTTTGTGCTGGAGGTATCTAGGACCTGCTGCACAGAAGGCCTGACATTTTCAGCTTTCTGCTGCTTTCTGTGGGAAGTTTTTTTTTGTTTTTGTTTTTGTTTTTTGTTTTTTGAGACGGAGTCTTGCTCTCTTGCCAGGCTGGAGTGCAAGGTGCGATCTGGGCTCACTGCAACCTCTGCCTCCTGGGTTCAAGCAATTCTCCTGCCTCAGCCTCCTGAGTAGCTGGGATTACAGGTGCCTGCCACCACACCTGGCTAATTTTTTGTATTTTTAGTAGAGATGGGGTTTTACCATGTTGGCCAGGGTGGTCTCGAACTCCTGACCTCAAGTGATTCACCCGCCTTGGCCTCCCAAAATGTTGGTATTACAGGCGTGAGCCACCAGGCCTGGCCTCCATTCCTGTTTTTAGGCAAATGAAATACTTTGCCATATGAATAGGGTAAAGATAGGATAAATAGAAAAAAATCATGCCATGGATCCTTTGTTAGTTTGCTAGCGCTGCTGTAACAAAATACTGCAGATGAAGTCGCTTGCTTCCACAACCAAAATTAATTTTTTTTTTACAGTTCAGGAGACTGGGAAGTCCAAGATCAAGGTGTCAGCAGGGTTCTTTCTTCTGTGGCCTCTCTCCTTGGCTTATAGATGGCTGTTTTCTCCCTGTATCTTTACACTGCCTTCTCTCTGTAATTGTGTGTGTCAAAATTTCCCCTTTTTATAAGGACACCAGTCCTAATGGATTAGGGCCCACCCGTTTTAACTCAGTTACCTCTTTGAAGACCCTGTCTCCAAATATAGTCACGTTATAAAGTACTGGGAGTAAGGACTTCAACTTATGAATTTTTTTGGGGTATACAATTTAGCCCATAGCAGATTCTATAACATAAATTATTTAATTAATATTAATCTAAACATGAAAATATTATAGTTACCTACACTTAAGCTAAAACATAGTTCTCTGGAGGAAAACTTAGACATTGTTTTCCATTCACATTTAACTATATTTTGTATAAACTGTCTGTAAATTCTTTGGGTATATATGTATATTTATTTTTTAATTTTACTTTTTAGTTGCATAAATAGTTTAGGAATATATTTTGGAGTATTTTAAAGCAAATCCAGGACATAATAGCATTTCACCTGGATATATGTTAATATGATTCTCTCACTTTGGAGCTAGGAACTTTGAAAAATATAATGTAACCATATTGCTACTATTATACCCAATAAAATTAACAATTACTGAATATTCTCTGTATGATAGGCCATGTTAAATTTTTCCCAGTTGTCTCAAAAAAAAAAGAATTTTCATAATGAGTTGGGGTTTTTTTTGAGATGGAGTCTTCCTCTGTTGCCCAGGCTGGAGTGCAGTGGCATGTTCTTGGCTCACTGCAACCTCCATCTCCTGGGTTCAAGTGATCCTCCTGCCTCATCCTCCCAAGTAGCTGAGATTACAGGTGTGTGCCACCACGCACAGCTAATTTTTGTATTTTTAGGAGAGACAGGGCATGCCACCATGCCCAGCTAATTTTTTGTATTTTTAGAAGAGATGAGGTTTCACTATATTGGCCAGGCTGGTCTCGAACTCCTGACCTCAGGTGATCCACCCACCTGGGCCTCCCAAAATGCTGGGAGTACAGGTGTGAGCCACCATGTCTGTCCCAAGTTGGTTTGAATTTGGGATAAGCAAACCTATACATTGCATTTGGTTGGTGAGTCTCAAGTTTTATGTTTTTGTTTTTTCACTCTTAAAAGGTTTGGCCGGGCATGGTGGCTTAGGCCTGTAATCCCAGCACTTTAGGAGGCTGAGGTGGGTGGATCATGAGGTCAAAAGATTGAGACCATCCTGGCCAGCATGGTGAAACCCCGTCTCTACTAAAAATACAAAAAAATTATCTGGGCGTGGTGGTGCATGCCTGTAGTCCCAGCTACTTGGGAGGCTGAGGCAGGAGAATCACTTGAACCTGGGAGGTGGAGGTTGCAGTGAGCCGAGATTGTACCACTGCACTCCAGCCTGGTGACAGAGCGAGACTCTGTCTCAAAAAAAAAAAAAAAAGAAAAAAGAAAATAAAAGGCTTTTCTGCCCCACTTTTTATTCCATGTCATGGACTTTTAAAAACTGGGTCATTTATCCTTTTAACTTTTCTAGAGTGTGGGATTGGCTGATTATGGTTTTATTTAATGCATTCCTTTATTCTGCCATATTTCCTACAATCTGGTAGTGATATCCGAAGGTAATACCTTTTAAAAAGCTGTTTGGGCCAACGTGATGAAACCCTGTCTCTACTAAAAATACAAAAAAATTAGCAGGGCGTGGTGGCCTGCGTTTGTAATCCCAGCTACTCCAGAGGCTGAGGCAGGAGAATCACTTGAACTCGGGAAGAGGAGGCTGCAGTAGGCTGAGATCACGCCATTGCACTCTAGCCTGGGCGACAGAGAGAGACTCTGTCTCAAAAAATAAAAAAATAAAAAATAAATAAAAAAATAAGTTGTATGGCAGAAGAAGAATCTCTCCTTAAAAGCATCCCTATTATTTGGAAATGAATTTATAACTCACATAGTAGATATTGATCTGAAATGTGGAATAAATTTTACCTTTGGAGTTGTATCCTATGGCTTTCTAAAAGCCTTTCTTTTAAGTGACTGGTTGTACATTTGCAGGGGAAGAAGGTCAGATGAAAAGATAGTTTGTGGCTACAAGTCATCTCCCATGGATCAAACTACTGGGGAGAGCCACATTGTTCCATCATAAAAATGCTGAGAGAGCTATTGGCAACAGGCAGACTTTAGTTTTCAGTGATGGCTCTGCTGCTCTAGTGTTGACTTTGGCGTCTCAGGTGATCCATGACTTTTTAAAGCCAATATAATTTCTTACTCCTTCTGGAGTGCTGCTTGGCTTTCACTCAGTGGTTTTTTTTTTTTTTCTTTTTTGGCCTTGGATACCGTTGAGAATCTAATGAAAGTCACGGGCCCTCCCCAGGGAGTTACAGACTCCATGCAATGCTTCAATGATCAGCGGCCTTTATCTAACACCAGGAGCAGCGAGCACATAAAAGAGGTAACACTCTTGGCTGCTAAAAGCGGGACCTGAGGGCTGCACAGGGAATGGCCTCCATGGCCGACTGGTGGAGCAGTTAACACATAGAAATGTAAATGTGCCTTACTTTAACTGCTTTAACGCTGTATTTGTTTCATAGTCTACTAAACTTTCAGTTACATATGGAGCAGATCAACCCTTTCTCCAGCATATTTCTATAATTAGTGCCATATCAATTATATTAATACCAAATCTTGTTTTTTTGTTGAGATGGAGTCTCCCTTTTTTGCTCAGGCTGCTGTACAGTGGTGCAATCATACCGCACTGCAGCCTTGAACTCCTGGACTCAAGTGATCCTCTGGTCTCAGCCTCCTGAGTAGCTGGGACTATAGGTGTATGCCACTGTGCTCAGCACAATACCAAATCTTAAAATTTGATGAAAAGGCAGCACTTCTGGAGTTTCTGCTACACTCACCCTGCCCTCCAGATGACTGTTACTGATGTCCAAGCTGTCCAGTGACCCAGACTTAGACTATCCTGGAATAAATTTAAAAATGTGGTTCTAAGTGGGAGTAAGTGGAAGCCCAGTACTCATGGTCTACTATGTTGGTAACATAGACTCTAGGGAATTTTGACATTAGGTATTATTTCACTATCTCAGTGCTATAGTGAGTATTATTAGAAACATAAAACCCATGTTATGACTACTTTAATTGTAATAAAAAAGAAACCAGTTGATAATTTATAACTCATTTTCCCTAGAGTGCATTCTCTAGTAGTAGTCAGGTAATTATCCTGTCATAGGTTTCATTAAGAGGCAAAACTGGCTGGGCGTGGTGGCTCATGCCTGTAATCCTAGCACTTTGGGAGGCTGAGGCAGGCAGATCACGAGGTCAGGAGTTTGAGACCAGCCTGGCCAATATAGTGAAACCCCGTCTCTACTAAAAATACAAAAAATTACCTGGGTGTTGTGGCTGGCACCTGTAATCCCAGCTACTTGGGAGGCTGAGGCAGGAGAATCACTTGAACCTGGGAGGCGGAGTTTGCAGTAAGCCAAGATCGCGCCACTGCACCCAGGTGACAGTGCGAGACTCTGTCTCAAAAAAAAAAAAAAAAGAGGCAAAACTATTTCTGGATATCCTACAGACTTATGAAATGGAAGGGAAATGTATTTGTTCTAAGTGTTTAGTAGAATCGTTGGCCATTCTTGTTGGTTGATATTTGGAGGCTGTGTCCACTCCCTGATCCCTGAAACCTGTGAATATGTTACTTTAGGAGGCAAAAGAGACTTTGCAGATGGGATCAATGTGACCCACTTTGAGGTGGGGGGATTATCCCAAATTATTCATGTGGACCCCATGTAATCACATGAGTTCTTAAAGATGGAGAGCCTTTCCTGACATGGTCAGAGAGAAGAGGTGATATCAGAAGAGTCAGAGAGATGCAGTGTTGCTGGCTTTGAAGAGGAGGAAGGAGGCCATGAGTCAAGAATGGTGGTGGCTCTAAAAGAGAAACAAGAAAGAGGCTTCTCTCCTAGAGTCTTCAGGGAGGAATGCAGCCCTGCTGACCCCTGGGTCTTAGCCCAGTGAGACCCATTGCAGACTTCTGACTTCAGAACTGTGTGATAACAAATTTGTGATTTATTGATTGATTGATTGGTTTTTGAGACAAGGTCTTGCTCTGTTGCCCAGGCTGGATACCATTGGTGCAATCATAGTTCACTACAACCTCTAACTTCTGGGCTCAAGCAATCCTTCTGCCTCAGCCTCCTGAGTATCTGGGATTACAGGCATGCATCACCATGCCCGGCCAATTTTTTTTTCTTTTCTTTTTTTTGACATGGAGCTTTGCTCTGTTGCCGAGGCTCAAGTGCAGTGGCGCGATCTTGGCTCACTGCAACCTCTGCCTCCCGAGTTCAAGTGATTCGATTCTCCTGACTCAGCCTCCCAGGTAGCTGGGATTACAGGTGTGTGCCGCCACCATGCCTGACTAATTTTTGTATTTTTTAGTAGAGTCGGGGTTTCACTATGTTGGCCAGGCTGGTCTCAATCTCCTGGTCTCAAGTGATCCTTCCACCTTGCCCCCCTGACGACGCACTGAGATTACAAGTATAAGCCAGTGCACCTTGCTTAAATTTGTGTTATTTTAAATTACTGTTTGTGGTAATTTGTTACAGCAGCAATTGAAAACGAGTCAGGGGCTAAATCATCAAGATTAATGAGAGATGTGCAAAAGGAAATCAAACAGTTTGACACTGATAATAATTGTCTTCTCTTTTAGGTCATGGTTGAGCTGGGGAAGTTTGAAAGGAAGGAGTTTAAAAGTTCCAGTTTGCAAGATGGACATACAAAAATGGAGGAAGCACCTACGCATCTTAATTCATTTCTTAAGAAAGAAGGATTGACCTTCAACAGGAAAAGAAAATGGGAATTGGACAGCTACCCCATTATGCTCTGGTGGTCCCCGCTGACGGGGGAGACTGGGAGGTTAGGCCAATGTGGAGCAGATGCTTGTTTCTTCACCATCAACCGGACCTACCTCCATCATCACATGACCAAAGCATTCCTCTTCTATGGTAAGCAGGACTTTCGCCTTTCTCCCTTGTTTGCTGTGGTCTTCCTCCAAAGCTGAGTTACAGTTTACCTCTGAAAAGTGATGGTGGAGCTCCCCTTGAAAACACTTTGACACCCCTGATTTCCTTTGCATTTGCTCTGTGGAAGGCCTGAGCATTTAGCAGACACAAAAAAGAAACAAGCCTGGCCGGGCGTGGTGGCTTCTGAATTCTCTAACACCTGTATCTCTGAAGGGTTGGATAAGGGATTATGATCTTCTAGTTGTGCTTTGAGATGAAGCAAAGTTAAATGTTGAGTTTAATTTCCCAAATTGTAGCAGAAGCTTCTAGAAAGATTTCCATTACATTCACAAAAAATATAGATAATATAATGGGCATTTATGTACCTATCACATAGCTTAAGGCATAAAATATTACATGTATAATTGAAAATCTGTATGAGTCCCTCCCTGACCGATCCCATTTCCCTCCCTGATACTCTAGAGGGAATCATGATTGTGTGTGTGTGTGTGTGTGTGTGTGTGTGTGTGTTTGTGTAACAATCTAAGTATGTTATTTAGACAAATAGGAGTTATATATACATGTGTGTTAAAGTTTTTTAAATGTTTAAAACTTTTAAAAAAGTTTTTTAAATGTTTAAATGTTTTAAACGTTGACCGTGGTACAACCACTTTAGATATTGGTTTGGCAATATCTAGTAAATGTGAATTCATACTTAGTAATTCCACTACTAAATTTATAACCGCATGAAATGTCACATATATACATGGATTGTTCATTATAGCATTGTTCATCATAAGTAAAGCTTTTAAAGTAACCTAAAGGTCCAATAACAGAAAAATGATTAAATAAGTGTAATATAGAAATTCAGTGGAATACTATGCAATGATGAAAATGACTAGAGCTGTGAGCATGTAACTTTGATAAACCTCAAAACTAAGTTACAGATAGAAAGTTACATATAACACTACTCTACATTGTTTATGTTATTGTTAGAAATCTGTAGTAGAAATTTATTTAAGAATATGTGATGCTACTCTAGGGAAAACAAGTTGTACACACGTATACATACATAAACACATGCCTACACATACACATATATATACACACACACATATATATATACATATACATACACATATATACATGCATATATACACACGTATATACTGATATGGTTTGGCTGTGTCCCCACCCAAAATCTCATCTTGAATTGTAATCCCCATAATCCCGATGTGTCAAGGGTGGGACCAGGTGGAGGTAACTGGATCATCGGGCTGTTCCCCCATGCTGTTCTCATGATAGTGAGTGAGTCTAATGAGATCTGATGGTTTTATAAGCATCTGGCATTTCCCCTGCTGGCACTCACTCCATCCTGCTGCCCTGTGAAGAAAGTGCCTGTTTCTCCGTTGCCTTCTGCCATGATTGTAAATTTCCTGAGGCCTCCCAAGCAATGCAGAACTGTGAGTCAATTAAACCTCTTTCCTTTATAAATTATCCAGTCTTGGGTATTTCTTCATAGCAGTATGAGAATGGACTAATACAATATACATATATGTATATATATGTTCATACACATATACACGTATACACACATATATACACATATACACATGCACACACACATACACATATGTACACACATACATATATACACATACATACACATTTATGCATACATATGCATATGCATATACATATGTACACACATATACATCTACATATATGCATATATGCATATACACACACATATACATACACATATACACATGCACATATATACACACGTATATACACACATGTATACATGTACACATGTATATACATACATACACTTACATACATACACATACTGTAATTTATATATACATATACAGATTGAGCATCCTAAATCTGAAAAATTTGAAATCTGAAATGCCCCCGAATCCAAAACTTTCTGAGCACCAACGTGATGTTCAAAGGAAGTGCTTATTGGAACATTTTGGATTTCAGAATTTCATATTTGGGATTCTCAATGGTATAATTCAGGTGTTCCAAATTAAAAAAAAATCCAAAATCTAAAAAACTCCTGGTCCCAAGCATTTCTGTTAAGAGATACTCAATCTGTATGTATGTACATGTATGTGTACACACACACACACACACACACACATACACCTCCTTTGTGTGTACTGTACTTTTTTTTTTTGCTCCTCTCTCCCTTCTCTGGAAGCATATAGAATCTTCTCTGTTTCACCAGTTTGGAAATTTAGTAATAACTGCTTTGGTGTGGGTCTGTCTCCTTTTACTGAAGTGGGAACGTAAATGTCTGGTTGCCAGGAAGCCTACAAAACAGTCTTTAACTTGGTGACTTTTTTGGGACTCACAGATCTACAGAGTCATGCACTTAATTTTGTCAGTACACTTAAGAGTTGGTTTTTCTGTCTGGGATGGACTTAATCTCCAACCAAATTCCAAGGAGACTTCTGGTTTGACCTTCTATACCTCAGATCCTGTTACTCTCCAGTGCCCAAAACTATCAGTGACTCTCATGGAGAACCGAATCTATGCTGTTTATTACCTTGGCATTCAAGGCTCTGTGTAATCTGACTCCAACCTACCTTCCAAGCTCAACGCCTCTGATTCTACCAACTAAACCTTACATTCAAAAGTCAAACTGGAATAGTCCCCATTTGAGGCATAAGTCAGAAATATTCCTAACTTAGCACCATTGTTCATATAGTTCTATGTCCTAGATTGTCCTTTTCGTATTTGTCCTGTCAGAATAATCTACTGAATACCTTCCATTTATTTGGCAATATAGATGAATAATATAGTTTCTGATGTCAAAGATTATTAT
The DNA here is from genome assembly GCF_000001405.40 of Homo sapiens. Lineage (NCBI taxonomy): Eukaryota > Metazoa > Chordata > Mammalia > Primates > Hominidae > Homo > Homo sapiens. Next base: position 33,450,379 of record NC_000008.11, on the reverse strand, counting down.
CTTGAGAAAAAGATATGACCCAACTGTAATGCAGGGGCAAATGGTACGTGTACCACGAGAGAAAAGCCAACAAGTCTTTGTGGGGTTTCAAAGACAGGAGAGAGCACCTACTATTGGAAGGATCAAGAAAGGCTTCATAGGCCGGGCACAATGGCTCATGCCTGTAATCCCAGCACTTTGGGAGGCCAAGGCAAGTGGATCACCTGAAGTCAGGAGTTCAAGACCAGCCTGGCCAACATGGTGAAACCCCGTCTCTACTAAAAATACTAAAAATAGCTGGGCGTGGTCATGCATCATGCCTATAATCCCAGCTACTTGGGAGGCTGAGGCAAGAGAATCACTTGAACTTGGGAGGTGGAGGTTGCAGTGAGCCGAGATTGCACCACTGCACTCCAGCCTGGGAGGCAGAGTGAGACCCTGTCTCAAAAAAAAAAAAAAAAAAAAGAAAAGCTTCATAACCCCTCCTTTAAAAAGTAAGAAATTTGAATTTGAAGTGGGCCTTGAAGGATATTGGGGTTGGATAACGTTGAGATTGGAGGATATTTCAGTATGAAGAACAGCATGAATGGAGGCATGGAGGAAAACAATTACAAGTAATATCTGAGGTACATCAAGCAGAGTGGTTGGCTATAGCTTAGTTCTGGGTAAGGGAAAGATAAAGATTGAAGGACATATTGGGACCAGAGCTTGGAGAACCTTCAATGTTGGCTTAAGATTTTTCCATCACATCATAGGATGGTGTTGAGGAGTCAGTCCCTGGAGTTAAAACCACCTTTTAAAAGTCAACTCAGGCCAGACGCGGCGGCTCACGCCTGTAATCCCAGCACTTTGCAAGGCTGGGGTGGGCAGATCACCTGAGGTCAGGAGTTTGAGACCAGCCTGGTTAACATGGTGAAACCCTGCTTCTACTAAAGATACAAAAATTAGCCAGGTATGGTCATGGGTGCCTGTAATCCCAGCTACTCAGTAGGCTGAGGCACAAGAATCGCTTAAACCTGGGAGGAGAAAGTTGCAGTGAGCCAAGATCGTGTCATTGCACTCCAGCCTGGGTGACAGAGTGAGACTCTGTCTCAAAAAAAAAAAAAAAAAAAAAAAAAAAAATCAACTCGGATATAACACCTACAAACCATTCCTGATTCCTCTCCATCAGATAAAGCCCTTCTTCTCTCAGTGCCCACAGAGCATTTTGTATGTCCTTTATGTCATTTCATTGAGTACTGTATATCAGGCACAGTGCCAATCATGAGGAATACAGAAGATAAATAAGGCAGCTATGGCGTTTGGTCTTATACTGTATGACCTTCTCTTCCCTAGTGCAGTGTAGAGTTCACGATAGACAACATCAATTCATCTTTGTTCCTCCTCCCACCCACTGTATATAGCGCACTGCTTTGTACACAGTAGGTGCTCAGAAAATATTCTTAGAGACTTAGAGTCTTTTTTTTTAAGATGGAGTCTCATTCTGTCACCCAGGCTGGAGTACAGTGGCATGATCTCAGCTCACTGAAACCTCCGCCTCCCAGATTCAGGCGATTCTCCTGCCTCAGTCTCCTGAGTAGCTGGGATTATAGGAGTGCACCACCATGCCTGGCTAATTTTTGTGTTTTTAGAAGAGACAGGGTTTCACCATGTTGGCCAGGCTGGTCTTGAACTCCTGACCTCAAGTGATCCACCTGCCTCAGCCTCCCAAAGTGCTGGGATTACATGTGTAAGCCATCATGCCCTGCCGAGACTTAGAGTCTTTATGAATAGAGAGACCCATTCTAAACCCGAGAGTCTACCTTCTTTTTTGTAAAGGTGAGAGACTGAGGCTCAGGAGTGTTAGGGATGTGCCAAGATTGCAGTGGTTAGTACCATTGCAGTACACCAGTGGAGAACCAAGGTGTACTGACTCCTGACTGTGTGCTCCTTCACCTAGACCATATTTGTTTTTTGTTTGTTTTGGAGACAGGATCTCACTCTGTCGCTCAGGCTGGAATGCAGTGGCATGATCATAGCTCACTCCATCCTCCAACTCCTGGACTCAAATGTTGGTTTAAGACTTTCCATCACATCATAGGATAGTGTTGAGGAGTCACTGGAGTTAGAATAACCTTTTGAAGGACAAAAGGCTACTCCCTTTTGTCCTGCCTCAGCTTCCTGAGTAGCTGGGACTACAGGTGCTTGCCGCCATATCTGGCTAATAAAAAAAAATTTTTTTTTGTAGAGACGGGGGTCTCATAATGTTGTCCAGGCTGGTCTTGACATCCTGGGCTCGAGCAGTCTCTCTGCCTCGCCCTCCCAAAGTATTGGGATTACAGGTGTGAGCCACTGTGCCTGGCCTAGACCATATTTGAATAGACACTCATGACCATAATTAAACCTGAATATTTGGGTCTTGGAATTGCCTAAGGTGCCTGGTTTTTAACAAACAGAATTAGAAATTCAATTTATTTATAAGGTCTATTGAGCAAAACAGAATGAAGACAACACACTCTTCTGTCTGAGTGTTCCAAATCCTAATTAAGTAGGTCAATTAAAACTGCAAATGGGATTCTGGGGCAGCAGTATTGAAAAAGAAAATGCTGAAAAAATGATGGAAGTATCAAAAGCTGACCTAATTAAGGATAAAGGAAACTCACAGGATTATGTGGCCTGGAAGCTTTTGCAAACATTTTACATTTTAAATTTTGTTTGTTACCTTTGTAACCTCCTTGTTTTTCCTTCTTCCTAGAGATGAATCATTTTCTGAATATAAACACGTTTCTGGAGGTACTAGTTAAAGACTTTAAGCAGTGAAATATGCGAATACTGTGTCTGGTTTGAGTCTTTGAGAAATGCAAGGATTTAGCTACATTAACAATTCTCTAGCCACCACTGAAGGAGTTATTTTTTTTAGACTAGTTTATTGAAGTGAGGAGGAAAAGAATAAAGTTTTTTTTTTTTTCCTTTGAGATGGAGTCTTGCCCTGTCGCCCAGGCTGGAGTGCAGTGGCACGATCTCGGCTCACTGCAAGCTCCGCCTCCCAAGTTCACACCATTCTCCTGCCTCAGCCTCTCGAGTAGCTGGGACTACAGGCACCCGCCACCACACTTGGCTAATTTTTTGTATTTTTAGTAGAGACGGGTTTTCAGTGTGTTAGCCAGGATGGTCTCGATCTCCTGACCTCGTGATCCTCCCACCTCGGCCTCCCAAAGTGCTGGGATTAACAGGCTTGAGCCACCGCGCCCGGCCTGGAATCACTGTTGTAGTCCTCCATGACCCGATGTGGTAGAGAGCAGGTGTTCTGGTTGAAAAGGTCTCCCGAGCGATGAAGTATCTCTCCATACACCATCTATGGATGACGAATTCCCAGAGGCTTGTAATGAAATACATTAAGAAAAACTGAGAGCAGACCTAGTCGATGCTTCCTTTGTTTCAGAGGATGCTTCGGGATTTCTCAGTGCCTTCATGTGATCACGTGTAATTAAAAAGAGAGGCACACCCAGGAGGGAGCCTGACTGTTCAGGCAGGGCCTCTCAAGGGTCAGACCTCTGCTGCAGTCCTCATTCTTCAATATCTAGTCAGTTTTTTCAGTTCACAAAGAATCAGTAAAACTTTAATGAACCGAATGGCATTGACCTACATAGGAGATTCATGCTTATAATAAAAAACCAACTTGTTGGTGTCTTTGCATGGGAACAGGAGTACTGATGTTTATTGCTCAGGGTACCTAGTCCTGATGATCAGGTTAGACAGAGAATGGCATTAGAATCATGAGGTTGCTTAGTGAGCTTAGAATTACAGTAAACACTTGAGCAATGGACCATCCAAGAAATGAGAAAGCCTCATTAGCTTCCTTTGTCCCTAACAAAGGAGCAGTAATAATGATCACTGTCATTAATTGGTACCTACTCTGTGCCAGGCGCCAAAGGACACTGTCCAAGTATTTTTTTTTTTTTTTTGTAATAGGATCTTGCCTTGTCACCCAGGCTGGAGTGCAGTGGTGTGATATCGACTCATTGCAACTGCTGCCTCCTGTGTTCGAGAGATTCTCGTGCCTCAGCCTCCTGAGTAGCTGGGACTACAGGTGTGCGCCACCACACCTGGCTAATTTTTGTATTTTGAGTAGAGACGGCATTTCACCATGCTGGCCAGGCTGGTCTCGAATTCCTGACCTCAAGTCATCCACCCACCTCGGCCTCCCAAAGTGCTGGGATTACAGGCATGAGCTACCGCACCTGGCCACCAGTTGTATCTTTTTGCATTCCCCAGCTCAGACCCCTTCCCCACTGGAAGGCTGCCATGGTCTTTCTGCTCTATACCCTTTCCTGGTTCCTCTTCTCCCTCCCTCTCCAGCTGCTTTCTGGAGCCTGTCAGAGTTGCAGTGAGGACAGGAAGGAGAATGAAGGCACAGGACATTTCTTAATTGGCTGGGTGGCTTTATGTCCTCTGAACCTGGCAGGTGGTTGGAGCTGGTGTCTTTGGGTGGGTCTGGTAGGTGATGCAAGTGAACTTTTTTTTATTCTGAGGTGGTTTCTGGCATTTGAAATTTCCTTGCTGGACTTGTTGCTTTTATAGTTTCTTTTCCTAGGAAGCTGCATCTCTGCTGTGGGTAGTCATATGGGACAGCTTCCCAGCACCTGGCATTTTGCAGACCACAGCCAGCTTCTTTCTGCAGAGGTCTCTGGTCTCTATGTCCTCATGGTTACTTTGGAATCTTGATATCTGTCCTTTTAGTTCCATCTCAACATTCAGTTCTAGAATGGCTCTTTGGAGGGTCACCATTTGCCAGGCCTCTTCTGTGTTGGAGAAACACAGAAAAGGAACAAGTACAGTCCAACATGATTATATCACCATTGATGGGATAGCAACCTTGAAAGATTTCCTTATACCGCCACCCCTGGTCATCTTGTACTGGGTGTCTCCTAAGGCTTCATGAGTGACATATCTATGACCCATTCTCAGGAGTAGAGATTTCTGCTGATCTCATCCATTTCATGTTGATTCTTACTAGTTTTTTTCTCCAGAGGTTAGCTTTATTTTGGAAACTGTGTATTGAATGTAGATAGTAGGTAATTGTCATTTATAGTGTGCCAGATTTAAGACTTTTTTGGGAAGTGGCAAAGAAATGGGCTTAATTAGAGTGTTTGGCAGTAATAAAGTTGGACATAAAAATGAAGGTCATGGCTAGGCGCAATGGCTCACACCTGTAGTCCCAGCCCTTTGGGAGGCCAAGGCAGGCAGATTGCTTGAGCTCAGGAGTTTGAGACCAGCCTGGACAGTATGGCAAAACCCGGGCTCTACAGAAAATACAAAAATTAGCTGGGCATGGTGGTGCGTGCCTGTAGTCCCAGCTACTCTGGAGGCTGCAGTGGGAGGATTGCTTAAGCCTGGGAGGTGGAGGTTGCAGTGAGTCGAGATTGCACTATTGCACCCCAGCCTGGGCAACAGAGTGAGAACCTATCTCAAAAAAAAAAAAAAAAAAGATGAAGGTCATAACTGAACAATAGATTTTATATATATCTGCTCCAATAAGATACCTTGTTTAAAATAGACATCCATTTTTATTTAAATAAATAATAGTAATTATTATTATTTTTTGGGATGGAGGCTCACTCTGTCATCCAGGCTGGAATGCAGTGGCGTGATCTCAGCTCACTACAACCTCTGCCTCCTGGGTTCAAGTGATTCTCCTTCCTCAACTTCCTGAGTAGCTGGGATTACAGGCACACGCCACCACACCTGGCTAATTTTTGTATTTTTAGTAAAGACGGTGTTTCCCCATGTTGGCCAGGCTGGTCTCAAACTCCTGACCTCAGGTGATCTACCTGCCTTGGCCTCCCAAAGTGCTGGGATTGCAGGTGTGAGCCACTGCGCCCGGCCCAGATAATTATTTTTACAGTATTTGACATAAAGTAATCCAGCCTGGGGGTTCTCTCAGGCTCCTCCAGTGACCCCACCTCATTCAAGTCCCTAGTCCTTATGGTAGCCTGCGAGCACACACGTTCTGCCCATGCTTATCCCTTACCGTCCTCCTTGTTCCTCCTCCCCATGCTGCTCTGCTCGCAGCCCTCAGACATGGAAGCATTTTCCAGCCCCAGAATCTTTCACTTGCCATTGCTCCAACTGGGGTGCATTTCTGGCTTACTCCTTTACACCGGTCAGATCTGTGCCCAGATGACATTTTCTCAAGGCGATCTCATCCTCTCCTTCTCTCTGACATAGTGCTTCCCTCCCTCACCACTCTGAGGACATAAACCCCTGCCGTATTTTCTTTCTTCATAACCCTTATCACTCCCTGAAGCCCTCTTACTCCTTTGGTGACTGGTTTATCAGTTGTAGGAACAGGGACTTTGCTTTGTTCATTGCTATAGCCCTACTGCTTAGAACAGTGCCTGGCATATGGCAGGCCTCAGTAGACATTGCTTTTCTTTAAAAAAAAAAAAAAAAAAGCTTGTAGAAATGAGGTCTCACTGTGTTGCCAAAGCCAGTCTCAAACTCCTGGCCTGAAGTGCTTCTCCTGCCTCAACCTCCCAAAGTGTTGGGATTACAGGCATGAGTCCCCATGCCTGGCCAGTAGACATTGTTGAATAAATGATTGCATGCATGAAACTGGCCTAAACCTAGGCCTGATGTAGTGGCTCATGCCTGTAATCCCAACATTTTGGGAGGCTGAGGAGGGTGGATCACTTGAGGTCAGAAGTTCGAGACCAGCTGGCCAAGATGGCAAAACCCCATCTCTACTAAAAATACAAAAAATTAGCCAGGCATGGTGGCAGGCATCTGTAGTCCCAGCTACTCAGGAGGCTGAGGTGCAAGAATCACTTGAACCCGGGAGGCAGAGGTTGCAGTGAGCCAAGATCGTGCCACTACACTCCAGCCTGGGTGACAGGCCAGACTTTGTCTCAAAAAAATAAATAAAATAAAGCTGAGAAATCAAAACATAGCACAGTAAGCATGTTATTTAGATATTTTTGAAGTATGAATACAGATGAAACACCTGAAAGCGTTGGAGCAGTGAGCTCTGGCCTGTGAAAATCGGGAGTAGGGATGAAGCAGGACACTGCTGTCTTATGTTATAGGCCTGAAAAAATGATTTCACTTTAAAGCTCTGTGCAGGTATTAATTTGATATAAGTGAAAATTTAACTAACAAAGACATTTCGTCTCAGGAGATAGTTACGCAGAAAGGTGGTAATAAAATTATTAATAAATGATGTAATTCCTAGGCTTCTTTGTTTTACAAGATAACTTTTGGGAAATTTTAATTATGTAAAGACATAATTCTTTCTTTCTTTTCTTTTTCGTAGGCAGGTTCTGGCTCTGTCACCTAGGCCGCAGTGCAGTGGTGTGATCTTGGCTCACTGCACCTTCTGCCTCTCAGGCTCAACTGATCCCCCCATCTCAGCCTCCTGAGTAGCTGGGACTATAGGCACACACCACCACACCTGGCTAATTTTTGCATTTTATTAGAAATGGAGTCTTGCCATGTTGCTAAACATTATGGGGCTCACCAAAGCCTGTGTCCTTATACCAAACTAAATCTAGCAAAACCTTATGAACTTACATTTTTAGCTGGAAAGATTAAAAATCAAATATTAATATGTCATCTTTTCATGGAAGGAAATGAGTATTATAGCTATAGGAAATATTAATATCTTGCCAGGAATGGTGGCTCATGCCTATAATCCCAGCACTTTAGGAGGCCAAGGCGGGCAGATTGCTTGAGCCCAAGAGTTCGAGACCAGCCTGAGCAATACAGAGAGACCCACATCTCAAAAAAAAAAAGTGGCTGAAAATCTGGTAGCCTTTTTTTGGTTAAGAAGTGACAGATGAGGCCAGGTACAGTGGCTCATGCCTGTAATCCCAGCACTTTGGGAGGCTGAGGTGGGCGGATCACAAGGTCAGGACATGGAGACCATCCTGGCTAACATGGTGAAACCCCATCTGTAACTAAAAAAATAATTAGCTGGGTGTGGTGGCAGGCGCCTGTAGTCCCAGCTGTTTGGGAGGCTGAGGCGGGAGAATGGTGTGAACCCGGGAGCTGGAGCTTGCAGTGAGCTAAGATCGCACCACTGCACTCCAGCCTGGGCGACAGAGCAAGACTCTGTCCCCCCCCAAAAAAAAAAGAGAAAGAAAAAGAAGTGACACATGAGGCCTGGCGTGGTGGCTCATGCCTGCAATCCCAGCACTCTGGGAGGCTGAGGCGGGCAGATCACAAGGTCAGGAGTTCGAGATAAGCCTGGCCAAAATGGTGAAACCCATCTCTACTAAACAAAAAACAAAAAACAGAAAAACAAAAATTAGCCGGGCATGGTGGCATGCGCCTGTAATCCCAGCTACTCAGGAGGCTGAGGCAGGCGAATCGCTTGAATCCAGGAGGCGGAGGTTGCAGTGAGCCAAGATCGTGCCACTGCACTCCAGCCTGGGTGACAGAGCAAGACTCCGTCTCAAAAAAGAAAAAAAATAGAAGTGACAGGTGCCCAAACCTAAGCACTTCCCCTCTGGCTGGCATTGGGAGGCAGGGCACAGATTTCACTACTGCAGCTACAGCAATTGAGGCCTTTGGAAATGATGGCCCCCATCCAGGTCTAGGCATATTCTCCGACCCACAGAAATCCTCTGAGATGTGCGTGCAGCTCCATTCTGCAGAGCAGACAACTATATCTCTCATAGGCATGCAGAATAAAACCATGTAGCTTTAATTGTGTTTTTCTTTGCTGTCAAAAATTAAAACAAGGCTGGGTGCAGTGGCTCGTGCCTGTAATCCCAGCACTTTGGGAGGCCGAGGAGGGCAGATCGGTTGAGCTCTCGAGTTTGAGGCCAGCCTGGGCAGCATATGGAAACCCCATCACTACAAAAAATACAAAAATTAGCTGGGCATGGTGGTGCACACCTATAGTCCTGGTTATTCCAGAGGCTGAGGTGGGAGGATTGCTTGAGCCTGGGAGGCAGAGGTTACAGTGAGCCAAGATTGTACCATTGCACTCCAGCCTGGTCAATAGAGCCAGACCTTGTCTCAAAAAAAAAAAAAAAAAAAAGGCAGGAAAAAATATTAAAACAACTTAAACTTGCATTTTTTTTTTTTTGAGATGGAGTCTTGCTCTGTTGTCCAGGCTGGAGTGCAGTGGCATGATCTCGGCTCACTGCAACCTCTGCTTCCCGGGTTCAAGCGATTCTCCTGCCTTAGCCTCCTGAGTAGCTGAGATTACAGGCGTGCACCACCATGCCTGGCTAATTTTTGTATTTTTAGTAGAGATGGGGTTTCACCATGTTGGCCAGGCTGGTCTCGAATTCCTGACCTCAGGTGATCCACCCACCTCGGCCTCCCAAAGTGCTGGGATTACAGGCGTGAGCCACTGTGCCCGGCCAGAACCATTTATTTATATATATTTTATTTTACAAATTTTACAGTCATAGTTTGATATACCTTATCTAGATTGTTCTAGGGCACAGATTCGAGTCCCCTGGCCTTTAAGAAATGTGAGTGCCAGAGAGTCACTTGCCCACTGTTGAGAACCAGTGTCTATTTCTCAACCAGCTTTGTGTTATATACTTTTTGCATATGTTGGAACTCCCTTGAAATATTAAAAATTTTGCTTACTAGTGAAAAAAATGACCCCTCAGAAGGAAGTCAACTACATGTACTGATCATGGAAATGAAGACAAAAGTCAAGTGTTTTAAAATAGCAGTTTATTAGGCAGCAGATAGCAATGTAAATAGATTAAATTGTAGAACATTGGACTAACTTGATGGTTTGCATCTGTGTGAAGTGGTTCACGTGACTCCATTTTTTTGAAGAAATCATATGCTGTAATAGTTATGATTTGGGATAATTTGAGGGTGTCTCAGGAGGTATCCCTTGCTACTGTCAGAGTCTGTGCTTTATTCATTTATACAACTGGCATCTAAAAACCTATTATGGGTTAGGTGCGGGGGGGTTATAGTGGCAAAGAAAACAAGCTCTGCCTTCATGGAGCTCATGAGATATGTACACAGCATGCCACCAGACAGGGATGAGCATTTTGACTTTAATTAATTAATTAATTAGTTTCTTGAGAGAGGGTCTTGCTCAGTTGCCCAGACTGGAGTGCTGTGACATGATCATAGCTCACTGCAGGCTGGAACTCCCAGGCTCAAGAAATCTTCCCACCCCAGCCTCCTGAGTAGCTAGGACTATAGGCGCATGCCACCATGCCTGGCTAATTTTTAATTTTTCACAGAGACATGGTCTCAATATGTTACCCAGGCTGGTTTTGAACTCCTGAGCTCAAGTGATCCTCCTGCCTCAGCCTCCCAAAGTGCTGGGATTACAGGTATGAGCCATCAGGTTCTGTCGCATTTTGACTTTAGACAGAGTGATCAGGGAGGCCTCTCTGAGGACCTAACATTTGAGGCAGAGACTTGAAGAGGAAGCAGTTTGAAGGTGGAAGGAAGAGAAAGAAGGCAGCATGAGATGAGATTTGAATGGGAGTCAGGAGCCAGGCCATCAGGGTTTCATCAGACAGGGTGGGAAATTTGGATATATTCTTTTTCGTTTTTTGCTTTTTTTGAGACAGAGTCTCACTCTGTCACCCAGGCTGGAATGCAGTGGCGCGATCTTGGCTCACTGCAACCTCCGCCCTCTGAGTTCAAGCAGTTCTCCTGCCTCAGCCTCCCAAGTAGTTGGGATTATAGGTGCCTGCCACTGTACCTGACTAATTTTTTGTATTTTTAGTAGAGACGGAGTTTCACCATCTTGGCCAGGCTGGTGTTGAATTCCTGACCTTGTGATCCACCCACCTCCGCCTCCCAAAGTGCTGGGATTACAGGCATAAGCAACCGCGCCCGGCTGAAGTTAGGATATATTCTAAGGGCCTTGGGAAAATATCGGGAGGTTTTAAGCAGGGGTGATATGATCTGATTTTTATTTTGTTTGATTCTGATTTATGCTTTAAAAAGATACCTCTGACTTTCCCACGGAGAACAGATTAGAACAGGAACATGGAAACCACACAGTTTCTTTCTTTCTTTTTTGAGACTAAGTCTTACTCTGTTGTTCAGGCTGGAGTGCATTGGCATGATCTCGGCTCACTGCAACCTCCGCCTCCCAGATTCAAGCGATTCTCCTGCCTCAGCCTCTCGAGTAGCTGGGATTACAGGCACACGCCACCATGCCCGGCTAATTTTTTGTATTAGTAGAGATGGGGCTTCACCATGTTGGCCAGGCTGGTCTTGAACTCCTGACCTGAACTGATCCACCCACCTTGGCCTTCAAAGTGCTGGGATTACAGGCGTGAGCCACCACTCCCAGCTGCAAAACACAGTTTCTATTCAATAAGTGGAAATGATGGTGTCCTGGATTAGGTTGAGATGCAGAGCAGAAGGAAGTGGTAGCTTTGAGATGTGATTTGAAGATAGATACTATGTATTTTTTGTGGGTGATATGGTTTGACTGTGTCTCCACCCAAATCTCTCTTGAATTGTAGCTCCCATAATTCCCACGTGTTGTGGAAAAGACCCAGTGGGAGATAATTGAGTCATAGGAGCGGTTTCCCCCAGACTGTTCACATGGTAGTGAATAAATCTCACAAGATCTGATGATTTTATAAGGGCTCTCATTCTCTCTTGTCTGCTTCCCCTTTCGCTCGGCTCTCATTCACCCCTTTCACTTGGCTGTCATTCCCTTGCCTGCCACCATATAAGACATGCCTTTCGCCTTCCACCACGATTGTGAGGCCTCCCCAGCCATGTGTAACTGTGGGTCTATTAAACCTCTTTTTCTTTATAAATTACCCAGTCTCGAGTTTGTCTTCATTAGCAGTGTGAAAACAGACTGGTACGGTGTGGGGGAGGAACAAGGTCTTGCTCTGTTATCCAGTCTGGAGTGCAATGGTGCAAACAATGCTCACTGCAGTTTCAACCTCCTGTGCTCAAGCAATCCTCCTGCCTCAGCCTCCTGAGTGGTCCATGCCTGGGACTACAGGCATGCGCCACCGCACCTGGCTAATTTTTAATTTTTTTTGTAGAGACAGGGTCTCCCTATGTTGCCCAGGTTGGTCTTGAACTCCTGGGCTCAAACGATCCACCTACCTTGGCCTCCCACAGTACTGGGATTACAGGCATGGGCCACTGCATCTGGCCAGAATCTATGTCTTGCTGATGGCTTAGTGGTATCTGTTTTCATATATACAGGTGTATATATGTACTAAAGAATAATTAACTGTGCTTATTTATTTAACCCCTTGACTTTTCAGATGCTTTGTTCAACCTCATGTTATCAATTTAACACAACTGTGATGCATAAACAACCTAAATGCAATTATTCATTTCCTTCCTAATGGGTATAAAAACGTCAGTAAATTATTGATCACAAAATATTTTGCTTCCATAGGCATGTAAATATTTAATCCTTAAGGTAATTGACATCTACATATTTTACCTTCCTGAGTACAGGTGTCTAAATTTGACATCAGATCATTGATAACTATATATTTTGGTTGCATGTGAGGACCAGTGAAAAAATTTAAGTGTGCAACTGGTAGGCAGTCATATAATTCACAGCCCAAAACTTTATATCTAGAAATGTAAATACAAATTCCTTAGACTCCTTTTTTTTTTCTCTTTTTTGAGATGGAGTCTCACTCTGTCACCTAGGCTGGAGTGCAGCGGATGATCTTGGCTTACTGCAACCTCTGCCTCCCCTGTTCAAGCGATTCTCCTGCCTCAGCCTCCCAAGTAGCTGGGACTACAGGCATGCGCCACAATGCCCAGCTAATTTTTGTGTTTTTAATAGAGACAGAGTTTCACACTGTTGGCCAGGCTGGTCTCAAACTCCTGACCTCAAGTGATCCTTCTGCCTCAGCCTCCCACAGTGCTGGGATTACAGGTGTGAGCCACCATGCCCTGCCTTCAGACTCCTTTTTTAACTGATGAAGCCATTTAATCAGTAAATCTAGAAGAAAAACATCCAGAGGCATTTATATGGTTTTTTTTTCCCCTCCAATAAAAGTGTCTTGAAAGCTGGCAGTCTGCTTTTTTTTTTTTTTTAATTTGTTATTTTAACTGAGCCTCTGCTGTGTGACCGATGCTTCAGTTCTCTCTGTCTTAGCTAGGGGAGTTCGAGCTCCATTATGGGTACAGTGCTAGGGAAGCAAGAGTGAGGGGGAAGGGAAGTGATGTTGGAAAGGAAGAAAAAGGATGTAATGCACTCGCATGTTCATCATAGCACTGTTCACAAGAGCAAAGACATGGAATCAATCCAAGTGCCCATCAATGGAGGATTGGATAAAGAAAATCTTCATATACACCGTGGAATACTACACAGCCATAAAAAATAGCAAAATCATGTCCTCCACAGCAACATGAATGCAGCTGCAGCTGGAGGCCATTATCCTAAGCGAATTAGAATTAATGCAGGAGCAGATACTGCACGTTCTCTCTTATAAGTGGTAACTCAACATAGGGTACCCAGGGACATAAAGATGGCAACATTAGACACTGGGGACTACTAGAGGGGAGAAGGAGGGAGGGGGGAAAAGGTTGAAAAGCTGTTGGGTACTGTGCTCAGTACCTGGATAACGAGATCATTCATACCCTAAACTTCAGCATCATGCACATGGACATCCTGATTCTAAAATAAAAGTTGAAAAAAATTGGCCGCTATTTTAGCGTTTTGTCAGAAGCGTCCGTGCTGCAAGGAGGAGGCCCTGCTGATTTCTGTGCTAGCTGTGGTCAGGATGGTGAAGCTGTTCATCGGAAACGTGCCCTGGGAGGCTACACAGCGGGAGATTCGCTCACTCTTCTAGCAGTATGGGAAGGTGCTGGAATGTGGCATCATTAAGAATTATGGCTTTGTGCACATAGAAGACAGAACTGCAGAGGAAGATGCCATACGCAACCTGCACCATCACAAGCTTTATGGGGTAAACATCAGTGTGGAAGCCAGCACGAATGAGAGCAAAACCTCAACCAAGTTGCATGTGGGCAACATCAGTCCCACCTGTACCAATAAGGAGCTTCCAGCCAAGTTTGAGGAGTATGGTCCAGACGGTCGTTGAATGTGACATCATGAAAGATGATGCCTTCTTACACATGGAGCGGGCAGAGGATGCAGTGGAGACCATCAAGGGCCTTGATAACACAGAGTTTCACAGTGGGATGTGTGTGGGCTGAAATTCCGAGCTGTTGTTGTGCATGAGAATACACCCTTCGTGGTACCCAGTCTCTGGGACGTTCTCGGCTTGGTGCATTCAGTCCCTTAGGAACCGTGGACCTTAATTTACCTTGCTAAGTTGAGACCTTCTCTTCCTTTCCTTTCCTCTCCTGCCCATTTTCCTGTTCTTCTGTCCTTCAGTACTTCTGTAGCTTCCCATTCATGTTCTGTTCTCCCAGCAGGCCTCATTGTGTGCAGAAACTGTGGTGGGGGCTGTGCTGTCTCCTCCCTGCCTCCTGCAGCTGTTGGATTTGGGAATGACTGTGGCAAGAGTCTCACTGCCCCTGGGTCTTTTTTTGGTCCAAAGGCTAGACCTATAGAGTTGATCACTTTTTTTTTCTCTCCGGTGAGATAAATGGTTTTTCAACTTTAAAAAAAAGTTGAAAAAAAATATATAAAAACAAAATTAGGCCGAGTATGGTGGCTCAGGTTTGTAATTCCAGCACTTTGGGAGGCCGAGGTGGGTAGATCACCTGAGGTCAGGAGTACGAGACCAGCCTGGCCAACATGGTGAAACCCCATCCCTACTAAAAATACAAAAATTGTCCAGGAGTGGTGGCACACACCTGTAATCCCATCTACTCAGGTAGCCGAGGCAGGAGAATTGCATGAACCAGGAGACAGAGGTTGCAGTGAGCCAAGATCATGACACTGCACTCTAGCCTGGGTGACAGAGTAAGACTCTGTCTCAGAAAAAGAAAAAAAAGTTGCCTGGGCGCGGTGGCTCACGCCTGTAATCTCAGCCCTTTGGGAGGCCGAGGTGGGCAGATCATAAAGTCAGGAGTTTGAGACCAGCCTGGCCAATATGGTGAAACCCCATCTCTACTAAAAATACAAAAATTAGCCAGGTGCGGTGGTGTGTGCCTGTAGTCCCAGCTACTTGGGAGGCTGAGGCAGAAGAATCACTTGAACCTGGGAGGTGGCAGTTGCAGTGAGCTGAGATCACGCCACTGCCCTCCAGCCTGGGTGACAGAGCAAGACTCCATCTCAAAAAAAAAAAAATTAAATTAAAAACTAAATAAAATTAAGCAAGATATGAATAAATTATGAGTAAAATATTAAAAGAAAAAAGCATGTAGATGGCAGTTTCACCAGGGAGCATAGTCATGAGAAGTCTCTGGAAAGGAAACATGTCTTGGATGGGGAGGAATGAATAAGAAAATATTTTTCAGTTACTCCCTGTCTCCTTCCTGTTGTTGATTGATCAAAGTTTGCCCCAGCACTCTGGGTCATGTTATTTTGTTCCTTGGACAGCCACTGGGAAAACTAGAGCCAGTGACAGCATCTGCACCACTAGCCAGTGAGCCAGTGCACCTGCACCTGTGCCCAGCCAGCCTCTTGTTATCTGGTGGCAGTGGCAGGGAAGACCCCAGGAGGCAACAAGGCCCTGTGAGGCGATGTGGGAGTCCTCGGGGAGCGAGGAGCTGCCCTGCAGTGGCTTTAGCAGGGGTGGAGGTGCACATCAGTGAGCCTCGCTCTAGGGAGGGTTGGAACCTCCTCTCTGGGGCCATAGCTGATTCCAGGTGGTCCTCCTGGAGTCATCAGCAGCACTGAACCCAAAGCCGAGGTCTGGTGCCCTGCTAAGGGGCTGTCTCCAGTTCTACAGTGGGGCACGAGTGATCATGGGAAGGGGAAAAAAGGTAATAGCTTTTATGCTTATTTGGTTTGTTTTTAAAGAACCCACAGAGCTGTGTTAAACACTAGGTCCTAGGTAGCAGGGTCATGAAAGAGCAATCAGTAGTGGCCTTCCCATTAGCTTGCCTTTCCATCATGCCCTCTGGGACTTCCTTTCTGTTCCACACTTTGGGAATATGGGAGTGGGAGGGGTGCCTTGGTGGGGGATGGAAAGAAAAAGCTAGGAAGAGCAAAGACAAGATGAATAAGAGAATCAGATTCAAGAGGGTCCTGCAAGTAAAATGCTTAATGTGGACCTGCTGCAGGGCAACTTTTGCTTTTTTGTTTTTGAGATGGAGTGTTGCTCTGCTGCCCAGGCTGGAGTGCAGTGGTGTGATCTTGGCTCATTGCAACCTCTGCCTCCCAAGTTCAAGCGATTCTCCTGCCTCAGCCTCCCGAGTAGCTGGGATTACAGGCATGCGCCACCACACTCAGCTAATTTTTGTATTTTTAGTAGAGACAGGTTTCACCATGTTGGCCAGGCTGGTATCGATCTTCTGACCTCATGATCTGCCTGCCTCGGCCTCCCAAAGTGCTGGGATTACAGGCATGAGCCGCTGCACCCGGCTTTTTTTTTTTTTTTATGACAGTGTCTTGCTCTGTTGCCCAGGCTAGAGTGCAGTGACACAATCTCAGCTCACTGCAGCTTACACCTCCTAGGCCCAAGCGATCCTCCCACTTCAGCCTCCCAAGTACCTGGAACCACAGGTCCATACCACCATGCCTAGTTAATTTTTTAAATTTAGTTTTTTGTTTTTTTTTTTCCCGAGACTGAATCTTGCTCTGTCACCCAGGCTGGAGTGCAGTGGTGCTATCTTGGCTCACTGCAATCTTTGCCTCCTGAGTTCAAGTGATTCTCCTGCCTCAGCCTCCCAAGTAGCTGGGATTACAGGTACCTGCCACCAAGCCTGGCTAGTTTTTCAATTTTTTTTTTTTTTTGAGACGAAGTCTCACTCTATCGCCCAGGCTGGAGTGCAGTGGCACAATCTCCCCTCACTGCAAACTCTGCCTCTCTGGTTCATGCCATTCTCCTGCCTCAGCCTCCTGAGTAGCTGGGACTACAGGCGCCTGCCACCGCGCCTGGCTAATTTTTTGTATTTTTAGTAGAGACGGGGTTTCACCGTGTTAGCCAGGATGATCTTGAACTCCTGACCTCAGGTGATCCACCTGCCTTGTCCTGCCAAAGTGCTGGGATTACAGGCATGAGCCACTGCGCCCAGCCTCACATTTAGTTTTTGTAGAGATAAGGTCTTCCTATGTTGCCCAGACTCTGCAGGGCTATTTTTGAAAAGAATGATTAATGAATGATTTTTTTTTTTGAGACTGTCTCACTCGGTTGCCCAAGGTGAAGTGCAGTGTTGTGATCTTGGCTCACTGCAATCTCTGCCTCCTGGGTTCAAGTGGTTCTCCTGCCTCAGCCTCCCGAGTAGCTGGGATTACAGATGTGTGCCACCGTGCCCGGCTAATTTTTGTATTTTTGGTAGAGATGGAGTTTTGCCATGGTGGTCAGGCTGGTCTTGAACTCCTGACCTCAGGTGTTCTACTTGCCTCGGCCTCCCAAAGTGCTGGTATTACAGGTGTGAGTCACTGTGCCTGGCCTCAATGAATGATTTTAAGTACTTCTATATGCTACAAGAAAATTTATCAAAATTTAAAGGAGCAGTGCAAATTTCCTTTGAAGAGCTTACTTAGACCTTGGTTATTTTATCATCCTGAAAATTCCTTTATAATAAAAAATGCATGTGGAATTAGTTAACATATTTTAATATATCTTTTTGATAGCTAAATATTTCTATTTGGTTGCACATTTTAATGTATTCTAGCACTATAATGTTTAGTATATTCAGGCCTTTATATAAGCAGCATATTTGGGCTTTCTGTATAGCAGGTACTCTGATGTGGAAAGAGCATTGATTTGGAAGTCAGAATATCTAGGTTTGAGATCCAGCTCTAATACTAGTCATGTAACTGTGAACAATTCACATAACCAATCTAGCATTCCCAAATCTAAATGTACATGTGAATCACCTGGAAAAATTAAAAGAGACAGCATTTTGTTTCTTACCCATACCAATAGGAATGAGGCCTGGGAACTTGTGTTGTTTTTTATTTTTACTTTTTATTTTACTTTTTTTTTTTTTTTGAGACAGAGTCTCGCTTTTATTGCCCAGGTTGGAGTGCAGTGGTGCGATCTTGGCTCACTGGAACCTCCACCTCCCAGGTTCAAGCAGTTCTCCTGCCTCAGCCTCCCGAGTAGCTGGGATTACAGGTGCCCATCATGCCTGGCTAATTTTTGTGTTTTTAGTAGAGACGGGGTTTCACCATGTTGACCAGGCTGGTCTTGAACTCCAGACCTCATGTGATCTGCCCACCTCGGCCTCCCAAAGTGCTGGGATTACAGGCGTGAGCCACCGTGCCTGGCTGTATTTTACTTTTTAAATAGAGACAGGGTCTCACTATGTTGCTCAGGCTGGTCTCATACTCCTAGGCTCAAGAAATCTGCCCACTTCAGCCTCCAAAGTGCTAGGATTATAGGCATAAGCCACTGTGCCAGGTCCCCAAATTTGTGCTCTTTATGAAGCTTCCCAGGAGATAATGGTGTGGTCCCTCAGAGGGAATGTGTTGGGGACAGCTCCTAGAAGATCTCTTAAGTGGTTTCCACTGCTAATATTTATGACTAAATATAAAATCTCTAAGCTTCATCATGGGAATTTGTAGATGTATCTTTGGTTTTATCTCTTGTTATTGCTCATATATGCCTATTATTTATTTGGTGTTAGCCTTGATTGGTAAAAAAAAATCCAATTACAACATGATGCCTTTGGGAATATATAATCATCTTTAATACATCAGCCCTGTAACAAAGTTTCCAAGAATGTTTTGTGTTGAAATTGGAAAACTGTTTGTAATCAAGAATGTGAATTTTGATGATTCCTTCAAAGGAATTATGCAATTAGGATATTCTTTTTTTTTTTTTTTTTTTTTTTTTTTTTTTTTTTTTTTGAGACAGGGTCTTGCTCTGTTGCCCAGGCTGGAGTCCAGGGGCTCAGTCTCAGCTCACTGCAACCTCTGCCTCCCAGGTTCAAGCAATTCTTGTGCCTCAACCTCCCAAGTAGCTGGGACTACAGGTACATGCCACTGTGCCTGGCTAATTTTTGTATTTTTTGGTAGACACTGGGTCTCACCATATTGGCCAGGCTGGTCTTGAACTCCTGGCCTCAAGTGATCCGCCTGCCTTGGCTCCCCAAAGTGCTGGGATTACAGGTGTGAGCCACCGTGCCTGGCCAACTAGGGTATACTTTTAGCCACATGGGCATGATTAGCCTTTGAGGAGCACTTAATTATTTGACTAATATGGCATCTGATGATATCTAAAAGTGTCAAAATGAGTGGTCTCTGCTTAGAATAAGATACTTAGCTGATGCTGAGCAAAAGCATGGATCCAGGAGGGATGACTTTGAAATCCTTCTCTACCGTCTCTACCCAGGCCCACACAGACCCACAATGCACACTTTCCAAGGGTAAGTGTGCATGTTGCCATAAAACCGTAAAACTCTTGAGGCTGAGGGGGCTCTGGGGTCATCTGAGTTAGTGTCTGCCACAGTATACAGGTGTTCCTAGTTTTCTTTAAAACGATGTCTTTGGCCAGGTGCGGTGGCTCACGCCTGTAATCGCAGCACTTTGGGAGGCCGAGGCGGGTGGATCACCTGAGGTTGGGAGTTCGAGACCAGCCTGACCAACATGGAGAAACCCCATCTCTACTAAAAATACAGAATTAGCTGAGCATGGTGGCGCATGCCTGTAATCCCAGCGACTCGGGAGGCTAAGGCAGGCTAAAGCAGGAGAATTGCTTGAACCCAGGAAGTGGAGGTTGTGGTGAGCCAAGATCCCACCATTGCACTCCAGTCTGGGCAATAAGAGCACAGCTTTGTCTCAAAATACAAAAATAAATAAATAAAGCAATGTCTTTAAATTTTCTCTGTGAGCAATAAGTGTAAAACTCCTGGTTTTTCTCAAGTCTTTGACACGTGATTGGCTTGGGTGGTCCATATTCCCTTTTTTCTCAAGGTGACTAAACCCTAGTTTTTATTTTCATACATGATGTTCAGCAGTTTGCAGCCTTCCTAGTCAAATTGTCCCATAGTTTGAAGCAAAGGCAAACGATCACACTCTAAATTCCCAGGTTTCCTTTAAGCCTCTAAATTTGGTTTTCCTAGCACTCCCTGGTTAAGTCACCAAAAGATTGAGAGGAGTTGAAGGCATAAAGATGAAAGGACCATTTTTGATTTTTGGGGCAACCAAGTTACTTTGGCTTTTGCTCATCTTGTAACATTGATCTCCCTGGCCAGTGCTCTGTCTTTCAAGGGTAATAATGACATTTGGCACCAGGACATCATAATGCTCATACAAGTCGTAGGTTTTCTCAGTCATAGCCTCGGTGTAAAATGGGGGTTGGTAATGGCGTTGGTGGAGTAGAGGGTGGTGAGTTTTGGCACATGGGAAAGTTTGCCAGGCTTACATATAAACTGGAGTCTTTCTTTTTTTTTTTTTTTTTGAGATGGAGTCTCACTCTGTCATCCAGGCTAGGGTGCAATGGTGCAATCTTGGCTCACTGCACCCTCTGCCTCCTGGGTTCAAGTGATTCTTTTGCTTCACTCTCCCGAGTAGCTGGGACTACAGGTGCCCACCACCATGCCCAGCTAATTTTTGTATTTTTAGTAGGGATAGGGTTTCACCATGTTGGCCAGGCTGGCCTCAAACTCCTGGCCTCAAGTGATCCGCCCATCTCGGCTTCCCAAAGTGCTGGGATTACAGGTGTGAGTCACCATGCCTGGCCCATTTTTTTTTTCATTTTAGTTAAGATCAAGTGTTTCTCCTCATTGTTGGTTGCATGCACTCGTACCTCCTGTACCTTTTCTTCCTCGGCTTTTTGTGTCTGTCTCTTCCTCCCCTTCCTCCATCTGCCCTCCCCCTCAATTGCTTCATGCATTTCTGCCATGAATTATAGAAAGTACATATCTTCTTTGTAATACCCCACATGATCTATTTTATACTGTATTATTCCTTGGAAGAAAGAAGCCAAAGTTGATTTTACATTAGTCAAACAATGATTACATACTCAGTTTGACAGAAACAACTTCTGTCTTTATGCACAACGGCAGATCTAATTTTATACATTTCTATACTTTGCAGAGATAATAGTGACTTTTTTTGGCAGGGAGAGGGGTGATGTGAGGCATGTCATAACTAAACTCTGTACCCTGAATTGCTTGAGAAACTGGAGTAATGGAAAGACCTTGGGTCCGAGAGTACTGCAGTAAATATTGGGCCGAATTCATCTCCACCACATGTTAGATCTCTGACATTGGCATCATTACTTAATATCTTTAAGCTTCTTTTCTTATTTGTAAAAGGAAAATAGAAAACCATTTTCTTTAGGGTTTTTGTAAGGTTTGAGTATAATTCATGTAAAGTACACAACATATTGCCTGGGGCAGGGTGGATGCCCAGTAAGTTGTATCCTGTGACTTAGCATCATGCATTTGTTCAGGTGAGCTGCTGTACAAAGTTAAAGAGCAGTGGCAATAGGATTATGATATTGTCTTAGCCTGTTTTGTGCTACTGTAACAGAATACTGGAGACTGGGTAATTAATATGCAACAGAAATTTATTGGCTCATGGTTCTGGGGGCTGGGAAATCTAAGATGGAGGGATCATCACTTGGCGAGGTCCTTCTTGCTATGTCATCCCGTGGTGGAAGAGCCAAAAAGAGTGAGAGAGCAAGAGGTTGGACTCATAGTCTCAAACCCTTTTATCATTGGCATTAATCCATTCAGAGGGTGGAGCCCTAATGATCTAACCACCTCCCATTAGGCCACACCCCCCAACACTGTTGTGTTGGGGATTAAGTTTCCAACACATGCTTTTTGGGAGACACGTTCAAACCATAGCAAATATGTTTAAAAGCTGTACTAATCAAGATGGTTTTTTGGGGGAAAGTTCTTCTTCTTTTGAATAGGTTACCATCTCCCTTGTTAGTTAGTCTAAAGCATCCATCTGTTTTGGGGAGAATAGGACTATTGCAGGAGAGAAGTTTGACATTCATACTCAATTTTGACATTGATAATAAGGTCTTTCCTATAAAATTATAAGAGCCTTCTAAAGTCAGACATTCCCTTGAAGGGATTTAAAAAATTTCTTTAGCTTCTCCTTTAACATAATAAGAATGAAGATTAGAATACTCAGTGCTTAGATTTCTCCTGTTGAGAACGTGCTGCTTCCAGTGGTGACAGCTTGGTCAGGAGCCTTGACACTCCATGGTTGAAGGAAGAAGAGACAGCCTTATGTCTTTTAGTCTTAGGTATTGGGAAAAGAACCAGGAGAGAGAAGGAGATGAGGAAGTTAGAGGTCATTTTTTTTTTCTTTTTGAGACGGAGTCTCGCTCTGTCGCCAGGCTGGAGTGCACTGTTGCGATCTTGGCTCACTGCAACCTCCGCCTCCTGGTTTCAAGCGATTTTCCTGCCTCAGCCTCCCAAGTAGTGGGATTACAGGCATGCGCCACCATGTCCAGCTAATTTTTGTATTTTTTAGTAGAGATGGGTTTCACCATGTTGGCCAGGATGGTCTTGATCTCCTGACCTTGTGATCCGCCTACCTCAGCCTCCCAAAGTGCTGGGATTACAGGTGTAAGCCACCGCGCCAGGCTGAGGTCAGTTTTTATATTCGCTCTTGCCAACCCCAAAGCTTGCTTTGGGGATAGCTTTTGAAGATGGGACTTTAGAAATATTGTGGTAAGTTGAGGACACCAAAAAGACAACAGGTTTTGAGATAAATTAGTTATTTAGGTAGATTGGCTGGCCAGGCAGTGGGCTTGTCGTCTGCTTTCCAAGCTTTTGGTGTTTTACAATTTTTTTTCTTTGTAATTACTGGTTATAGCAAGATAATTTGTTTTTTATTTTTTGCTTTTTTTTGAGACGGAGTTTCGCTCTTGTTGCCCAGGCTGGAGTGCAATGGCGTGATCTTGGCTCACCGCAACCTCTGCCTCCTGGATTCAAGTGATTCTCCTGCCTCAGCCTCCTGAGTAGCTGGGATTACAGGCATGCACCACCATGCCCAGCTAATTTTTTGCATTTTTAGTAGAGACGGGGCTTCTCCATGTTGGCCAGGCTGGTCTCGAACTCCCGACCTCAGATGATCTGCCCGCCTCGGCCTCCCAAAATGCTGGGATTACAGGTGTGAGCCACCACGCCTGGCCCTTTTTTGTTTTTGTTTTTAAGAGACAAGGTCTCCTATGTTGTCCAGGCTGTTCTTGATCCTCCCATCTCTGCCTTTCAAGTAGCTGGGATGGTAGATGCATGCCACTATGCCTGGCTGCTCACCAAGCCCCTTTGCTTCCGTATTAGATGTTCTGCTTAAAGTGAAGTTGTAAAGTGAGCACCTGGGCCAAAGCCTGGGCAGAGTGTGTGGCAGCGATTCCTCTGCAGGGGGCTGTATGCTTGTTTGCCTAGGGCAGCCTGGCTTTCACCTGCTGTCCTAGGCTTCTCTGCAGTTGGTACCCTCTGTCACTGGTACTCTCTGGAATAACCGTATAATTTATGGTACAACTGGCACACATAAATTTTGTGGCTATTCCAGAGAGGGTACCCTTGTGAGCCCTGAGTGGGGCTGAGTCCTCACTGAACATTCCCCAGGCCCTGGGAGGGTCCTTCAGGGCCAGATCACAAGGATGCCAGGTGCCGATTTCAGCATTCTGAGGTCAGAGAAATCAGAGGACAGAAATTACACGGCTTCCAGGCCCTCCTTTCCCCTGGCAAATGTAGTCATAGAGGAGAGCTGGGGAGGGAGGTAGGACCTGGGAAATCTGAAAGGCAGCCATTTTTACTTAGAGTGAAAATTACCTGAGAGCACAGTTTTAAGGTTTTGCCTTAGATCGGATTGAATCTGTTGTTTTACCTTTGTATGCCCAGTGGATGGGGACTCATGAGAAAAACTGGATTAGTTACAGAGAAGATATACTTCACTTCCTCTGCAACACTGAGCACTAGGTGAGCAAATTTTGTAAGCTTGTCAATGAACAATTACTTTTTCCTACAGCTTCTTTGTGTCTTCACTGTGCTTTCATTCCTAAAGTCTCTCCAGCTATTTAGACAAGATCACCGTGAGCCTCATAGCTTATGGTCAACACTTTTCTAAAAATATTTAGCCCAAAATGAAGCTGGGACAGTCCTCATTTTTCACTACTTTACATTTTCCTACTCATTCAATACTGACCACAGAGATAGGTAATACTTCATATATGGGCAGAGTCCAGTTTATATCTATAATCTCTTTAAGAAGTGATCTTCAGGCTGGGCATGGTGGCTCACACCTGTAATCCCACCACTTTGGGAGGCTGAGGTGGGTGGATCACATGAGGCCAGGAGTTCAAAACAAGCCTGGCCAACATGGCGAAACCCCATCTCTACTGAAAATACAAAAAATTAGCTGGGCATGGTGGCAGGCACCTGTAATCCCAGTTACTCAGGAGGCTGAGGCAGGAGAATTGCTTGAACTCGGGAGGCGGTGGCTGCAGTGAGCCGAGATCATGCCACTGCACTCCAGCCTGGAGCAACAAGAGTGAATTCACTAATCTTTTTTTTTTTTTTTTTGAGATGGAGTTTTGCTCTTGTTTCGGCTCCCTGCAACCTTTGAACGCCTCCTGCATTCAAGTGATTCTTGTGCCTCAGCCTCCTGAGTAGCTGAGACCACAGGCATGCACCACCAGGGCTGGCTAATTTTTGTATTTTTTTTGGTAGAGATAGGGGTTTCACCATGTTGGCCAGGCTGGTGTTGAACTCCTGACCTCAAGTGATCTGCCTGCCTCAGCCTCCAAAAGTGCTAGGATTACAAGCATGAGGCACCATGCCTGGCCCATTGAGCCCCTTTTGCGGCTCCTTCCTCCACCCTCCCCCTTCCTCTGGCTACACTGATTTTCTTCAGGTCCCTTCTAACATCCCAACATGCTTCTCCTAACCTAGACCCTAGACCTTATATTCAAGCTGCTTCCCCCTCTGGACTTTTTCCTTCTCCTCCTTTTTTCTGTTTATTCCACTCATCCTTCAATTTCAGCCTTAACCACCACTTCCAAGAAGACTTCTTTGACCTGACAAGGTCAGATTCTGTATTATAGGCTCTCATAGCATTTATTTAAAAAATTTTTTAATTTTTATTTTTTTAAGAGAAAGGGTTTTGTTCTCTTGCCCAGGCTGGAGTGCAGTGGTATGATTGTAGCTCACTGCAGTTTTGAACTCCTGGGCTCAGGCAATCCTCCTGCCTCAGCTTCCCAATTAGTTAGGACTAGAGGCGTGTACCACCATGACCTAATTAAAAAATTTTTTTGTAGGCATTGTGTCTCACTGTGTTGCCCAGGCTGGTCTTGAACTTTTGACCTCCAGCCATCCTTCCTTCTGGACCTCCCAAAGTCCTGGGATTACAGGTGTGAGCCAGCACCCGGCCTCTGAGCATTTCATCACACTTTTGAGTTCTGGTATTATACTTACTAATAAGATTATTTAATGCCTGCCTTTTTCACTGTACTGTAAGTTCCATGAGAACAAGGCATTTTCTGATTTTGCTCACTTTGCTCACTGTTGAATCTGTAATACCTAGCACAGTGCCTGGCACTGACCTCAGTAAGTGCTGTGCGTTCCTGAAACCTGAAATGAGATTTTTGCGGCAAGAGCAGTGGCCTGTTCCATTTGGCGACAAGAGGGGGCAGCAGAGAGCTACCAGAGTAGAGGCCTCTAGTTTATCTTTTGGGTTAGCAAATCCAGTTTGTCAGGCTGTTTAATCAGGAGTGGAGGAGAGGGTGGAATGTCGAAGGGGAATCCAAGAAGCAAAAGTACAGGGATTATCCAGAAGAAAAATGGAGTGAAAGGGAGTTAGCTGGAAAGGGATCTCAGCTGTGAGTGGTACACAGTCCGTGGCCGGGCATCCTGCTTCTCTCTAGGCCTTTCGAGGGTTGGAAAGCATCCTGTCCCAGTATACCTGAAGGCCCTAACGATGCAGACAGATGTGGTATAGGAAGAGGAGAGAACAATTACTTCTTGCTGGTAGCAGCTTCATTTTGGAAGCTTCTGCATGGCAGGTGTGTAGTGCTCCTATCCATTGCACAGGACATAGGACCATGAGATTGGGCTGCGGGACACAGGGAAGAAGTAGGGAGGGATGGAAACTAACATTTCCTAAGTAGCTTCTGTGTTACAGGCACAAAGGAGTCCAATATGGCCAGTATTTTCCTTATTTGAAACATGAGGGTCATGGCTGAGAGAGTTACAGTAATTTGCCCAAATCATATTGTGGCTAAACTCAGTTTTTAACCCTAATTCCCATGGCTTAAAAACCCATGTTCTTTCTCATATTTTTTTTTTTTTGAAATGGAGTCTTTCTCTGTCACCCAGGCTGTAGTGCAGTGGTGCGATCTTGGCTCACTGCAACCTCCGCCTCCTGGGTTCAAGCAAGTCTCCTGCCTCAGTCTCCTGAGTAGCTGGGATTACAGGCATGTACCACCATGCCCAGCTAATTTTTGTATTTTTAGTAGAGATAGGGTTTCACCATGTTGGCCAGGCTGGTCTCAAACTCCTAACCTGAAATGATCCACCCGCTTTGGCCTCCAATAGTGCTAGGATTACAGGCGTGAGCCACCGCCCCCGCCCAGTAATGGCTCTTTTTTTTTTTTTTTTTTTTTTTTTTTACTTGGTGTGCCTAAAGAGAAATAGACCCTTCTCAGTTATGGACCATATTGGTAGATTCAAAATCTATACTAGAAACTGTTATCCCTATTTTTAGATTTGTTGGCCTGTGAGAAATTTATTAATGTAAATATAAAATGTTGCATTTTAGGCTAACAGCATATAATCTCTGATTGTCAACAATAACTCAGAATTTGAAATGTCCAAGTTCTATATGGCATGCCTGTGAGGGTCAAAAACTGCAAGAATTGGTCTGGAAATGGTGGCTCACACCTGTAATCCCAGCACTTTGGGAGATGGAGGAAGGAGGATCACTTAAGCCCAGGAGTTCAAGACTAGCCTGGGCAACATAGTGAGACCCTATTTCTACAATAAATTTGAAATATTAGCTGGGCATAGTGGCATGAACCTGTAGTCCTATCTACTCAGGAGGCTGAGGAAGGAGGATCACTTGAGCCCAGGAGGTCAAGGCTGCAGTGAGCTATGACTGTGCCACTGTACCATGGCTTGGGTGACAGAGTGAGACCCTTTATCAAAAAAAAAAAAATTGTAAGAATTGTCATCTTGATTTAATATCAAGGATACAAACTTATGGGGAGGGTTTTTGGTCAAAGTGTTAATCAAGTGAATACCAGTGTAGGGAATAGGATCTCTGCTCCTGGATCATAAGCTAAAATGAGAAGCGCCATAAAGTGAGTTAAAGAATTTCTGAATCGTGGGTCACACTTGTAATCCCGGCACTTTGGGAGGCCAAGGTAGGTGGACTACTTGAGTCCAGGAGTTCAAGACCAGCCTGGGCAACTTGGCAAGACCCCGTCTTTACAAAAAATACAAAGAATTATCCAGGCATGGTGGTGCATGCCTGTAGTTCCAGCTACTCGGGGGGCTGAGGTGGGAGCATTGCTTGAGGCTGCCTGGGAGGCGGAGGTTGAAGTGAGCCGAGATCGTGCCACTCCATCTTGGGCAACAGAGCAACACCTTGTCTAAAAAAAATGGATTTCTGACCTGGAATATAACTATCAGAGAAGAAACATTCTTGTGAAATCCTCTAAGAGAGGATTTCTCAATAGAAAACAAATCCACCCTATTGTAGGTATTGACTGTAGCATGACTTGAACACTCCATGCCAAGCCAGTCTTTAGCAAAAGTTAATCTTCCTGATTAGCAAATTGAGTATAAGATCAAGGTCTCAGAGCCTGGGGCTTTGGGGTGGAGGGGCAACAACTTTGTGGAAACTGAAAACTGTGGTTTTTTTTTTTTTTTTTTTTTTTTTTTGAGACAGAGTTTCGCTCTTGTTGCCCAGGCTGGAGTGCAATGGCACGATCTCAGCTCACTGCAACCTCTGCCTCCTGGGTTCAAGCAATTCTCTTGCCTCAGCCTCCCAAGTAACTGGGATTATAGGCACCCCCCACCACCACACCCGGCTAATTTTGTATTTTTAGTAGAGACGGAGTTTTACCATGTTGGCTAGGCTGGTCTTGAACTCCTGATCTCAGGTGATCCACCCATCTTGGCCTCCCAAAGTGCTGGGATTACAGGCGGGAACCACCGCGCCAGGCCTGGAAACCGAAAACTGTTGAAGTCAAGGGGAAACAAGGCGCACTTCCTCTGTTATCTAGTAGCAAAGGAAGAACATCTTGGAACTGAACATGTGTCAGAATTTTGGCAGGGAGAAATATGTGATTTTATCAAAAAGTAAATAATGCTGAGGAAGAAAATACATTCTTCTCATTGCAAAGAAAAGACTGTGAGGGAAAAGCAGGGTTTTTTTTTGTTTTTGTTTTTGTTTTTGTTTTTGTTTTCTGTGTGGTTGTTTTTTTTTTAGACAAAAACCATTTGATCTAGGGAAGTTGGCCTAAAAAGTTTGTTCTTTTTTCCTTTTAGGAGGTGATGGAAGGCATCAAGGTGGGCCTTTCACCCATTAATCTCTCCATTTTCCCCTCCAGAAATGATTTAGATTCTATAATCTGTGTTGATTTGTCCATATTCATTAGAGATTTGGCTTGGGCAGTTATTAATGATGACAATGATCACTCTCCTTTATGGCATTTCATGCTTAAAAGAATACTTCAGACTGCCTCCAAATAACAAAACGAGTTCTGAACAGTCATTGCCAGACTCACTTAATGTTCCTTTGAGCATCCACCGCATATCAGACTTCTGTCCAGCACTGCATTTGATTCGAGGCATGTACAGTACTCTCAAGGAGTCAAAGACAAACAGATGGGTTCTTTCCCTCAAGCGAATAAACATTTGTTTAGAACTCAGACACATTTCCCCATTAATCAAGATCAGGTTCCAAGGCCCTCCCATTAAAACCTTTTGAATCCATAACGAACCATCCTATAAAACTAGTAGCCTTGCCCTGAATTCTGGGTCGTAGGTCATATCCTAATAGGATATGACCACATGGAGGAGATGGAAGATCCAAGAAGAGAGAATATGGCATTTGAAGATTTAGTTAAATTTCTAGTTTATGAAATTCAAGATGCTTGTCCCACAAAGTGACACTAGAGGGCAGTGCATATAGCAAAACCTTGCAATGGAACAAGACTGAATTCCCATTTCCAATTAATGCTTTTTAAAATTCAAATGTCAGCTCTGAAGTCTTTTCATTTCATTCCATAGATAAAGGGAAAATATATTCAAATTATATGTCATCATAAAAAATATCTTGAGGATGAAGAATTTTGTTAATATTTATCAAAGTAATAATTTGATAAAAATTTTAAAAATTAAATAGTATTAACATTTCTTTCACAAAAAGGAAGTTCTTGTCCCTTCTTCTTCCCACCTGTCTTTCCTATAGTGTCTTCTGAATTTACATTTGTATTTCTATTTAATATGAACATATATATATTTTTTCTTTTTTTAAATTTAATTTTCTCTTTTTAAATTGACAAATAATTTTACATATTCATGGGATACGTAGTGATGTTTTGATACATATAATGTGACCAGGGTAGTTAGCAAATCTATCATCTCAAACATCTATCTTTTTTTTTTGTATTGGGAATGTTCAATATCCTTCTGGCTATTTGAAACTGTATAATATATTATTGTTAACTATAGTCATCTTAGAGTGGTTTAGAACATGAGAACTTATTCCTTCTATCTAGCTGTAATTGTCATACTTATATTTCTTGAGGCAAGTGATTATTTGGTTTGTTTTTAATGAATTTCCCCAGATACATTTTTCTGCTCCCCCCAAATCTATCTAATGTAGTCCAATTTTATTACATCAGAAATCATTGTTTACAATGAGATGTTATAATTGAAACTTTTCATTTTGGCAATTTT
This sequence comes from Homo sapiens, assembly GCF_000001405.40. Taxonomy (NCBI): domain Eukaryota; kingdom Metazoa; phylum Chordata; class Mammalia; order Primates; family Hominidae; genus Homo; species Homo sapiens. The sequence goes on along the minus strand of NC_000008.11, from coordinate 33,420,520 downwards.
CTTATGCAAACAAAACAGACAGAATGATATAAAGAATGCCCATTTAGTCTTCATCTAGCTTCAACAACCATCAGTCTTCTCATTCGTGTTTAATTATTCCCACACTGTCTCTTCCTCCTCTCAATTATTTTAAACAAATTTTAAACCTTGTCATTTCACCAGCATTGTTCATATTACTAAGACTTTGAAAATACTGCTCAACATAGAACCAGCAATTACATTTTTTTGTATATTTTATTTGTCTAAAACTAATAATTCTCTCTTAAATTTTTGTTAGTTTTTATTAATTACTTATCATTAATTTTATTTTAACAGTGTTCCATTAGATATATGAGACACACACATATATGTAATAAATAAGTACATACATTTTATTTATTTATTTATTTTTTGAGACAGGGTCTCAGTTTGTTTCCCAGGCTAGAGTACAGTGGCGTGATCATGGCTCACTGCAGCCTTGACCTCCATGGGTTCAGGTGATCCTCCCACCTCAGCCTCGAGAGAGGCTGGGATTGCAGGAGTGTGCCACCACACCTGGCTAATTTTTGTATCTTTTGTAGAGACAGGGTTTCACCATGTTGACCAGGCTGGCTTTGAACTCCTAGTCTCAAGGGATCTGTCTGCCTTGGCCTCCCAAAGTGCTGGGATTACAGGCTGAGCCACCATGCCTGGCCATAAACTTTAAATAAATAAATGAAGTTTAAATAAATAAATGAAGTTTAAATAAATGACCTAACATATTACATAATGTATCAACTTTATTTTTCCCCCAGAAAACATTGTTCTGCAGTCCCCATCCTCCTTCTTTTCTTTTTATCGATACATAATATTTGTACCCATTTATGAGGAACCTGTAATATTTTGTTACATGCATAGAATGTATAATGATCAAGTCAGGGAGTCATGGCATTTAAGGGACGGGTTCCCAACGTCAGGGCCTGTCCGTGGCCTGTTAGGAACCAGGCTGCACAGCAGGAGGCGAGTGGCGGGTGAGCCAGCATTACCACCTGAGCTCTGCCTCCAGTCAGCTCAGCAGCAGCATTAGATTCTCATAGGAGCATGAACCCTATTGTCATGCACATGCAAAGGATTTAGATTACTTGCTCCTTGTGAGTATCTATCTAATGCCTGATGATCTAAGGTGGAACAGTTTTATCTTAAAACCAATCCCCCACCACCCCAGTCTGTGGAAAAATTGTCTTCCATGAAACCAGTCCCTGGTGCCAAAAGGGTTGGAGACTGCTGATTTAAGGTATCTATCACCTCTACTATTCTATGTGTTAGGTACATTTCAAGTCTTCTAGTCTAGCTATTTCAAAATATACAATAATTTGTTGCTAACTGTAGTCACCCTACTCTGCTATCAAACACTAGAATTTATTCTTTCTACCTCATTCTGTGTTTGTACCAATTAAACAGCCTCTCTTTATCCACCCCACCCCCAACCTTCCCAGCCTCTGGTAGCTACCATTCTACTCTCTACCTCCATGAGATCAATTCTTTTAGTTCCCACATATAAGTGAGAACGTGTAATATTTGTCTTTCTGTGCCTGGCTTATTTCACTTAACCTAATAACCTCCAGTTCCATCCATGTTGCTGCAAATGACAGGATTTCATCCTTTTTAATGGCCGAATAGTATTATATTGTGTATATGTGTCATATTTGCTTTATCTGGTCATCCATTGGACACTTAGATTGATTCCGTATCTTGGCTATTATGAATAGTGCTGCAGTAAAGACGGGGGTGCAGGTGTTGCTTTGACATACTGAGTCCCCTTCTTCTGGAAAGATACCCAGCAGTGGGATTGCTGGATCACATGGTAGCTCTGTTTTTAGTTTTTGAAGAAATCTCCATATTGTTTTTGATAGTGGCTGTACTCACATTTCCACCAACAGTGTATAAGAGTTCCCTTTTCAGCTGGGCTTGGTGACTCACGCCTGTAATCTCAGCACTTTGAGAGGCCGAGGTGGGCAGATCACCTGAGGCCAGGAGTTCGAGACCAGCCCAGCCAACGTGGTGAAACCCTGTCTCTACTAAAAATACAAAAATTAGCTGGGCGTGGTGGTGCGTGCCTATAATCCCATCTCAAAAAAAAAAAAAAAAAAAGAGTTCCCTTTTTTCCCACATCATCACCAGCATCTGTTATTTTTTGTCTCTTTAATCTTAGCTGTTGTAACTGGCATAAGATGATACACATTGTGGTTTTGATTTGCATTTTGTCCTCCAGTTGGGTGAAAGTGCGTGGAGGCTGTGCTATGGTTCAGCGGTGGTGGTTGTGGGGCCAGTGGGATCATTGTCTGTGGCTCATGCTTTGGCCCCAGGGCAGCAGCCAGCAAGGGGGATATCACTGGGGTGCCACAAATATGGAACTGCAGGGGCTGTTGGATTCCAGTGTAGGATGCAGTCTGCTGGGGGCTGGGGGCTCAAAATGGTGCGTTGCTGTAGCCGCTTAGGTTTGGGCGTGGGTTGGACCCCGGTGTGAGCTCCCTCTCTGAAACAGTGTGGTCATACAGTCTCCAGACAGCTCCCAGTGTTAGTATCAGGGCACGTGAGGGTGAGGTGCTGTCGCATGGCTAGGATTGCGGGAGTTCAGAGTGGGAATGTGGACCCCTGGGGTTCTCTCCGCAACTCCTTCCTTGCACTGGGGAGCCTCTCTGGGCTTCCGGCTGATCCTGGCTGAGCAGGCTGCCTGCCTTCCTTCTCCTTTCTTGCCTTAGACGTTTCCTGTCACTTCTCTGTTCTTTCCTAGATGATCTATTTGAAGTGTGATTATCTACTTGCTATTTTGGCTCTTGGTGGAGGAGGCGAGTACCAGATGCTTCTTATTCAGCCTTCTTGAAGCCCCCACCCCTCCTCCTTTAAGCTGGACTTGTTGTTCCCTAACCCTGCTGAATATTCCCATCGTGGAGCTTCAGATATCCTAAGGATTTATTTTATTTTATTTTTTGCTGCTTTACGATGGAGTCCCTGTTTCCCAGTTCCCACATTTTCCTTTCTCTTGATTTGCTCCGCTGAGTGGCTGTAGCTCATCTTCTAATTCAGCAGTGCCCAACCTTTTTGGCACTAGGGACTGGTTTCACCAACAACAATTTTTCCACAGACTGTGGGGCGGGGAGGGGAAGATGGTTTCGGGATGATTCAAGGGCATTAAATGTATTGTGCACTTTATATCTGTTATTATTACATTGTAATATATAATGAAATAATGATACAACTCACCATAATGTAGAATCAGTGGAACCCTGAGTTTGTTTTCCTGCAACTAGACGGTCCCATCTGGGGGTGATGGGAGACAGTGACAGTTCATCAGGCGTCAGGTTCTCATAAGGAGCGTGCAACCTGGATCCCTTGCATGCGCAGTTCACAGTAGGGTTCATGCTTCTGTGAGAATCTAATGCTGCTGCTGATCTGACAGGAGGCGGAGCTCAGACGGTAATGCCAGCGCTGGGGAGTGGCTGTAAATACAGATGATGTTTCTCTCACTCCCGCCACTCACCTCCTATTGTCTGTCTGGGTTCCTAACAGGCTACGGATGGATACCGGCCTATGGCCTTGGGGTTGGGGACCCCTGTTCTAACTGTTTCCCAAGTAGAGTAATAAAGGAAGATTAGAATTTGAGGCCAAACATCCTCTTCTGTCAGAACTATTTTTTTCTTTTCTTTCTTTCTTTTTTTTTTTTTTTTTTTTGTCGTCGCCCAGGCTGGAGTGCAGTGGTGCGATCTCAGCTCACTGCAACCTCTGCCTCCTGGGTTCAAGCGATTCTCCTGCCTCAGCCTCCAGAGTAGCTGGGATTACAGGCATGCGGCACCACACCCAGCTAATTTTTGTATTTTTAGTAGAGACTGGGTTTCACCACGTTGGCCAGGTTGGTCTTGAACTCCTGACCTCAAGTGATCCTCCTGCTTTGGCCTCTCAAAGTGCTGGGATCACAATCATGCACCCCCACACCTGGCAAATTTTGTATTTTTAGTAGAGATGGGGTTTATCCATGTTGGCCAGGCTGGTCTTGAACTCCTGGCCTCAAGTGATCCTCCCGCCTTGGCCTCCCAGAGCGCTGGGATTACAGGTGTGCGCCACCATATCTGGCTAATTTTTGTATTTTGGCCAGGCTGGTCTTGAACTCCTGGCCTCAAGTGATCTGCCTGCCTCGGCCTCCCAAAGTGCTGGGATTACAGATGTGAGCCACTGCACCTGGCCCATACTATTTTCTGAATCATGTCCACCTGTGTGATTTTATTCTTAAAATGACTACTACGTGGATATCCACTTTCCTGGATTAATTCTCTGCATTAATTATTATAAATATTTTCCATACTTTGCCATTTTATTCTGCTTTCCAGGTTTCCATTTTATTTCTGTTTCTTCTGTTACACTTAAACATTTTGTTATATTGCTCTTAATTTTGTTTCTTTGATTGTTTTTGTTTTCTGGATGCAATAATGCAACATTTCTTTGATTAAATAAATTTTAATACTTAAATCCTGCTTTTTAATAGTTCCACTTTTGTTTATTCTTTGTAATTTGTGTTGTAGGTTTACCTTACATTGACTAATGATTTTTGATTGTTTTTATTTTAGAGTAAGGCACTAAAAAAACTGTTTGGGAGTTCTGAGGGAGAGAAGCTTATAGACATGTGGCTTCTAGCGGGAGGCTGATTAAACCCGCTTTTTTCCCTTGGGGGACCATTAAATATTAGTACAGTTAATGCGGGTCATTTCTGTGGGCTGCTCAGTTTCTGAAGGGAAGTGTTTGAGTAACATAAGCCTGACTGTTAATACTCTGGGAGCTGATGGGGATAGGTCCTGGGACTTTAATCCTATTTTCCCTCTATCCTCCTATTTATAGTTCAGGATCTCTCTCTACCCTTTATTATGCTGGATGAAACCAAGTCTGAAGATTTTTATCTCAAAACTATGGGGAGAATAAATCTGTCACCTGGCTGGGAGTGTATTGATCACAGGCTACATGTATGAGGGTGGGGACCTGGTACTTGACTGCTCTGTAATTAGATTTTCCATTAAATCCCGATATTTTCACCTCTACCCCTCCTTCATAGTCCCTGTCAGTGTCTGGTCCTGCACTTTCCAAGTGTCCCCTGGGTTCTCTTGGCTCCCTTCTCCTCCAAAGCAGCTTCTCCACTGGGTCCACCAGCTCCACATCTTTCAAAAAGGAATTTAAGTCCCTCATCTGATTCAGACTTTTCTCTAATTATTTGTCCTTGTAGATTTGTTTATTTATTTATTTATTTATTTTTTTGAGGCAGAGTCTCACTGTGTTGCACAGGCTGGAGTGTAGTGACGTGATCTTGGCTCATTCCAAGCTCCGCCTCCTGGGTTCAAGTGATTCTTCTGCCTCAGCCTCCTGAGTAACTGGGCCTACAGGCACATGCCACCACAGCCAGCTAGTTTTTGTATTTTTTGTAGAGACGGGGTTTCACCATGTTGGCCAGGCTGGTCTCGAACTCCTGGACTCAGGTGATCTGCTTGCCTCGGCCTCCCAAAGTGCTGGGATTACAGACGTGAGCCACCGCGCCTGGCCTTTTTTTTTTTTTTTCTTTATGGTTCATTTAGTGGGGTTTGGTGATGGGGGAAGAGATGAACTAGCATTTAGCTCGCATATTGAAGAATGATTAACATAATGAGCCAGGCACTGAGCTTAGTGCCCTCCTTACCCTGCCTGTGAGTTTAGGTGTCCAAGTCAACTCTTGGGAGTTTTTCAATAAACAGAGAAGGAAATAAGGCAGTGTGTTGTTTGGAAATAAAAGAAGGAAGATTATCACAAAATTAAGGGAGATTAGATTGTTAAATTTGAGCTAATAACCACAGAACTTTATGCTATTTGAAGGTGTAGGGGAGACGGAAAAGCATTCTCTCTGCTCACTGAGGGTTTGTTGAATGATGGACAACAGACAGATTAATAGGGGGAAAAAGCCATGGTAAATTTATTAACATGTATATAGACAAGGGAGTCCCATAGATAATGTTTCCAAGATATGAGTGTGTCTTTGTCAGTTTGGGCTGCTATAATAGATATGAGACTCAAAGAAAGGCCAGATGGTTGAAGCTTAAATACTCTCTTCATAGGGCAGAGAAGGGTGAGGGGGCTGTAGGTAAGTTTTTAGAGGGGTAGTAAATGATATTTAGGAGGAATGAATGAACTGAAAGAACAGTGGCCTGGGACAGAGTTCCTCTGAGCTCTGGGGGAGGTGGTGGAAAGGTGAGGGACAGAAGTTCACTGTAAACAAAGTTTGTTTTATTATGCAGATAAAGTCTCCCAGGCAATCTCGGAGTTGCTCTCAGAAAAATAGATTACAAAACCTATTTGGGCTTGGTAATGGACTTTTAATCGCCTCTTGGTGGTTAATCTTTCCTGGTTATTCAATGATATTCCTACAGAGGGGAATCTTAAGACAATTGTATTTCTTTTGGAAATAAGTTTCCTTAGTCAGATAAGAAGCCCTTCCCTGCACTGAGGGTGGAGGTGAAGGGGGGACAGAGAAGATTAGAGTCTTTGGTTCTGAGGTAGCTTCTAAGGCCTTCCTATTTTAGTTTGAAGTGTTCAGCATACCAGAGTGCCCAACCTTTGGGTATCATTTTCTGAGCCCCAGCAAAGGAGAGATACTTACAGATAATAAGTCAAAATTGGGTTCATCTTTATATCCAATTATTCTAGTTAGCTCATTTTGGAGGGTGAAATGCACTTATGGTATATGTATCTTTATTGTATGTATTGCAGTTATTCATTATATATATTATTTTGATGGGCTATTATGGCAGAAGGCACTGTGATAGCTTCATCCAGCATCCTTGGCACACTGCTCACTTAAATTCCCACTTAGTTGGTGCAATAAGGACATTTGCTAGAGTGACTAGAGAAGGACAGAGATGGCAGAGGAGGAGAAGAGAGTTGTTGAATAATGTTTCCAAGATATGAGTGTGTCTTTGTCCGTTTGGGCTGCTATAACAAGTTACTCCAGATGGGTGGCTTAAAGACACACTAATTTCTCAGTTTTGGAGGTAGGGATAGTCCAGTCAAGGTGTCTGCAAATCTCATGTCTGGTAGGGCTGGCTTCTTGGTTTGCAGACAGCCACCTTCTTGCTGTGTCCTTACATGGCAGAGTGAGCAAGACAGAGGGGGAGAGAGAGAGAGAGAGAAAGAGAGTGAGTGAGCAAGCAAGTGAGCGCCCGAGAGAGCTCTAGTCTCTTCCTCTTGTTAGAAGAGCACTAATCCTATCATAAGGGCTCCAGTGTCATGACCTCATCGAAACCTAATTACCTCCCAAAGACTCTCCCTCTCAGTACAAAGACATTAGGGCTATAGATTGTGAATTTTTAGGGGACACAAACATTTAGTCTTTTGCAAAGTGCTAGCACTTGTTTTTGTTTTTGAAAATAAATATATGTGAAAGGAACAGGTAGGAAGAAAAAGAAGTGAATAAATAAAAAAATGAAATGAACACAACTATCACGGTCTCGTATACCTAGAAAGTGAAGTTTTGTGTGTTTGTGTGTGTGTGCTTTTTCATTTTCTTATGCATGGACCCATTACTGCAATGCCTTGGTGCCCAGGGTCTCTTAAGATGGCAAAGCAGTCCAGGTGCAGTGGCTCATGCCTGTAATCCCAGCACTTGGGGAGGCCAAGGTGGGCAGATCACTTGAGGCTAGGAGTTTGAGACCAGCCTGGCCAAAATGGCAAAACCTCGTTTCTACTAAAAATACAAAAATTAGCTGGGTATGATGGTGCACGCCTGTAATCCCAGCTGCTCGGGAGGGTGAGGCAGGAGAATCATTTGAACCCAGGAGGCAGAGGTTGCAGTGAGCCAAGATTGTGCCACTGCACTCCAGCCTGGGCAACAGAGTGAGACTCTGTCTCAAACAACAATAATGACAACAACCAAAGATGGCAAAGCAGAGATGCAATGAGTGATATGAGAGCTTTTCGCTTGAATAAAGAGTACTTCCTAGTAGTTAGCTGGACAGGCTTCATACCAGTGGATCTACTCAGACACAGGGCAAAAATCACAGCCCAGGCCTCAGCATTTCCCTGTGCTGTACCTGCAGCTAGGCTGATGACTGGTGAAGGAGCCCAGTCATTTTAGATCTTGCCTCCTTGGTGGCGCAGTAGTTGAAGAATGAGTTGAATGGATCAAGTTCCAATTCTAGCTGTATTGTCATTGCTGAGTCTTGTCTTGGAGGCCTTTTTCTGCTTTTGCTTTGACTTACTATTAATTCCCAATGCTTCACTTTTGGTTTCCTTCACCCTGTATTTAATGTCTTTGAAGATATGTGAGGCCTTATTAAAACAACTAACTTGATCATGTTGATTTCAAAGCCCGTGGGTTTTACTTACATTGAGGATTTTCCGTCCCAGTTCTTTAGACTAAAGAAGATGAAAATGTGTGTTCCGTAAATACACAGCCTTGTTATTTAATCAGTGTTCGTATGTTAATTCTGTCAAGTGGTTTGCATTGCTTGTGTGATGTGCATGAGGAAACTCTCAGTGTGCAACCTGTGAATGAAAACTCAGGAACTGTCAAATGCCTGTTCTGAGCTGTGAATGGTGAACCCCTGGGCAAGTACAGTGAAGAGACTTTGAGTGTCAGAGTTCTCTGGCGCTGCCCAGTGAAATTCCCAGGTACTTGATTTGGAGCTGGTCCTAAGACCGTGTTGTAGATGAATCCCTCTAGGTTTGGCAGATTATCATTATTATTTTTATTTTTATTTTTTTTTGAGATGGAGTTTCACTCTTTTTGCCCAGGCCGGGGTGCAATGGCACCATCTCGGCTCACTGCAACCTCCACCTCCCGGGTTCAAGTGATTCTCGTGCCTCAGCCACCAAGTAGCTGGGATTACAGGCATGTGTCACCCACACCTGGCTAATTTTTGTATTTTTAGTAAAGATGGGGTTTCACCACGTTGGCCAGGCTGGTCTCGAACTCCTGACCTCAGGCGATTGCCCACCTCGGCCTCCCAAAGTGCTGGGATTACAGGCATGAGCCATGGCGCCCGGCCCATATTGTCATTTTAAATCCAAATGAAGATTTTAAAAAAAATTCAGAATCTATTTTCTTAGGAACTAATGGTGCCATGTATTTTTCCTTTTGAGATAGAGGCATTCAATAAAGTTGAAACCAGCACATCCTTTTCAGCAGGTCTGCTAGGGAGCAGATTAATGGAAAATAAAACTAAGACTCCCTGGTTCATTTTGGGCTCGTTCCAGCTGTGCTGTGGATTAAAACGACTTCAGCGTTGCCCTGTCTCACCCCTCCATCCTGATTTTGTGTTATTTGATCTTAATATTCATATGTACCTTGGATCAGTGAATTTGCTATTTTTCTCATAACGTCATTCACCAATTCTAATCCTCTAATTCCTTTCATGCAAACTCAACAATATCTCTGTGGTGCCATTATTTTTCCTGATCACTAGCTCCAAGTTACTGGGGGAGGATTTATTTTCAAGGTTTGGCATCTGAATGGCCCAGACCATAACACCCAGTGGCTTTCTCCAGCTCATTATTAGACAGAGGGGACTTGATGGTATGATAGGAAACCCGAGTGAGTGGCTGTTAGGGGTGGTGATCAGGAACAGGCAGCCTGCCTGGAGGGTCTGGCCTGGGCAGACGGCACTGTGTTGGGGCCCCCGTGTACCAGTTCTGCTTTCAGGTTGCAGAGGAGAGAAGTGGCTCTGCTGTTTTACTGGGCCAGGAACTCAGCTCTGCACTTGACTTCATTACAAACCATCAGATGGAAGAGTCAACCCAATAACTTTCCATTTCCCAACCGGGAAATAATTCTGGGAAGATGTTTGGCTCTATCGGTGCAATGCAAAGGGCTGTGTTACTGGCTAATAGGAACCAGCAGACATTTGGCACGTGGTGACATACACACACGCACACACCCAAAGGCCTATGAGTCTCATACCTTGCCAAATGTGTATTGAGTGGGAGACTTCTGGCTTTTCACTTGAGAAATGTTCAGTGCAAACGTCTGTATGGGCTGTTTAAGGGTTGAGCTGCTTTCCTGTCTCACAGTCACCACCAGTAGGCAGCTCCTCCTCCCCTGTGGGTGCTACACTCCTATCTCGGGGCTGCCCGGCGACACAAGCCCAGATGCCAGCTATTTGCAGTGCATACCAATCTACTGGGCAGCATTAGAATCACAGAAGATGTGAGGAACTGAAAAGTGATCATTTCCTTGGATCAGGGCAAGCTAACACTCTAACAATCAAAGATGCAAGGACTGCATCCCTTGGAAGGGTCACTGGATGCATCAAAGGACATCTCTTTGGGTCCTCTGGTCCCCTCCCTGGTACTTGCACCTTTCCATCCTGGGAGCCTATTCCCTAGGATCTAGTCAACTCTCGGACACTTCCTTGAAATAAGTAAATAAGACCTCCAGATCAGAATGGAGTCCACCTCCTGACCCAAAGCCACTTCACACATCTTTATTAGATTAAGTTCCCACAGCTGGGATTATCTCTGTGCTAGAAGCTATTGATGTTGGGCTGCTCTATTGCATTATTCAAAGGCACTGACATCTGTGCCACCTCCTTTTCTACTGTGTGTCTTGTCTTCTAATCTTTGATTAGTTGATAGTTTTTTTTTTATTTTTTGAGGCAGAGTCTTGCTTTGTCGCCCAGGCTGCAGCGCAGTGGCGCAATCTCCGCTCACTGCAAGCTCCGCCTCATGGGTTCACGCCATTCTCCTGCCTCAGCCTCCTGAGTAGCTGGGATTACAGGTGTGTACCACCACGCCCGGCTAATTTTTTGTATTTTTAGTAGAGACGGGGTTTCACCGTGTTAGCCAGGATGGTCTCAGTCTCTTGACCTCGTGATCTACCTACCTTGGCTTCCCAAAGTGCTGGGATTATAGGCGTGAGTCACTGCGCCCGGCCAGATGAGTTCATAGTTAAAGCAGCAACAAAACAACACGAAATGGGGGAACATTAGCTGTACTTTTCTTTAGATATTTCCAGAGAAGGAATCTGTACATTTTCCAGTGATGGAGGACTGGACAAATTCCGATGAATTTTAAATTTATTTTAGATAAGGGAGTGGAGTAATGTAGTGCCCTTTTAGAATCCTATAAATGAGAGTTGAAAATGACCACAGATCAGGCCGGGTGCAGTGGCTCATGCCTGTAATCCTAGCACTTTGGGAGGCCAAGGCGGGTGGATCACGTGAGGTCAGGGGTTCGAGACAAGCCTGGCCAACATGGCGAAACCCCGTCTCCACTAAAAATACAAAAACTAGATGGGCATGGTGGTGCATGCCTGTAATCCCAGCTACTTGGGAGGCTGAGGCAGGAGAATTGCTTGAATCCGGGAGTCAGAGGTTGCAGTGAGCCGAGATTGTGACACTACACACCAGCCTGGGCAATAAAAGCAAAACTCTGTCTCAAAAATAAATAAATAAAAATAAAGAAAATGACCATAGATCTTTGATATGCCTCTAGCCTATATCTAACTCAGAAATCCCACCAACGACATCCCTAAAAGATATTGCTTAATCTGTCCTGAATCTTTTTTTGTGATGGAGGATCTCACATCTCTTTTTAAAACCAACACTTTAAAGGTTAAGTTTACTTAAAATGCACACATTTTAAGTGTGCAGTTGGTGAGTTCTGACAAGTGTATCATGTAATCACCATCCCAATTAAGATATAGAACCTTTCCTTTACTCCAGAAAGTTCCCTGGTTCCCCTCTGTAAGTTTACCCCCAACTCTCCACCCCCAAAAAACACTGACCTGATTTCTGTCACTGCAGGTTAGTTTTGCCAGTTTAGAGAAGTCATATAAATTGAATTGCACACTATGTTCTCTTTTTTGTCTGGCATCTTTTTCACAGCATGTTTCTGAGGTTCCTCTATTTTCCAATCAGGAGACTAAAATCAAGAGATTTCCAGCCTTTGTTGCACACTTATATGACATGGAATAAGACCAGGCTGAGCATCATTGCATGCTTCTTGTGCCCATGCTGAGGCAATTGAAGGTCCTGAACATTTTTCTTCTTTGATAGGAGTGTGCCCAGGAAATGACTAACTGTCCTGAGTTGCCTAGGATTCAGGGAATTTCCTTGATATGAGATTTTTCAGTGGTAAACTTGACAGGTCCCAGGCAAATTGAGACAGATTGGTTACCTGTCCTCCTCTAGGAAGTACCATAAAGAACATTAGACACCAGGGTAGAAACTTTTTTTTTTTTTTTTAAGAGACAGAGTCTCTCTGGAGTGCGTTGGTGTGATCATAGCTCACTGCAACCTTGAATTCCTTTGCTCAAGTGATCCCCTGCTTCAGCCTCCAAGTAGCTGGGACTACAGGCATGCACCACCACCCCCAAATAATTTTTACATTTTTTTTGTAGAGATAGAGTCTTGCTATATTGCCCAGGGTGGTCTCAAACTCCTGACCTCAAGTGATCCTCCCACCTTAGCCTCCCAAAGTACTGGGATTAGAGGTGTGAGCCATTGTTCCCTGCCGGATTTTATGTTTTTTTCTTTCTTTCTTTTCTTTTCTTTTTTTTTTTTTTTTTTGAGATGGAGTCTCGCTCTGTTGCCCAGGATGGAGTGCAGTGGTGCCATCTCGGCTCCCTGCAACCTCCACCTCCTAGGTTCAGGCCGATCCCGAGTAGCTGTGACTACAGATGTGTGCCACCATGCCTGGCTAATTTTTGTATTTTTAGTAGAGACAGGGTTTCACCATGTTGCCCAGGCTGGTCTCAAACTCCTGACCTCAGGTGATCTGCCTGCCTCGGCCTCCCAAAGTGCTGGGATTACAGGCGTGAGCCACTGCACCTGCCTTATGTTTCTTTAACTTAAGGCTCTCAGCTACAAAGGACCCAACTTTGGGAGAGTCCCTGTGGAAACTAAATCCAGCTGGAGGGTTTGCTGAAGGCTTGCATTACTTACCTGATTTCAACTGAGATAAAAAATTTTTTTTAACATTCTCTATAATTTGGTTTTCTATTTTATTAAGGCCATATTATGTTTTATTACTTTTCTACCTTCCAAAATATTACTTTAAGAGATTTAACATCACCAGCATTTAATGCTCTTAAATGTAATGAAGATTGTGAAGTATGTATTTGAAAGCACTAAGATTAACAAATTAATAATTATTATGATTTCGAGTTGCTTGATTTGATGGACTCCAGCTTGATTACTTTGAAGTCAGTTTAATTTTTCAAATCCAGCCAGTTTTTCAGCTGAATTAGAAGGCATTGTTCTATCAGGGCCTCTCAGACGATGTGTCCTAATCTCCCATTTATAGCTGAAATAATTCATTAGCTGGATGTTAGCAGAACACGTTCTTCTGTTGATGTTCAGATAAAATATCTGCCAGCTTTCCTTTTGGGGTAGATGAAATCTCTGGCATTTTACTGTGCCACATAATTTTCCATATAAATTTTGAAATATCATCCTCTTATAAGCAGGTAGGATTCCAAGGGCAGTATTTCCTAAGTATCATGGGGGATGATGTGATGGTTTTGAAGTTTATCTGTGAACTTTTACATATTATACAAGGTTTGTGAGGCCTTTTTATGCTTGACTTCAAAGAAATGCCTTTGTTCTTCTTGTTAGTTTTTTGATTTTTAAAAATTACATGCAGAATGAATGAACGTATCACTATGTCAAAATTTAAACAAAAAGAAGTCTACTAGGGGCCAGGGACAGTGGCTCATGCCTGTAATCACTTTGGCGAGCTGAGATGGGAGGATTGCTTGAACCCAGGAGTTTGCCCTCAGCCTGGGTAACATGGCAAGACCTCTGTCTCTACAAAAAATAAAAATTAGCTGGATGTGGTGGTGCATACCTGCAGTTCCAGGTACTTGGGAGGCTGAGGCAGGATTGTTTGAGCGCAGGAGTTCAAAACCAGCCTGGGCAACATGGTGACACACCCTTCTCTAAAAAAAAAATTAAAAATTAGCCAGGCGTGATAGTGCACCTGTGGTCCCAACTCTGGAGGCTGAGGCAGGAGGATTGCTTGAGCCTGGGAGGTCAAGGCTGCAGTGAGCCGTGATCTTGCCACTGCACTCCAGCCTGGGTGGAGTGAGACCCTGTCTCAAAAAATAAAAAAGAAGTATACTAGTAAATGGTATACTTCATGGTAAATGAAAATCAGTCTTTACCATGTCAAGCCCTATGCCAGTCAGATTAAGGGCTATCCTTCCAGAATTTTTATGTACAATTGAATTCAGCCTGTAATTTTATGTATTTTTTTAACTGAATCATACCATAGATATATATTTGTTTTTCCATTTAAGTGGATTTTGAAGATTTTTTTTTTCATGTTAGAATATATCTATTGACTTCATTATTTTTAAAGCTATGTTGATTCTATAGTATGGCTATAACTAAAATTATTTAACCATTCTGCTGTCAATAGTTTTTTAAGGCTACTTCTGTTTTTTGTTGTGTTACTATGAACATATTTATCTGTCTCTCCTCATATGTGCGATTATTTCTCTATCTAATATCTAGAAATTTGAGTTGCTGTGTTAATGGGTGAATTAAATTAAAAATTTACTACGTACTACTAACTTGGTCTCTGAAAAAGCTATACCAGTTTTCCCTCCAAGTTTGAACTTTTTTAATGGGAAAAATTGGAAACAAAGTAAACATAGTTAATTAAATTTTGTAAGCTCAAATCACAAACTGGGACTTTGCTCTGCTTTTAACAAAATTTTATTTATTATTTACTTATACATTTGATTGGTATAAAACTTCTCAGAAAAGCTTAGGACACTTGGCTTGTTGATTTATTTGGCAGTTATAATTTAATAGACTTCACACGAGCTCTGAGTTAGAATGAATCTGAGTGTTTCCCCATGACTGACTGATAAGATGTTTCTATATAATAAACACTAATTAAAATGTGATCAGCTTGGAATAATCAAGAAATTACCTGCAACTAAAAGATCTCTTTCATACCAAAGGTCAGGTTAAAAGTTGAGTTCTTTAGTATTTCCTTAATATTTCATTCCCATTTTTACAACTCACTAATTTCTTGAATCATCGACTATTTTTTTTTTTGTAAAGAATAACTGAATGCCAAAGTGTTGCTAAGCTTCATCATTTTTTAATGAGGTGGTAGTGCCACTTACTAGTCTACCATCGTAAGTAATTAAAACTGCCATACTTGTCTGAGTAAATGAGGCAGGAGAAAGTTCTTAAGACGATGTAGTGGTTTTGTGATCAATTTGCTTCACCTATTTTTCCTTTTTTTTTTGAGACGGAGTCTTGCTCTGTTGTCCAGGCTGGAGTGCAGTGGCACAATCTCGGCTCACTGCAACCTCTGCCTCCCGGGTTCAAGTGATTCTCCTGCCAAGGAGAATTTTGTGGGCCAAGATGAAAGAGACATGGATGATAGGAGGGCTTCTGGTCTGGTGGGGAGCTAAACAGGTGCACACATAACTACAGTTGAGTATGATCAATATTATAGTTCAGATCCATACAAAAAGCCACGAGATCACTGGATAGGGAGCAACATGAAGACTTGAGCAATTTGGAAAGTTCTTCCTGCAAAAGTATTCACTTTCCAGAGTCCTGTTGGCAGTAGCAAATTATCATGTATAGAAAAAAGAGCAGGAAAGGTCTCATCTACAACTCTGCTTCTTTTTTTGTTGTTGTTGTGATGAAACTTTAAATTTTATTTGTATAAATTTATGGGGCGCAAGTGTAGTTTTGTTACATACAAGTCAGGGCTTTAGGTTTTCCATCGCCTTAATAACATACATTGTACCCATTTGGTACTTTCTCATATTTGATGCTATTAAATGGAATAGTTTTCTTTTCTTTTCTTTTTTTTTTTAACACCAGTATGCAGACTTTCCAAATGTGATGAGACCTGCCATTGTCATTTAAATGCATTAGGCTGCATCCATCAAGAACTTGACCCAAAGTGGCTTAGCAATAAAGGCATTTATTTATTAAATTAGTCAGAAATCTGGGGCAGGCAGACCTGTTTTGTTCAGCAGTTCAACTTGTTACTGAAGATGTCCTTTTACTCTGCCATTTCTCCACATGGTGGGGAAGTCTTTCCACGTTGTGGTATGAAGCCCGTAGCAGCTGAAAGCTTTGTGAACTCACCTATCCAAGCACATCCCACACTCCCAAACTTTGTATAATGAGACTCCTCTCTGAGAACCCGAATTTTCTTTTTCTTTTTCTTTTTTTTTTTTTTTGAGACAGAGCCTTACTCTGTCACCCAGGCTGGAGTGCAGTGGTGTGATCTTGGCTCACTGCAGCCTCCGCTTCCCGGGTTCAAGTGATTCTTGTGCCTCAGCCTCCCAAGTAACTGGGATTACAGGCATGCACCACCACACCTGAGTAATTTTTGTATTTTTAGTCAAGACGGGGTTTTGCCATGTTGGCCAGACTGGTCTCAAACTCCTGACCTTGGGTGATCTGCCTGCCTTGGCCTCCCAAAGTGCTAGGATTACAGGTGTGAGCTACCGCGCCCGGCCTGGAACCTTCATTTTCTTACCCATGTTGTGTTTTTGTTCCTGTGCTCCTGTGCCTGTCTGCTGTGCTGAGCTGCAGATGTGTCCTGCCACAGCTTTGCAGGACAGGGATAAGTTGAGACAGGAAGCAAGAAGCCTTGCCTGTCAGGCTGCCCTTGGCATGACTGGAGTGTACGTGGGGATTTTCACCTCTTATTTTGGGGTCCATTCTGTTCCTTCTTTGAACCCCAGTCTCTACAGGATAGGGTGTTTTGGGACAGAGTTCGTCTTACTTTAGATATAAATAATATAAAATTAACCCATTATAAATTTATTTTTTATTTAAAAAATTTTTTAAAAGACAGGCTCTCACTCTCCCACGCAGGCTGGGATGCGGTGGTATAGTCATTGCTCACTGCAGCCTTGAACTCTTGGGCTCAAGCCATCATCCCACCTCACACTCTCTCCCTAGTAGCTGGGTCTACAGGCATGCACTGCCACACCTGGCTAACTTCAAAAATTTTTTTGTAGAGACAGGGTCTCACTCTGTTGCCCAGGCTGGTCTTGAACTTCTGGCCTCAAATGATTCTCCTGCCTCGGCCTCCCAAAGTACTGGGATTACAGGTGTGAGCCACTACAGCCAGCCAATAACTTCTTTTTCTCAAGACATATCAGTAGTGACTTCACTACTAATCAGTAATGAGAGACTTCACTACTCATCAGTAGTGAGCTGAAATCAGTATTTTCTTACTCAGTCCCATACACACACAGTCCACACACTGTCTCTCATACACACACACACACACACGCACACACCATACAAACATGCACACATATGGAAAAAAATCCTGATGATGAGCATTGCTTTTCTTTGGGAATACGGGTGATGATTCTTCTCCTCTTTTTTCCTCTTTCTTTCTACCCCCTTTCCTTCTTTTATGTATTTGAGCTCAATAGAATTTCTCGTTATTGAGTATATATTATTAGTAAAAATTTGATGAAAACAATTTTTTTTTTTTGAGACACGGTTTCACTTTGTCACCCGGGCTGGAGTGCAGGGGTGCGATCTCGGCTCACTGTAACCTCTGCCTCCTGGGCTTAAGTGATTCTTCCACCACAGCCTCCTGAGTAGCTGGGACTATAGGTACACACCACCGCACCTGGCTGATTTTTAAAAAATTGTTTATAGAGACAGGTCTCCCTATGTTGCCCAGGCTGATCTCAAACTCCTGGGCTTAAGTGACCTTCCTGCCTTAACCTCCCAAAGTGCTAGGATTACAGGCATGAGCCACCGAATCTGGCCAATAATTTAAATAAAAGAAAAATTATTGGAAAATATTTATGTCCTTTGCTTTATGCTTTTACTGTCTCATTCTTTTTTTACTGCCATCGGAGAGTTGCATCTTATTTGTTTACAGTATTAGACCTGGGCATATAAAATACAATTTATACATTGTATTACTCGGGATTCTTAATGTGGACCAAAAATCCTGGACCAAGTTTTTTGCTGTTTCAGTGATGAGACATGTATATTAGAAAATCAAGGTAGGGGTATCCTAGACATGGTTAACTTTGGAGGACAGTGCTTTGTTCTGTGCTGTTTCCCTCTTGGGTAGAGAGAGACTCTAAGAAGATTAAATGGAGTGGAACACTGCAGGTTTTGAGAATAAAGAGTTTATTTCTCCAGGTCATAGCTTCTAACTGAGGTCAAATGTATCACAAAGGCTAAGTGGAGTAAAATGATTTGGCAGTTTCCATATCTACCTGGTAGATAGACTTGCTTTCAAAAAAAGCATTCGGTTGGTATCTTGATCATTAGTTTCAGAGAATAAGCCTTTGATTTAATTAATTTGGAGATTGATTGCTATATTCACTATTGACTTCTGTAAAATGTCCCTCCAGCCAAGGGTCTGGGGCAGACACATGGACAATATGCTCTGAAATTCTAGTTGCTTTTGAAGATATCAGCAATTACTGAGTGCCTTAGGATATAATGCACCTAACTTAGAAAAATAGCTGCTTCTTAACCCACTTTTCTTTTTCTTTTTTTTTTGGAGACAGGATCTCGTTCTGTCACCCAGGCTGGAGTGCGGTGGCGTGATCTCGGCTCACTGAACCTCTGCCTCTTGGGTTCAAGCAATTCTTGTGTCTCAGCCTCTGAGTAGCTGGGACTACAGACGTGTGCCACCACACCCGGCTTATTTTTGTATTTTTAGTAGAGACAGCGTTTCGCCATGTTGGCCAGGCTGGTCTCAAACTCCTGACCTCAAGTGATTCACCCGCCTCAGCCTCCCAAAGTGTGTGGATTACAGGTGAGCCACCGTGCCTGGCCTTAACCCACTTTTCATAATTTGCATTTTGCACCACAAAGTGGAATAATTGGGAGAATATTGGACTGACTGCATATACACAATGAAATAATACCATGTGATCATTCTTGAAAATAGGGTAGCTTTATATGTACCAATACTGAAGTATTTCCATGGTAGTTACATGGATAATACCAGGTTTCTAACGGTATATATGTTTTCACGTATGTGAAAAGATTTTCCTTAATTATAAAAATATTTATTTTCTTTTTAAATTTGAATGTCTCTGAAATCGACATGTATTTTGCAATTGATAGCCTCCTGCCTGTCTGTGTCAGCTGGGCAGCGGCAGTGGTGTAGTATGAATGCCTGCATGGACATGAACTGGGTTGCTCTTCTACCTGGAATGATGGGGCAACTACAGCCCTTTGATGCTTCCATCAACACACCATTTAATGACCATTTGACAAGAGAATATGAGTCTAGGCCAGGCACAGTGGCTCATGCCTGTGATCCCAGCACTTTGGGAGGCTGAGGTGGGCGGATCACCTGAGGTCAGGAGTTTGAGACCAGCCGCCTGGACAACAAAGTGAAACCCTGTCTCTAGTAAAAATACAAAAATTAGCCGGGCATGGTGGCATGCACCTGTAATCCCAGCTACTCGAGTGGCTGAGGCAGGAGAATCACTTGAACCCAGGAGGCAGAGGTTTTGCAGTGAGCTGAGATCATGCCACTGTACTCCAGCTTGGGCGACAAAGTGAGATTCCAACTCAAAAAACAAAACAAAACAAAAAAACAGAACAAAAAGAATATGAGTCTAGTTGGTGTCTGAAAACTTTCTTTGGCAACTTTGGTAATATTAAGAAAGCATCAACATTAAAACGTGGCGATGTCAGTAGCTTGGAGGCAAATCTCAGAGGTCATAGTAGAGCACTCTTTTAAGCAATGCTGTGTTGCTTACGGTCTTAATGTTAACAAGCAAAATATTGTACAGAAATACACAGACATCAAAGATCAAAAAGTGATTCAAAAGAGACTCTGAAGAAGTTTTGATACTTAAACCAATTTAACTTATATTTTTTTCTAAGTATTCACAAGAGTGATAAATAATAAAAATCTATAAGTAAATTTAAAAGAGCTCTTTCACTAACTATAAATACAAAGTCTAGGTATAAGAAAGCCTTGTATCATAGTTTAATTGGATATACTTTCCCTCCCTCCCTTCCTTTCTTCCTTTATCCCGCATTCCTTCCTTCATCCGTCTATCCACCCCTCCATTTATTTTATATTTTATTTTTATTTATTTATTTATTTTTTGAAGACAGATTTTCACTTTGTCACCCAGGCTGGAGTGCAGTGGAGCGATCTTGCCTCACTGCAACCTCTGCCTTCCGGGTTCAAGTGATTCTTGTGCCTCAGCTTCCCGAGTAGCTGGGATTACAGGTGTGTACCACTACACGAAATGAAGTTTTTCTGTTTTTAGTAGAGACAGAGTTTCACCATCTTGGCCAGGCTGGTCTCGAATTCCTGGCCTCAGGTGATCTGCCTGCCTCAGTATCCCAAAGTGCTGGGATTACAGGCGTGAGCCACCACGCCTGGCCCCTCCCCACCCCCCCACCATCTTTTTTTTTTTTTTTTTTAATGAACTTAACAAAGGGAACTTTAATAAAGGGAAGGGACCTAGATGGCTGGGGTGTGGGGAAGAAGACTTACTTTTCCCATATAATCTTTTGTTCACTTTACTTTTATTTTTATCAAAGCTATATATGCTCCACATTTCAATAGCAAATGGGTATCTTCTCAGATTACTACTTTTAGGCTGGGCTCAGTGGCTCACGCCTGTAATCCCAGCACTTTGGGAGGCCGAGATGGGCGGATCGCCTGAGGTCAGGAGTTCGAGACCAGCCTGACGAACATGGTGAAACCCCGTCTCTACAAAAAATACAAAAATTAGCCGGGCGTGGTGGTGCACGTCTGTAGTCCCAGTTACTGGGGAGGCTGAGGTGGGAGGAGTGCTTGAACCCAGTAGGGGAGGTTGCAGTGAGCTGAGATTGTGCCTCTGCATTCCAGCCTGGGCAATACAGTGAGACTCCATCTCAAAAAAAAAACAAATAAATAAAAGATGACTACTTTCAATAGTTTTTTCTGACTCTTGGTTGTTATCATCAGATCTCTGAATAACATGCTGATATTAGTATTTCATGATTTTTTGCTATTAAGCATTATCATTGACTCCCTGTCTTGGAAGATGAGGAATCACTCTTTTACCCTCTCCTGTTCAACACATACACACTCATCCTTCCTATATCCCCCGTCCACTTACAGTTATATTATCATGTTTGATGGATCAATATTCCCTCTTTACATTATTATGACTATGTAAATAATATTCATAGGTGAACCAGAGAGCACAAGGATTACTTTTCTTTTTTGCCCTGAGTTAATAATTGGATAATTGTGCAGTAAGATTTTAACACACTTCTCCTAGTAATTGAAAGAATAAGTACTTGTTTTCAGAAATGAATAGAAAATGTGATTAAAACCTTTGAACTAATTGACATGTATAGAGCACAGTACAGAATACATAGCCTTTTTAAGTATTGAGGGAACATTAAAAGAAAATGGCTATATGCTGGCATTAAAGTAAATCTAAATAAATTTCAAAGATTTGCAATATACAGATTATGTTCTCCAACTACAATGCAAATAAGATAGAAACAACAACAACAACAACAAAACTAGAAAAAGCCCTTCTTTTGGAAAATTAGACATACTTCACAACATCCCATGGTTTAAAGATAGCAAAACTGAAATTTGAGAAACCTCAAACTGAATGAAAATGAAAATATTACAAATCAAAATTTGTGGAAAAAAATGCCGGCCCATAAGAAGGCCCATAGCCCTACCCTACCTCCTCACATCATCCTTATCTTTTCCTTTGTACTCAATTTACAAGAGAAGAAAATACAGATGAGATCTATATCTGAGATCGTCTTCAGTGTTATGAAAGGGAGCTTAGGGAAGGAGGAAAAGATCTTTTTATTTTAACTTTTATTTTAGGTTCCGGGGTACATGTGCAGGTTTGTTATATAGGTAAATTTGTGTCACAGGGGGTTGTTGTACAGATTATTTTGTCACTCAGGTACTAAGCCCAGTACTCAATAGTTATTTTTTCTGCTCTTCTCCCTGGGAAGAGGAAAAGATCTTGACCATGTATTTCCAAAAAGCAGAAATAGAATAAATGGCTAGAAATGCAAGAAAGGCAGATTTTCGCTCAGTGTAAGAGAAAATGTGATTATTATTTGTTTTGATGTATTAGGAGATAATGAGTTTCCTATCACTGGAAATACACAAACGATTCAGTGTGGATCCCAGCAGGAGGTGGGGGATTTGACTAGTCATCTGTGTTTAAAAACAGTGTTAACATGCTACATGAAAATACGACAGTTTTAATAATTTTTGAATCTGAACGGTGGGTGTTCCATGTTAATTGTACTGTACAGTTAACTTTTCTCTAAGCTTGACAATGTTGATGATTAAAAATTGAAAAACAAAACAAAAAAATAATAATTGGGTAATTGTGTCTTAATTTTCTTAATTGCTGGGTTTTCTGTGTACTTATCAGTAATTCAGCCCCAAACTCTTTGACCAGTCAGAAATAATTACTCCTTTCTCCCACCATGGCCATTTGCATTTTTGTTAGTCTAGATTGAATATTGGCTAATGGTTTAACATTTACATTCATAATCATAATATCCCTTGGGGCTTATTTTGTTTATCTTTGAAGTCCCAGAATTCTCAGCTTAATGCTTTTCAAATAATAGGACTCAGTAAAACCTTGCTTTTTAGAAATGCCTATGCTTCTCTGAGTTAGTAATGTCTTCTGTCTCCAGATATGTTGACTGCAATAGAAAGCACTTTAGGAGGTTAAGGTGGGAGGCATCACTTGAGCTCAGGAGGTTGAGAGCACCCTGGGGAACATAGTGAGGAACGTGTCCCAATCAATCAATCAGTCAATCCAGTTTTAGTAACTAACCAACTAACCAGAGTGTGATACATCTGTATGTGGTCTTTAATAACTAAGAATAAGAGGTAGCAACAAACCCTCTACAGAGTTATATAGCCTCATCATGAAAGTTTCATGTCAGAGTTCTGCAGAACATTCTGGGACTCCGAACTGACTTTGCCAACCCCTTAAGGCCGTCTCAGCCCCTGTTTCCCTGAGTGAAGGGCAGTGCCTTAAACTGTTGCTCCTCCTCTGTTTTCAGTGATAAGATCAGCTGTAGCATCAAGGAGTAGCAGCAGTGGTGACATGAGCTGGGCAGACAGTGGTGACAGCGATAGTGGCAATGACAATAACCTGGGAGTGCTGGCTAGAGAGTTCTTGCCCGGTTAACTCACCCCCAAGAGCGGAGCCTCAGAGACCCACGGACCCACACTCTGGACAATGCTCTTCCCAAAACCTCTCCTCTTCCCAACACCTAATTCTCACTTTTTCTTATTATTGAAAGAAACTGAATTTTGTTTCGTGCTTGGATATTGAAGTTGTCAGAAGTACTTTAATTTGCTTTAAGCTTATTCTGGGGAGTTCTAATAGGGAAGTAGCACTATTCATAGTTATCTCAAACACTAGAAGTTGTTTGAGTTTTGTGAAACAAACGATTTAATCCAAAGCAGAAAATGAGAAAAAACTCAGGTCACTGCAAGTTTAGTTACAGCTGAGGTGATTAACAATAGTTGTAATTTATGAACTATTGCTATTCCTACAATAGTCATATTTTGCCAATTGTTTCATGAGCTTTAACATTTTTTTGGCCTTAGTTTTCCCTTCAGATGGGTAAAAGGCTCTGTAGTAAAATCTTTTAGCAAAAAGAAAGTCTTTATCTCTGTTTAATTAAGTGTCAAGAACACAGTGGAGAGGATTTGTCATTTGTGATAAAATTAGAATGTAGTCAAACAACGTAACTGGAGACCTTCACCCCAACCTGATTATTCTTTGTGGTTACCTGGGTCTCAGTATTCTGTATATTTTAATTCTTAGCTCAGAGAAGGAATTTACAGCACAGTACCTGAATGGGGAGTGTGTTTTTGGTTTCAAGTATTTTGATGGTTTCTTTCTTAAAAGGAGTCTCATCTTCTGATTTTCAATTTTTCCTTCTTAAATAAAAGGCTTGCATTTTTCTTTTACATTATCACCAGATGGATGAAGAGAAGGGAAAATAGAAGCCTAGGATGGTGATAACAAGGGGTTAGAACCAAGAAACATAGTATTTTTAGAAAAATCAAGGAGCAAGACAGCAAGAGAAAACTTGCAACAGAACTTGGAATAATCAGTTGATCGGATGGAAGTTCCAAGCTTTTGAAATGGACCTCTGTATTAATCATATTCTGATAGGAAAACAAATTATTCTAGGTATTTCAAACAGTGGGAATGTATTACAAGAATTGGTTACAAAGGGGCTGAAGGGCTGGTGGAGCAAAATACAGAAAGAGAAGGTTATACAGAATGAATAACTGCAGGAAATCCCTGCTACGCTTCGACTGGAGAGGCACAGGAAGGGTAGCATTGCCCAGAGTGAGGGCCAGTGGGTCTCTGAGGCTCTACTGTTGGGGGTGAGTTAACCGGGCAAGAACTCTCTAGCCAGCACTCCCAGGTTATTGTCACTGCTACTATCGCTATCACCACTGTCTGCTTAGCTCATGTCACCACTGCCACTACTCCTTGATGCTACAGCTGATCTTATCACAGTCAGGAGTGCTAATGCTTGCTCTGCTACATGAGAATTGGAAGAGTTTCCTTCTCTCTTCCTTCTGAGACAGGATAGTTCCCGTGACTTCCTTGTGGGCCTTGCGACAGGGATGACTTGTTTACTTGTTTACTTGGCCTCCATGCTCAAACCCCTTGCAGGAAGGGGAGCACGCAGGTGAGTGGGTGCAGGAGCCTGGGCAAGTGCTTTTGGGCGCCAGCAGGAACAAACCGCATACCAGCCCACGGCAGTGTCTAGGGGTTGCCTGTGACCTCTGAAGCCCCAGAGGGCATGTGTTACAATCAGTGCTCTTTTAGCACTTGTCGTCCGTGGATGGCTAAG
This sequence comes from Homo sapiens, assembly GCF_000001405.40. NCBI lineage: Eukaryota > Metazoa > Chordata > Mammalia > Primates > Hominidae > Homo > Homo sapiens. The sequence goes on along the minus strand of NC_000008.11, from coordinate 33,395,681 downwards.
TGTTAAACAGCTCAGTGGAGAGTCAGTTTGACAGCCTCTTGAACCTACGCTCAGGTCCTTATCCAGTGCCCAAGAGGAATGAGGTCAAACTGACTTGAAGGATGGTGAATGTGGAGATTTTATTGAGTGGTGGAAGTGGCTCTCAGTGGGATGGGGAGCTGGAAAGGGGATAGAGCGGAAAGATGATCTTCCCCTGGAGTTTGGCCGGGGATGGCCAAACTCCTCTCTAACTGTCCCTGGCCAAACTCCTCTCCAATCGTCCCTGGCCGAACTCCTCTCTGACTATAATCTCTGATGTCCAGCTGCCTCTTCTCCTCTCCATGTTCAGATGCTCCTTCTCTTCTGCTTTTCTGCCACACCGCTCTGCTCCTCTGCCAGTGGAGCTTGGGGTTTTTATGGGCACAGGATAGGTGGTGGGGCAGGCCAAAAGGCAACATTTGGGCAGGAAAGTGGGGATGTAAATTTCTCATTTAGGGCCGAGGGTCCAGGCTTGAGGGTAGAACCCTTGCCAGGGACCCCACCCTCTTCTACCCAGTATTTCCCTGCCTCCTGTCTGTATCATTCCCACCTTCAGTCTTCTTACAGTGCTCCTAGTTGTAAAACCTAATTGCAAGCCAGTTGTCCAGGGAGCCTGAGGAATGAAGTTTGCAGAGTTTCAGCCCCATACAATAAGGAGCATAGCATAGAAGGTTGGACATGGAGCTGAGCAACTGACAAGCCAATGACTCATGCAGCCTCCTCTTAGAAAAAAAGTACTAAGCTGACTCTGTGCTCTTTATGAACCTGGGTTTGGCTGAGAGTACTGTAATCTTGGGCTAAAGACTGTTGTACTAATAAGGCTAGTGTTTTAAATCCGAAAGGCAGGTGTGTTGGGGGACATTGGTGTATCTGGAAGAAATTTTTCTCCACCAGAAAGGAAGTCTCTGCTTTAAATTCTGTGCTTTAGAGATGGATTTATATGAGCATTGGCACATTGACCCATTAAGGTGGAGATGTTTTTTTTTTTTTTAATTTTTAAGAGCAAAACCTTTCATGTATATCATGTTTTGTTTCTTATAGGAAATTGGCATTGGTATATTTGAAATCATTCCACGAAAAATATAAATGTGAAAAACAACTTTATCACTGGCTTACAGTGTTGGTTCAGCATGTGAAAGATTAAGGGGCTACTCAGATCTGGGGCAGTGTTGCTAAGTGGCAGGTCCTTATGTGATCTGGAGTCAGTCTGGACATTGTGGGTAAAGAGGGGTAAGACTTCGAACAGGATTTGAGTGAACTTCCACCCTCACTCCAAAGAAGAAGAGGAAATGAGTGGTTCACTTGTGGGGGTCCTGAGTGGATGGATGGGAAGGTTTGAGGGATTAGGTGAGGGTCAGTTAGCAAGCAAGGGAGAGTCATCTCTTTCCCCCTTTTTACCTCATGCCAGGTCCCAAGAAGAATCACCACCTTTGGCAGAAAATGATGGTAATTTTTATTTTATTTTATTTATATTTTTTTGAGACAAGATCTCACTCTGTCACCCAGGCTGGAGTGCAGTGGCGTGATCACGGTGCACTGCAGCCTCAACCTCTTGGGCTCAAGCGATCCTCCTACCTCAGCCTCCTGAATATCTGGGACTATAGGTGTGCACCATCACATCCAGCTAATTTTTTAAAAACATTTCTTGTGGACAGGGTCTCACTATGTTGCCCAGGTTGGCCTTGAACTCCTGGGCTCAAGCAATCCTCCTGCCTCAGTCTCCCAAAAGGACACAACAGTTTTATGGTAGAGATTATTTTTTAAAACAGATTACCTTTGGAGAGCATTCTGCAGAAGCACTTCTCTTTTCCAAATTAAGGCAGGCTGGGCTTTCCACATCATTCGTGTGCTAAAGCTGGCTAACATTTCTGTGGGTGTAATTGCAAGTACCAAGAATGTCATTCCATGGAATCAACATTGCAGCAGGGCCTGTCGTCCCTCTGGTCCTTTCCTATTTGCTGGTCAGACGTTCTTGTCCCCACCCGGGATTTTCAGCTCTAGATGAGTGATTCACACTGCATTAGTAAAGTGAGGTTAATAATGTATGTTGCCTTCTGTTTTCACCAGTTTGTATGGGAGTAATGAAAGAAGAGGCCATGCTCCTGCAGAAGGAGAGGGGCATATAAACATGTCCCATAAAGTATGTCACTCTCAGGCTCCTCTGCTGTTTCAGATCTAGTCTCCATAGTCAGCAATCTGCCACCCTTTGCCAGCATTCGTTTTATTCCATTTGTATTCCAAGTTGCAATTCCCTTTACAGTGCACATTAGTGCCAAAGATCTATTTAGCTGTTGTTTAAAGGAACGAATACGTTTGTCAGAATTCAGTAAACACAAAATAACCCAGAGGAATGAAAGTTTGAATCTGAAATTGTTAAATGTAAGAGCAGTGAACATGACTAGAAAACTAGTGAGCCAATTGCACATACGTTAGTCACATTTTTATGGATATACCATAGGTTAATTGATTTTCATTCCTCTATAGACTCCAGTTCCAACTCTTGTTACAGTAGGCATTGCGATGGAGTTGGGGAGAGCTAAATAACTCAGTTTTTTTCTGAGCCACATCCAATACCTTTTAGAAATTGTTCAATATTGACACTTATGTTCTAGGCCATGATATCCCCAGTGAAGTAGTTTAGGTTGGTCATGGTTCTTTTTTTGTTTTGTTTTGTTTTGTTTTTGAGACAGAGTCTCACTCTGTCGCCCAGGAGGGAATGCAGTGGTGCAATCTTGGGTCACTGAAACCTCTGCCTCCCAGGTTCAAGCGATTCTCCTTCTCAGCATTGAGTAGCTGGGATTATAGGCATGCACCACCATGCCCAGCTAATTTTTGAATTTTTAGTAGAAACGGGGTTTCACCATGTTGGCCAGGCTGGTCTTGAACTCCTGACCTCAGGTGATCCACCCACCTCAGCCCCACAACGTGCTGGGATTACAGGTGTGAGCCACCATGCCTGGCCAGGTTGGTCATGGTTCTAATTTCAGTATTCTTCAGCACTTACCGTCTGAAGCTCTAGGCTTAGGAGAGATGCTTGCAGGGCAAAATGACGTGTTTTTATTTATTTTATTTATTTTTACTTTTTGAGACAGAGTCTCGCTCTGTCACCCAGGCTGAAGTATCGTGATGTGATCTTGGCTCACTGCAACCTCTGCGTCCCCAGTTCATGCAATTCTTCTGCCTCAGCCTCCCGAGTAGCTGGGATTACTACTACCATGTGCCACCATGCCTGGCTAATTTTTGTATTTTTAGTAGAGATGGGGTTTCACCATGTTGGCCAGGCTGGTCTCGAACTCCTGACCTCAAGTAATCTGCCTGCCTCGGCCTCCCAAAGTGCTGGGATTATAGGTGTGAGCCATTGTGCCATGCCAAAATGACCTATTTTCAATCTTCTCCAGAGAAGTTTAGTTTGAAAGCATCTGACAATCTTACAGAAAACCTATATTAGCGTGATTGCACACATGCGCACGCATGTGTGGTTGTGTTTTGTGTGGATGTATCTCAGGGAAGTTACCAGGAAATGCTTTTATAGATAGCAAACATGGGAAATATTTCTGGAAGGCTAGGTCCCTTTAACTTTCCTCTCTATTAATAAGCATCTCCCACTATTAAAGGCAGCTGCACCCCTGCAGACTAAACATAATTCAGATGAATGCAGGAGAGCATTCATCTGAATGCACCTGAGGCAGGCTTTGTGTCTTTCTGCTTCCCAGCTCTGCATCTGGTATCTTTGCTGAGGTGCACCCATGCTGAGCTAGGTTAAGAATCTTCCATGTGCCACCTAGCAGGTAGCAGCAGACAGTGACTGGTGTTTGGGTCACTCACTCAAATCCCCTGTGCCTGATCCCCCCAGTTAATTCTGGACCCACTTTTGTTTTAATCATATCCTCTTTAATCTCTCATCTCACACCTTGAATCCCTGCTTCTGATTCCTGTGGACTGGACTCTAGTACTTTCTCTCCCAGGCAAATGGCCTTGATTCTCTGTATGCCTTAGGTGGCAACTTTGTGTTCTAACTCAATTATATAGGTTCTGGTTCCTATCATTGGCCTCTCAGCCAGCTTAGACCCTTTTTGAGCAGCAGCTGTTGTACTTCAATGCAGTCATTTGCCTTTCTTCTCACATTCTCTTTCATATCCTCATGTTTCTCTATCTTAATGATTATTAACCTTTGCCAGCCATCCAACTTTATATGCCATTAGATTTCAGGTATATGGGTGAGTGTTCTTTTTTAAGCCTAAGGTCAAATATAGCAAATGCCAATAAACAAGGACAAGCCCATTTTTACGTTAGTACGTCATTGCCAAAGATTGAGAATAAAAGCCTGCTATCAAAACAGAGGCACTTTCTTCAGCAATTTCTCTGTGCTTAGTATATGTCCTGTGACATAACCTTATCTGATCTTTGTTTAAAAGCCTTTCTTGATTAATTGATTTCTCATTGATGTAGTGTTGGCACTGAAGAGTTTATCTTTATTTGTGGGAGTGTACACTGGCATTAAATAATTAATTTTTATGAGCTCTGCCAGAAAATGTTGATAAAGTTTTATTTTGGCATAAATATATATTCGGTATTTTCTTTTCCAGTGGGTATTGGAAGATGAATTTTTTCCCGTTTCCTTATATTTATTTTAAAAAAACTCAAGGGTCTACAAAATTATCCATGTCAAGAATACTTCAGAAATTGTATATTACCTATTGTGTTATTGTCTTAGTTCTTCTTTCTCAGTTATTGAAATAAGTTCTCCCTGATTGGATCTCCACCCATGCAGCCAGGAAACAATCGCTTACCACATCCATCACTTCTGTCTGCACATCATCATGTTTCAGAGGTTTTTCAATTAATCCCGTGGATGCTAGGGTCACTCATAATTGTAATCCTGTTAGGCCTTCTTTATTTCTCCATGAGCTTGTTAATTCCTGTCCATCCTGCAGTGGTCTGTAACATAGTGCTATTATCAGCTCTTTCGTCTTTAAAAGCCTCTTGTCTACCATTTTGACTAAGATTGATTAACTGCACTTTGCTGAAATCAATCATTTTGGATTAAAAAAATCTATCTTCTACATTTCTTCTGGCTACTTTTGCATGGTTTCACTTTTTTTTTTTTTTTTTTTTGCAGTTAATCAACCTGCTGACCTGGTTGCTTTCCTTTTTTGGCTTCCTTTCTCTTGCTCTTTTCTTTTTAAAGAACTGTCTTTATCTCTTTATTTCTCCTATTTACTTGTAGGTAACACTTTTCAGGAAGAAAAGCCCATTGCAAGAGGCAGTGGAATAAATTCTCCTTTAGAACCTGGCCAGACACGACTCCTGTTTCCTTTTTCGTAAAATGAGAAATGATAGTCCCCCTCTTTGGTGATCCTCTCCCTCAGTAGTTTCTGGGGTGAAAGCTTTGTGACTGACTGCCAGGCACTTTGCAGTGACACTGTAACATGCTTCATGTGTGTGTGTGTGTGTGTGTATGACACACACACACACATATATTTTGAGACAGAGTCTTGCTCTGTCACCCAGGCTGGAGTGCAGTGGCTCAATCTTCACCTCCCGGGTTCAAGTGATTCTCCTGCCTCAGCTTCCCAGGTAGCTGGGATTACAGGCAATGTGCCACCATGCCCAGCTAATTTTTGTATTTTTAGCAGAGACAGGGTTTCACCATGTTGGCCAGGCTGGTCTCGAACTCCTGACCTCAAGTGATCCACCTGCCTTGGCCTCCCAAAGTGCTGGGATTACAGGCGTGAGCCACCGTGCCCGGCCACATGCTTCTTATTCATAGCCTCAGACTCCTCTGTATTCTAATCTTACCAGGTAGACCCAAACTTAGCAACATCTTTTGGAAATACTAATTAATATCTCATTTTCTTCTCCTAGGTACTGACTTTAACATAGATAGCTTACCTCTGCCTCGGAAAGCCCATCATGACTGGGCTGTTTTTCATGAAGAGTCCCCGAAAAACAATTATAAGCTCTTTCATAAACCAGTGATCACCTTGTTCAACTACACTGCCACGTTCAGCAGGCATTCCCACTTGCCACTAACTACCCAATACTTGGAGAGCATTGAAGTCCTGAAGTCACTCCGATACCTAGTTCCTTTGCAGTCCAAAAACAAGCTTAGAAAAAGACTTGCTCCGCTGGTGTATGTACAGTCAGACTGTGACCCACCATCAGACAGGGACAGCTATGTTCGCGAGCTGATGACTTACATCGAGGTCGATTCCTATGGTGAATGTTTACGAAACAAAGACCTCCCTCAGCAGCTGAAAAATCCAGCCTCTATGGATGCCGATGGCTTTTATAGGATCATTGCACAGTATAAGTTTATCCTAGCTTTTGAGAATGCAGTTTGTGATGACTACATCACTGAGAAGTTCTGGAGGCCACTGAAACTGGGGGTAGTCCCTGTATATTACGGATCCCCCAGCATCACAGACTGGCTTCCAAGTAACAAAAGTGCTATTCTTGTATCAGAATTTTCTCACCCCAGGGAACTGGCAAGTTACATCAGACGACTGGATTCTGATGACAGATTGTATGAGGCCTATGTAGAATGGAAGCTGAAGGGTGAGATCTCTAACCAGCGACTTCTGACAGCTCTCAGGGAACGGAAATGGGGAGTGCAAGACGTCAACCAGGACAATTACATCGATGCATTTGAGTGTATGGTGTGCACCAAGGTGTGGGCTAATATCAGGCTTCAGGAAAAGGTAAGCAAATCAAAGGTGGGCATAGAGCCAGCAGGCTGGCCATCTTGATGTTCTCTGCTCTCCTGCATTTCCTTCTGTTGTTGCCACCTCATCAGTGTTCTTCATTCCTATCAGAAAGACCGGGCTTTGCAGGAAGGTTGAATATTCCATTACTACCTTTTGGGACTGTCGTAAAGTTTACAAGCCCTGGACAGGCCTTCATTCCTGAAAGCCTTCATTCTCCTTTATTGTTTCTTCTGGGGGATCCCGTGCTGCAGGTGCTGGGCAGTGACACAGAAAACTGCAGAAAAGGGGAAGAGTCCCTAACATAAAAAATTAAGAGTTCTTGCCACACATGATGGCTCACGCCTGTAATTGGAGCACTTTGGGAGGTTGAGGTGGGTGGATCACTTGAGCCCAGGGGTTCGAGACCAGCCTGGGCAACATGGCAAAACCCCATCTCTACTAAAAATATAAAAATTAGCCCGGCATGGTGACATGCACTTGTAATCCCAGCTACTCGAGAGGCTGAAGTGGGAGAATTGCTGGAATCCAGGATGCAGAGGTTGCAGTGAGCCGAGATCATGCCACAATACTACAGCCTGGGCGACAGAGCGAGACTCTGTCTCAAAAAAAAAAAAAAAAAAAAAAAAAGAGTTCTGCTTATCCACATGGTCAATCCTTTAGCCTCTCCATCAATGCCGTGGCGAAGGAGTATGATAATTTCTGCCAGACCTCTCACACTGACACTCCACAGCCTCCACTTTCAAACTCATTTTCATTTTGCTTGCTGCTCTAATATTTACTCTTTCTCTTTCTGGCAAACATGTGCTTATTAATATAGAGAGAAACTACTGAAATAATGGTGGGGATAATCCTTATAAAAACTTTCTTAAATTGTTATGAACTTCTTAGTAATGTCTTCAAATTTCTAGATGGTGCTTGGTGTTTGTTTGCTTACTTTATTTGTTTATAATGGGAATGAACCTACTTTATGTGTAACTTAATTTGTTCAAAGGAAATTTGTTGAAAGAAAAAGATTACTTTCAACTTCTCCTGAAATTTTTACACAATGAGGTGGCCCACTCATAGCACTTGCCTATCACCCATCATTGCTGTGCCAGACTCTCATAGATGTGTAAGGTTTTATCTAAATATTTTCTTGTTCTTCTTTTTTTTTGAGACCGAGTCTCACTCTGTTGCCCAGGCTGGAGTGCAGTGGCACCATCTCAGCTCACTGCAACCTCCACCTCCCAGGTTCAAGCAATTCTTGTGCCTCAGCATCCTGAGTAGCTGGGACTACAGGCATAAGTCACCACACCTGACTAATTTTTGTATTTTTAGTAGAGACGGGGTTTCACCATGTTGGCCAGGCTGGTCTCGAACTCCTGACCTCAGGTGATCTGCCTGTCTCAGCCTCCCAAAGTGCTGGGATTACAGGTGTGAGCCACCACATCTGGCCTTATCTAAATTTTCCGAAGGCCAACAACTTTTCTTAAATATTTACATGTTTACTTTGGTTATTATATGAATTTTAGGTCAAACATAAACCTAAACAGTGTGTGAAATTATCTTTAGGTATTGTATGTATACCATATGGGGCTCTCAGATACTATGTATATGGTAGACAAATTTAAAATATTTGAAATGTATTTTTTAAGATTTTAAGAATTATTAAAATTTAAATTCTTCTTTCTTGTTTTGTATAACTGTTCAACTCATAAAATCATTTATTTTATGCTGACTGTCTTGGTCCACAACATGAACACTAAATATTACATCATTCTTCTCAGAGAATGCTTCCTGATTTCTGATGGCTTCCTGTATGATCTAATTTATAGGGCCATAAGCAAAAAATTAAATACACACACACACACACAAACACACACACACCCACCCATGTGAAAACATGAGAGAGTAGAGACCACATTAATTGCCCATGCTATACCAATTATTTATTCTCAAAATATATCAAGGTAGAAAACAGAATTTCTGAGGGTGATGATTTGCTTGGGCTAGGTTTCAAGACCATTTCAAGGCTTCAAGATTATATTCACAGAAAACTGAAATATAAAAACCCTAACTGCTTCTGTACCTCACAAAAACCCTATTGAGATAATTATTGCGAACTGGAAGAGAGGGTATGCTGGCGTTGGTAAATAGCTTTCTTTTTTGAGACGGAATCTCCCTCTGTCTCTCTGGCTGGAGTGCGGTGGCGTGATCTCGGCTCACTGCAAGCTCCACCTCCCGGGTTCACGCCATTCTCCTGCTTCAGCCTCCCGAGTAGCTGGGACTACAGGCACCCGCCACCACGCCTGGCTAATTTTTTGTATTTTTAGTAGAGACGGGGTTTCATCGTGTTAGCCAGGATGGTTTTGATCTCCCAACCTCGTGATCCTCCCGCCTCAGCCTCACAAAGTGCTGAGATTACAGGCATGAGCCACAGCGCCCAGCGGGTAAATAGCTTTAGAAAAGATGTAGGAGATCATTCCTGCAGTTCTAACAGAAACAGCTAACTGAATGTGGCATTTCAGAATGCCCAAAGGTAGTATGATTGGATGTCCTTCTCTCTGGACTCATTGAGGAAAATGAGAGTAGGCTTTTCTCCAGCCTGCTCTGATTCCTCCCAGAGAGGTGGTCAGCGAAGATGATTAGGAGGCTTTGCTTGCATTTTAATGAAGTAGTTCCAATTCCAAAATGCTAATGTGCTTATTATTGAAAAGCAGAATAAAACATTCTATGAAAGTAAATGAAAAGGTATTAGACCACTTTTTTTTTTTTTTTTTTTTTTTTTTGAGATGGAGCCTTGCTGTGTTGTCCAGGCTGGAGTGTAGTGGCGTGATCTCGGCTCACTGCAACCTCTGCCTCCTAGGCTCAAGCGATTCTCGTGCCTCAGCCTCCCGAGCAGCTGGGATTACAAGCGCATGCCACCACACCCGGCTAATTTTTGTATTTTTAGTAGAGACAGAGTTTCCGCCATGTTGACCAGGCTGATCTCGAACTCCTGACCTCAGGTGATCCACCGGCCTCGGCCTCCCAAAGCTCTGGGATTACAGGCATCAGCCACTGCGCCCAGCCACCAGTTTTCATTTGCACTTATTTTACAGGATTCGTTCTATATGGCACAACGTAAAGTAAGCTACTTAAGTATGTTTCATTTTTTATTTTCCTCTTTCAGCCAAAGTGATTCTCCTGCCTCAGCCTCCTAAGAAGCTGGGATTACAGGCACCTGCCACCATGCCCAGCTAATTTTTTTGTATTTTTAGTACAGATGGGGTTTCACCATGTTGGCCAGGCTGATCTCGAACTCCTGACCTCAAGTAATCCACCTGCCTTGGCCTCCCAAAGTGCCAGGATTACAGGTGTGAGCCACTGCGCCCTGCCTTCCTTCACTCTTGGCCAGTGATTTGACTATTCTTGGCTGCTTGCCTGATAGGGTGACCCAGACCCTCTTCCCTTAGGAGCCTGTGGTTGCCTTGCCCCTCTGAGACTGTGTTCATGGCAGTTACACTTTCCCCCATTCATCATGGCCCCGTCCTCGACAGACCCTGTTTGCTTCTACCGTGTAGTGGGAATGTCATCTCCTCATGAGTCCATTACCACGACCAGTACAATAATTTCTTCATTTTCCTGCTTGCACAATGAATTCAAAGTGACTGGGTAGCAGTTACAGTTCTGTAGATTCAAGTTCAGTGGGAACCTTCCTGTGCCCCTAATGGAAAAGAATGCCCCTTCCCCCACCACCCGGGAACCAGGAACCTGGAAAGCCTAGGGTTGCAGGGATGAGAACCACAAAATAAGCAAGCGGGTCACTGGGAATGAGGGTGAGATTAGTCAGTTCTACTTCAATGGGTTGGTTCCTGTATCTAGTCTAGGTATTTGGAGCACAGTCCCATGTATGGACTACTGGTTTCTTAAACCCAGAGAGTATTGTCCTTGAGCTGAGCTATTTATAGGCTATTCCATCGTTCTTTGAGGCTGGCTTCTTCTGAGTGATGGAGTACCTGGTAAAACCAGTGACTGCTGTGCCCACTGTCACATTGTTGTCACAGTGTCATGTGTCCATTTTGGTACCTCTCTCACCATGCAATGGGTCCCTGAGTCTGAGTTAGTGTTGTACAAAATACCATGTTGCTGAAGAAGGTATTCTTTTTTGTTTTTTTTAGACAGATTCTCACTTTGTCACCCAGGCTGGAGTGTGGTGGCACGAACTTGGCTTACTGCAACCTCTGCCTCCCGGGTTCAAATGATTCTCCTACCTTAGCCTCCTGAGTAGTTAGGATTACAGGCGCTCACCACCATGCCTGGCTAATTTTTTATATTTTTAGTAGAGACGGGGTTTCACCATGTTGGTCAGGCTGGTCTTGAACACCTGACCTCAGGTGGTCCACCCACCTCGGCCTCCCATAGTGCTGGGATTACAGATGTGAGCCACCACGCCCGGCCTGAAGAAGGCATTCTGTAACCCCTGAGTGATAGAGTAGGCAGAGGTATGGGGGACAAGGAAGTTCCCCATGAGTATATCTAAGGTAGGTGTCAATTTCAGCAAGGACTAATTGCTATTCCTTCTCGAGTAAAAGGATTTTAGCCTGTCACTGGGAGACTAGAGACTAGATATTCTCCTCAAGGAATTGTGCCTTATCAGAAGCTTTAGCATTGATCATTGTTGCTGGTAGATCAGGTCTTCAACAGTGGCAGTGATGAATTCTGCCTGTGAGTGAGAACCAAAGCTCTTCTGTTCATGCATAGCCTCCATCATTCCTACAATGTCCTGTTCATGGGTCAGTGGAACCAGTATTGGGGTAACAAAGGGACAGGCTGGCTGAAATCCAATAACTCATAATACCTACCTGCTTGTTGTGAGCTTTCTCTCAGTGGCTGCTTATTGGTGTGCATCAATATCAGATACTGATTGGAGCCATGTTGATCCTGTGTAGATACCAGTTTCAGCAAGGCAGCTGCAGTTGGAACTACTGTCAGGTTAAGTTCCTGGTAGTCCCCTACCATCTACCATGATTTATCTGTTTTTTTTTTTTTCAGGGGTCAGAACGGTGAATTAAATGGTGGTGGTGGGGATTATGATGGGGAAAACTCCTTGGTCTTATGGGGCATTGATCTCTACAGTTTTTCCAAGATGATGGTGTTGCTTCAGACTTACTATCCTGTCTGAGGGGGCAGTTGTTTTTTGAGACAGTCTCACTCTGTCACCCAGGCTGGAGTGCAGTGGTGCAATTTCGGCTCACTGCAACCTCTGCCTCTTGGATTCAAGCAATTCGCCTGCCTCAGCCTCCTGAGTAGCTGGGATTACAGGTGTGCACCACCACGCCCAGCTAATTTTTGTATATTTAGTAGAGACGGGGTTTCAACATGTTGGCCAGGCTGGTCTTGAACTCCTGACTTCAAGTGATCCTCCAACCTCAGCCTCCCAAAGTGCTGAGATTACAGGTATGAGCCACCGTGCCTGGCCACTTACCCAGTTCTTGACAGTACACCCTAGCCTTTGCTGCTTCTCTTGGTATATAAGCTATTTCTTCTCAGAGTAGGGCCTCTGTTTCTCACTTAGGTGTTGAGTGCTGGTGATAAAGCAGGTGATATTAATTTTAATGGGGATTTACCACCAGCAATGGGGCTTTTATTGCCATCAGGTGAATAATGCTCTTTAGCGCCACTCCTGGTACCAACGATCTTAACCTGGCTTCCACAGAAAACAGAAATGGAAACAGAGGCATCTGTGCTGTGATTCTGTTAGGGAGTGCAGTCCTAGAGGGTTGGAGGGAGGAGTAGGGGAGTGAACCAGGGAAGGAAGGAGGGCAATGCGATGATGTTACTGAGCTGAGTGTTAAGTGGGAGTGATTGGTTCATCCTCAGGACCCTGCCCCTGAGAAGCACATACTGCACTCGGAATCATTCCTTCCAGGTAAGGAAGGGGAGAAAATTGATCCATGGGCCCTGCTTTCTCCGTAGTCCAAAATTTGTCCCACTGGTCCTAACTTGCTCTACCTTTTGGGTTGCACGTGTGTGATATGGGTGCTGAGAAGAGTTCCACAGTGACTCCAACAGTTAAATTCTAGAGCAGGAAGTCACATGGAAGGAGGTGAGGTGTACTGTTGGTCAGAGCCCTGTGCAGGTGGGGCAAGGGATAGATGAAGTTGAGAAGTTCAGGAATCTGCTAGAGGGCGGTACTCTTACCCTCGTTCATGCCTGCTCTCCCCTAGTCTAATGATCTACTGTTAAGTTTCTTTGGACAATACTCAGCTGCTGCTGGGGTAGGAGAACGTCAGTTTCTTGCTTGTGCACAGTGATGATTTGGGTCTTCAGTTGCCTCCTACAAAACTGGCAACCACTTCCCTTTCAGCCCCTTCTTTACACCCACTGCCAGAGTTCTGTGCGCCACCAAATTCTGCAGCATCTTGTGCAAGCTGCAGTGAACGTTGAGTTGCTTTTCTGCTTTCCCGCTGCTTCTTAGAACTCAGCTTTCTCACATCAACTAAGTCATTTGCCACCCATCTGTTAACTTTGCAACTTCCGAAATTTTTTGTTTTCCTTATCATTTTGTTTTTCTTCAGGAATCTATGCCATAAAAAAAAAAACCACCTTGCTGTCATTTTATGGGATTTCAGGAGGGAATGAAATTAAAAGTGTGTGTCTAGTCAACCATTTTTATTTGGAAATCTCCATTTGATTGATTGATTGATTGAGACAGGGTCTCTATCACCCAGGCTGGAGTACAGTGGTGTGATCTCGGCTCACTGCAACCTCCAGCTCCGAGGCTTGAGTGGTCCTCCCACCTCAGACTCCCGAGTAGCTGGGACTGTAGGCGCAGCCACCATGCCTGGCAAATTTTTGTAATTTTTGTACAGATGGAGTTTTGCCATGTTTCCCAGGCTGGTCTCGAAGTCCTTAGCTCAAGCAATGTGCCCATCTCAGCCTCCCAAAGTGCTAGGATTGCGTGTGTTAGCCACTATGCCCAGCCTATTTTCTTTATTAAACAAACTAGTTGAAAAAAATTGTATTGAAGGTGCGCTCTGATTCGGGCATTATTGTGCTAGATAATGGTAAGCAAGAAAAGACATGGTCCCTTGTCATAGGGCTTACAGTTTAGATTAGACATTATTAAAGGAATAAGCTTTGTGCACTGTGAAGGAAAAATTCTCTAAAATGAGAGATCTGGATGCTTTTGGTAAAGCTTCTACAAGAGTCTTCCAAAAGGCCATCTTAATCACTGGCAGCCAGCTGTTAGTACTACCGCCACAGTATCAGAATACAGCTGTTACAGAGATTCCATTAACTACCACGCTAAGATGATGAACTCGTAACAAATGCTGCATTTAAGTGCACTCTCTTCATTTTAACGCTTTCTAGCATAAGACATCCTTTGGTACTAAATCACCACCAGAAGTAATAACCCTAAGTCATCAAATGGGCACTTACCAGGAGAGCATGAACTACCTTACATGTCCTTTCTTTGAACAAACTTTTATCTACTATCTATGAAGGGTAAGATCTTATACTTCCTGTATCATGATGTCAGTTGTTCAAAGACAGATGTACCTTAGGTCAAAATTTTTCTTCCTACAGATTAAATGTGATGTTTTAAATAGTTTGGATTTCTTTTTAAGTTAGAATGATAAAGTATAAAAATGGGGGAAGGCTTCTAGGAAAAAAGGATTTAGTACGAAAGACTAAAAGACAAGATAATTTGGTGATTTCCTATCTGTATTTAAGCTGAACAAAACAGACAATCTGTCTTAAGGTTAATAGAATTTACTTTTTAACTGGAGTTGCCTGAAGTAATTTTCCATTGCTTTATATATTTTATATATACACATATATAAATTTGATTGATTGAGACAGGGTCTTCCTCTGTTGCCCAGGCTGAAGTGCAGTGGTGTGGTCATGGTTCACTATAGCTTCCACTTCCTGGGCTCAAGTGATCCTTCCATCTCAGCCTCCTGAGTAGCTAAGATTACAGGTGCATGTCACCATGCCTGGTTAATTTTTTAAAGTTTTTCTGTAAAGTTGGAGTCTCACTATGTTGTCCATGCTGGTCTCAAACTCCTGGGGTCAAGCCATTCTCCTGCTTTGGCCCTCCAAAGTGCTGGGATTACAGGTGTGAGCCACAGTGCCTGGCATTTTTTTTTTTTTTTGAGACAGGGTCTCATTCTATCACCCAGGCTGGAGTGCAGTGGTGCAATCATAGCTCACTGCAGTCTTGAACTGCTGGACTCAAGCATTCCTCCTGCCTCAGCCTCCTGAGTAGCCGGGACTACAGCATGTGCCACCATACCTAATTTTTTAACTTTTATTTTTGTAGAGACAGGGTCTTGCTATGTTGCCCAGGCTGGTTTTAAACTTCTGACCTCAAGCAATCCTCCCACCTTGGCCTCCCAAAGTGCTGGGATTATAGGCATGAGCCACTGTACCTGGTCACTTTTTGTATTTCAAATTGAAGATGAGAAGGAACAATTCCAAGTGGGAGATTATTAGTTGTCTCATGTTTTCTACATATAAACCATCCATTTTCTTATCATTTATCTTCTTTTACCTTCTTGAAGTGGTGGTCTTAGAATCATACAATGTCAGAATTGAAAGTAGCTTAGGAATCACCTAATTCAGCATCTCTTTAGCTGCAGAAACCTAGTATTTCCATTTGACTCCTGTTTTATATTACATCTCCCTGCTGAAATTACCCTTATGTTCATGCATATTGTCTCCCTTTTCTACTATATATATATAGTATATATATATATATAGTATATATATATATAGTATATATATATAGTATATATATATAGTATATATATATAGTATATATATATAGTATATATATATAGTGTATATATATAGTATATATATATAGTGTATATATATAGTATATATATAGTGTATATATATAGTATATATAGTGTATATATATAGTGTATATATATAGTGTATATATATCGTATATATATAGTATATATATATACTATATATATAGTATATATATATACTATATATATAGAGTGTATATATAGTGTATATATAGTATATATAGGGTATATATAGTGTATATATAGTGTATATATATAGCATATATATAGTGTATATGTATGTTATATATATAGTATATATATATTATATATATATATATATATTTTTTTTTTTTTAGACAGAGTCTTGCTCTGTTGCCCAGGCTGGAGTGCAGTGGTATGATCTCAGCCCACTGCAACCTCTGCCTTTTGGAGTCCAGCAATTATCCTGCCTCAGCATCCTGACTAGCTGGGACTACAGGTTCATGCCACCACACCTGGCAAATTTTTGTATTTTTAGTAGAGACAGGGTTTCGCCATGTTGGCCAGGCTGGCCTAGAACTCCTGACCTCGTGATCCACCTGCCTCAGCCTCCCAAAGTGCTGAGATTACAGGCGTGAGCCACTGCGCCCAGCCTTTTACTATATTCTTTAACATACTAATGGTAGTTTAAAGTTCCTGCCTGATAGTTCCAACATCTGAGTCATTTGTGAGTCTGGTTCTGTTGATGGCTTTAGCTCTTGATAGTGTTTGTTTTTTTGTTTTTTCTCTTTTTATGTGTTTCATGATTTTTTTTTTTTTGATTCCTGGACATTATGTACAAAAGCATAGAGACCAAGATCAATGTTTATGTATGGCAATGGACATGCCTCTTTTCTGTCAAGGCTGTTAATGTGCGTGGGTTGGGGAGGAGGGATGTGTATTACTCCATTTTCCCACTGCTTATAAAGAACCAACCAAGACTGGGTATTTATAAGGAGAGAGGTTTAATTGACTCACAGTTCTGCATGGCGAGGGAGGTCTTGGGAAACTTACAATCATGGCGAAAAGCAAAGTGGGGAAACAAACACATCTTACCACGACAAAGCAGGAGGGGAGGGAGGGAGAGAGGGAGAGAGAGAGGAAATGCCACACATTTAAACCATCAGATCTCGTGAGAACTCACTATCATGACAACAGCATGGGGGAGATCACCCCCATGATCCAATCACTTCCCACCAGTTCCCTCCCTTGACACACGGGGATTACAATTCAAGATGACATTTGGGTGGGGACACAAAGCCAAACCATATTAGGGAGGTAGAGTCAGGTTAGTCAAGAGTTGAGCTAGAGTTGGATTTTGTGTTGCTATTGTTACCTTTTGTGCTCCTCAGGTTTCAAACATTTCCAGTAATAATAATTATCCAGTGACTAAGCACTGCTATTGCCTATGTTTAAAGTGGGGCCTGGGGTGTTAAAGAGTTTTTCTCAGTATTTCTCCTCCACCCTCAGCTTTTAGCAATTCCTGCATTGCTATGCCACAGATGAGGTCTATTTTAATATTCTTGCTTCTCCCCACCAGCAAACTCCTGTTATTCATTCCTTAGCAGTAAACTTATGTTGGGAGTACGGCAGGTTCTTTGTTGTCTTCACAGCCTCAGGCAGGTTCTGGATTCCTGGGTCTCAGGGGTGAAGCTTTTCCAGTGTCCTTGCCTCTTCTTCTCTTGGCAGCCAAGCTCTGCCTTGTATCTGTGGTTAGTTGGAGGGAGAGTTTATGCCCCTCCCCAGTGGTGTAACTTCTGGTATCATGATAGGATTCTAGGCCCAAAATGGTTTCCATCCTGCACCCAACCATGAGAAAGAGGAGTTTTGCTTCTCCCTCTCCCCAAGAAGTAATAGATTTTTCCCTTGGATCTGGGAGCAGAAGCGTTTGCTACTGCTCCCGCAGTGGCTTAAGGCCTTTACATGTATGAGGAAAAGGTCTGGGGAGGGTGGAGAGGCTTCCTGAATTCCCCTAGCAGAGGAAGATCATCCACCACGCTGTGCCAAGGAGGGAGACTCTTTCCAATCCTGTGCTGCCCCCAATCTTCCTTTTGAGCATTTGATGGAGGTCCATAGAAAAGAGCTTTTGATGAGTTTGAACTCTCATTTTTGTATCTGGGCATCCCAGCTATTCCAGCTGATATGGTTACTCCACTTCTAAGAATTTATTAAAATTTTAACTGATTTCTTGTTACCTGTTTGTATGGTGATCACCTCTCTCTCCTGTGTTCTGCCAAAGGTGAAACAGATTATCCATCTTTCCTCAAAGGGGCTTTGTCACCCTCTGGAATTCAGTTCCCTGATGGGCTCAAGAAGTTATGAATTCAAGGATTATCTGTATTTTTCTCATTGCTAGGAACCACGTTCTCTTTGGAAACAAAATCTTTTAAAATCATACTTTAGAAACAGCTGGTTTTTCCGCACAAGACCTCAGCTGGAAAGGGATACTGAAACTTAAGTTACTTCTAAAACTGTCATAACTACTTCATCAGACACACTTCCTTTGGGTCATACTGTGAAATATTTCTGGCAGAATGTTAGAGTGGAAAGAGTTCATTTCATAAGATTCTTTTCTCTGTGATGTCACCTTGAGTTGGAACTTTATCCTACACTTGATGGGCTCCTCTCCTGAGTGGGAAGGCAAGGAAATAGGGTAATATTACTGACTTTCTCATATAAACCGTTATGCAAGGTCAGGGTTGGGAAGACCTTGGAAGGTTATGTGATCTGTACAATTACCAGCTGACTGGTGACTCGAGTATCATGAGCAAGCCATCCATTAATTTGTGCTGGGGCATTTTCAGTGTTGGTGATTTCATTATTTTTAAAGGTAGCTTATTTTATCTTTTGTTTGTTTTGACAAAAGATAAACAGAACATTTGGTTCTTTGTATTGAACTGAAACTTCCCCTTTTATAGTCAATTCTTTTTTTTTTTTTTGAGACAGAGTCTTGCACTGTTGCCTGGGCTGGAGTGCAATGGTGCGATCTCAGCTTACTGCAACCTCCGCCTCCCAGCTTCAAGTGATTCTCCTGCCTCAGCCTCCTGAGTAGCTGGGATTACAGGCATATGCCACCATGCCCAGCTAATTTGTTACATTTTTAGTAGAGATGGGGTTTCACTATGTTGGCCAGGCTGGTCTCGAACTCTTGACCTCGTGATCCACCCGCCTCAGCCTAATTGCTGAGATTACAGGTGTGAGCCAATGTGCCCGGCCTTTATAGTCAATTCTTAGCTACCTGCTCTGATTCCTCAGTTTGGCAGGATACAGTCTGGCATCTGTACCTACCAGCCAATAGAGGTGAACAGTGGCCTCTCAAAAGTTGAAAGTTGTTTTGCATCTCCTTACGTGATTTTGTTCTGTTCTTGCTTCAAATCCAGTCTCTATCCAACCATGAACTCTGGCTAATGTAATCACAATTTTGAGCCTACCTTTGGTCCTTTGAACTTGATATTCATAGATTTCCCAGATTTTGTCTTAGCATTCCTAATGGTTTGCAATTTCAATTTGCACTCTGCTTCTCTGTGCTTGGTAAAGAATTCCTGCTCAAGTTCTAGGCCCTTGGAAGTCAGACTTCATGATAATCCATCAGTGGTTCCCAAGAGAAAGGAGGACTTGGCCATCTCTATCCTTCACATTTTACCAAACAAGTTAATTCACACTTCCACTTATATAGTCCCTTCACTTGAAGGGACTTCTTTGCTTGAAGACAAACTCTGTTCACTCAAAGTCATCACCTCTTCACACTAAATACTCCTAGTATCTCCTCATATATTTCCTATGGGAGTTTTAAAGAAAAGAAAATATGTTGAGCCAATCATAAGTAGCACCCACATTTTTATATTTCCAACTGGTTTTTCTGCTATGCTTTCTAAATTTGGAATGGATGAAGATTCTAATCATTATAAACCTGACACATAATGGATTGTCTTCCCATTAAGACAGTTTTTTTTTTAAGAAAAATATATACATGCATATAGGTTGAAGAATCAAATATTTCTACAAAGTTAATTAACAAAAACAGCAGTCTTCCACTTCTTTTCCCTTTTCTGTCCTTCCCAGAAGCAACCACAATATTTAGCTAATTATTTAACTATTTTGGTATTTACCCAATGTTTCTGTTTCTTTTCCTGTTGTTTTTTTTTTTTCTTTTTGAGATGGAGTCTCACTCTCTCACCCAGGCTGGTGTGCAGTGGCATGATCTTGGCTCACTGTAACCTCTGTCTCCTGGGTTCAAGCGATTCTCCTGCCTCATCCTCCTGAGTAGCTGGGATTACAGGCACGCGCCACCACACCCGGCTCATTTTTGTATTTTTGGTAAAGACAGGGTTTCACCATGTTGGCCAGGCTGGTCTCTAACTCCTGACCTCAGGTGATCCACCTGCCTTGGCCTCCGAAAGTGCTGGGATTACAGGAATGAGCCACCACACCTGGCCTATTTACTCTATGTTTCTAAGTAACACATTTACATAGTATTCTTTTTATATTCAGTGTTTGAATATAACTGTGTGACTGTTATTAAAAAATAAACCATGTAGTACACTATCATTTTCCCCCTTACATATACAGTTTTTTGTTTCTTTCCCAGGTAATAATTGCATCTTTATTTGATTATTTTTCCATGTACCTGTCAGTCATTCAGTCTTTGTTGATTGTTTAACTCTCCTCTGAAGATGTTGAGATATGGCAGGCATCCAGCTCTCTTGATCTTATGGAAGGGATCTCTCCCGGAGCCTCTGACCCACTCCTATCTGTGCTCATTGTCCTCTACCTTAGTGTGGAGCAGCAGCCTGAGATGTCACTTCCCCAGCATTTTGGGAATTTTCTTTCTTTTCTTTTTTTCTCTTCTGTTGACATCTGTTTCCTGCATGCTATGTCTCCTGTTTTCTTAGTTTATTCTCTTGTTTTGGTTGATCATACTCTCCAGTCGCTTCCTGAGAAGAGGTACATGCAAGAATGTGTGAAAATGTCTTCATTTCAGCTGAGCACGGTGGCTCGTGCCTGTACTCCCAGCACTTTGGGAGGCTGAGGCAGGTGGATCACCTGAGGTCAGGATTTCAAGACCAACCTGGACAACATGGTGAAACCCCGTCTCTACTAAAAATAAAAAAAAATAAAAAAAATTAGCTGGACATAGTGGCAGGCACCTGTAATCTCAGCTACTTGGGAGGCTGAGGCAGGAGAATCACTGGAACCCAGGAGGTGGAGGTTGCAGGTTGCAGTGAGCTGAGATCATGCCACTGCACTCCAGCCTGGGAGACAAAGCGAGATTCTGTCTCAAAAAAAAAAAAAGAAAAGAAAAGAAAAAAAAGAAAATGTCTTCATTCTACCCTAAATTTAAGCAATAGGTTAGCTGACTGTAAACCACTAAAATGGACATTCATTTTTCTCAGAATTTTGAAGGTATTTTGCCATTGTCTTTTACTAAAAACACTTTTAATTTTTTTTACAGAATATTTTAAAGATAGTTCAGAGTTCTGTATGCCTTTTCCCTGGCTTCCCCTCATGCTATCATTTTATGTAACTGTGGTACATTTGTCACCAATAAGAAATTCATATTGGCACATTACTGCTTGCTAAACTGCAGAGTCTAGTCATATTTCTCTTTAGTCATATTTGGCCATATTTCTGTAACATCCTCTGTCTGCGCTAGGATCAAATTCGGGATACCAGGCTGTAATTAAACCATCACGTTTCATTAGTCTCCTCCAGTCTGGACAGTTGCTCAAGCTTTTTCTTATTTTTAATAACTTTTGAAGAGTACTGGTCAGTATTTTGTAGAATGTCCCTTCATACGGTTTGTCTAATGTCTTCTCATGTTAACACTTGGGTTATGGATTATGGGGAATAATACCACAGAGGTAAACGTGTTCTCATTGCATCCTATTAGGGCAGCTGTTCCTAACCTTTTTGGCACCAGAGACCTATTTTGTGGGAGACAATTTTTCCACAGACCGGTAGGTGGGTGGGGGATTAGATGTTTATAAGGAGTGAGCAAGCTGGATTCCTCACATGTGCAGTTCACAATAAGGTTCACCCTCTTAGGAGAATCTAATGTTGCTGATGATCTGACAGGAGGCAGAGCTCAGACGGCAATGCTCACATGCATGCTGCTCACCTCCTGCTCTGCAGCCCGGTTCCTAACAGGCCAGGGAACAGTACTGGTTCATGACCCGGGAGTTGAGGACCCCTGTATCAGGGGATGCATTATACCAACATAACGTATAACTGGTAATGTTAACTTTGATTGCTTGGTTCAGGTGGTATGTGCTAGGTTTTCCCACTGTGAAGTTGCTAATTTTCCTATTCTTCTATGTTTTGTTACTCTTCTGCCCTCTTCCATTCTCCCAATTCTTACAGGTTAATGCCTTTCAAGAACAGTCCTTTTACTCTCATTTTAATGGTGTTTCTGGAGGAAATGAAATTGGATATGTGTGTTCACTCTGTTATCCTGGAGTTTTTCTGTCTCTCCTCTTTCTCTTTTACTTTTCTTTTTCTTTTCTCCCTTTCTCCCTTCTAAATTATTGGAAGGTCAAATCCTGAACATGTAGGCCATTTTAAGGACTTGGACTTGAACTTGGAATGAGAAGGGCTGCCGAGTGTAGCCTGCAGAGGATCAGAAGTGGAATCAAGGGGTTAGTTAGGAGACCATGGAAATAAGCCAAGACTGAGCGTGGACCAAGCTCATTGCAGCATTTTGAAGCTGGGAGGTATTATGCCAATGTCAGGTACCATTATTGTTGGGTGGAAACATCTTAGTACTGGGGACAGTTGAGTGCAGTGGAAATATATTAAAAACAGGGATTAGTTGTAATATGTGACAACATAGATAGATGTAAAAACAGTGCTTGGTGAAAAGTAGCAAACAAATGAGACATACAATAACATATAAGTATATTAAAAATAAATGCCCAGAGATTGAGAACACATTTTGCAATGAGTATTCGAATACGCTTACATGCAAATACAAAGAACTGTGTTAAACATCTTAAAATATTTGCCTATGGGGAGGAGGATAGGGGTGGGATAATAGGGGGAAAAGGAATAAACAAATCAACAGATAAATAACCAGAGGGAGGGGAAGGCTTTAGAATCTAAAGAGAACTATATTCGATCTTAAGTATATACTGTTTGGGGCAATTTATGTAACTTTTTTGTGGTTTAGTTTCCACTCCTGTAAAATGGGGTAGTAGCACCTATTCAATATGCTTACCATAAGAATTAAGTGAGGCAATATGTGAGATGCTTTCTTTCCCCTTTAGCTCCATGGAGTAAAGCTGTTGTTTTAAGGAAAGTCTGTTGCTTTAAGGGAATTGTGCTTCATTATCATATGTTTTTAATTCATTTCTCTTTTCTCTTCCTGCAGGGCTTACCACCCAAAAGATGGGAGGCAGAAGATACCCACCTGAGTTGCCCAGAGCCCACAGTGTTTGCTTTCTCACCACTCCGGACTCCACCTTTGAGCTCTTTGCGAGAGATGTGGATTTCCAGCTTTGAACAATCCAAGAAAGAAGCCCAGGCACTAAGGTGGCTGGTTGATAGGAATCAAAACTTTTCATCTCAAGAGTTTTGGGGCCTAGTATTCAAGGACTGATTTCAAAAATGATCAGAATGAAACAGACTAGAGCCTTCTTGAGGTTTATTTTCTAGGTTGCCTTAATATTTGAACATAATAGCTATTCTGTTGACTATCCATCAGGATAATAATTAGTTGCTGCAGTACTCATAATGAGCCCTTTCAAGGAATAGATGTAAATTACCCTTAGGGGTAGCCACTATATTTTTTATACTAAAAAAGGAAATATTTCTTATGGACACTGGTTATCTTCCATGTCCGTGTCTGTGGACCCACATACTTACTGCCTTTTGTGGAAATTCACCTAGAGTGAGTACTTTCCTTGTGCAATGGAGGGAGACGATCTAGCTATAGATTCTTGATACTCACCTCACTCTCAACAGCTTATTGGTATTTGGCAAACCTGGTATCCTGCAGCCGAGCATGAACATGAAATACATTAGAACTTGGCAATGAGAGATCCCATCTGTTGGTTTCCAGGGATGTAAGTGAGTAATAAAAGCTGTTTCAAGTTTATCCACTATCCACTCTTCAAGTGAAAAGAACTTATGTGTGTCTACCTTCTTCTCCATACCCTGAGCCACCTCTCTCACTTTCTTTAGTTGTGCCTTGCCCTATCGCCTCCCATTTTCCCTTCAAAGTAGAATGTCTTGTAAAGACACAGTAACTCCTGTGTGTTTTGATTAGTGAGATGTTACCACTTACCCCTTCTGCTGCGCAGAATAATATTAAGAATTGCTATGCTTATGATTCAGGCTGGACAGCCTGGACATTTTGAGCAGCGCGAGAGTAGAAGTGAATACCCCCAGGAACTCCAATTGTGCTGAAGCTGATTTGTCTGTTCGTAGGATGATGTGCAGCCTGTCACAGTGGCAGCCACAGGCATTCAGTTTGTGGGCATTTCCTGTCATTTCGGATCCTGCTATAGGGAAGGTTCAGCTCTCCTGTCTGGGGCATCTACTGGAGCACCTCAGAAGACAAGGAGGAAAACACTGGCTCATGTTTTCTTTCCATGTGAGGGAGGGGAGGTTTCTAGATGATACTAAAAGCCTGTTGCCACTGTTGTGTCATGATTTCCATTCTTCATCATGGAAAGCCACAAGCCTCAGAAGGCAGCCAGAGGACAGGAAGAGTCTGTGATGCTCATGTCTGTGTCATGGCATGAGGGGGAATTGACGAGTGCTTGCTTAGCATCAGCTCTCATTGTATTGAAGGCTGTGCCCTTGGTGTGCTTAGCAGTGAGCAGCGTCTTCATTAGGTAGCTCTGGCTGGGCTTTGTCAGCCAGCGTGTGAGAAAGGAGAACCAAAACCAATACCTCCTTATAGAAGCCAGAAGGATCACATTGGATGAGAGAAGGTGTCTATAACTGGGTTCTTCCCAATCCCAGCTCTTTCATTAACTAAATATGATCTTGGACATATCTCTTAACCTCCATCGGCCTTAGTTTTTGCATCCAAAAAGAAGTGATTGGGCTGGTCTTGGAAGGTTTTTTTCTTTTTTTTCCCCTGTGTAACATTCTTCATTGTTCATCAACATTTAAGAAATTTAATTTTGTAGATGTTTTTACTAAAGAGGGTAACAAACTATTTTGGAACTGCTGTATGTTATTCAAGGGAAGCACGCTGTTTGGAGGAAGGAGCATACTTAATGGGTAGTATTGAGGATGAAAGGGAATTTCTCTCTCTGCCATTTTATTTGATAATATTAAAGAAATAAAGACTGGAAAGGGGGATTCCTTGTTAAAGGTCAGATTTTAAATTGCATATAAAATGAAGTGAGTTGTGTTTTTTTGAACCCTCAAAAGAAAGCCTGAGAGGTGATTTATGCCTCTGGCAAGGTATTATCATGATAACTTCAGTTCTTCTCCATAAATGCCTTCAGCAAATACCCAGTGCTTATGTGCTGTGTGTATGTCTTAAACCTTAACTTTCATGAAATCTCATTCCATCTTAGTTCTTCATCAAGTCCATAGATAAAATCCTCTCTAAGCGTTTCTGAAGTATGTATCCCTGAACAAATTTAGTGAAATAAAATCATTAATCTGTGTTGATCCCATTTTGCCATACCTTTCACTTTACCTCACTGTCTCCTTTTGTGAAATATTTTAAGAAAGCAACGTCCCTCACAGGACTGTTTTGAGGAATGCCTCATGGCTGTGAAGGAGTTTGTACAATGCAACATTTTGCTTAGCCCTTCAGTACATTTTACTTGGATTGTTTTCAAGAACTTTATTTTTTTTGAGAAGAAGTCTTGCTCTATCACCTAGGCTGGAGTGCAGTGGTGCGATCTCAGCTCACTGCAACCTCCACCTCCTGGGTTCAAGCGATTCTTCTGCCTCAGCCTCCCAAGTAGCTGGGATTACAGGCACCTGCCACCAGGCCTGGACAATTTTTTTTTTTTTTTTTTTTTTTTTTTTTTTTTTTTAGTAAAGATGGGGTTTCAGCATATTGGCCAGGCTGGTCTTGAATTCCTGCCCTTAAGTGACCCACCCACCTCGGCCTCCTAAAGTGCTGGGATTATAGGCCTGAGCCACTGCGCCTGGCCATTCAATGACTAATTTTTAAAAGCAATATTACAAAGTGGTCAGAAGCCTTTTCAGAAATGTTGGAGAAAATGATCACTAATGCTAGTTAATAGTCTTCGCCTAAAAATGAATGCAACTTTTACCCTTGATCATATAGCAAATATATTTTGGAACCTGAATGCTGAATGGCTTCTTTGTTGCTGTTAAGGACTAGATTCTAGTAACCAGAATATCAGTTGGGGTCATTATCATTGTTAGTAATAGATTGGAAACATATAGTGTTCTATGCATTACTCAGAAATAAGAGACATAAGCAAAAATGAACATCATTCCTTCAGCCACACATTGTATATTACACATAGAAGAACCTGCTCAATATCTATAAAAGACTGTATGAATTCAAGCACAGTGCCGACCTGCCCAGTAAAATGCCCAGTAAAATGTGCATTAAAAAAGTCATTAATAGGACATAAGTCCTGCTAAAGATGGCAATTCATTAGGACCTCAGGCTGCTGTAACAGAATACGATAGACTGGGTGGCTTATAAGAAACAGAAGTTTATTGCTCACAGTTCTGGAGCAAAATATAAATTATGGAAATTTTCTTTAGGAAATTTCTTTCTTTTAATTTTTATTGTTAATGGTAATATCTTTACTGTGTAATTCTAATATCAGCATATATCTTGTTGTCTTTGATTACAGACATAAAAATGCTTGAAAAACTCAAAGGGGATATAGAATGATGACTCTAAGAAATAATCTAGTTTTAGTTGCTACTCTGCAACATACTGTCTTTATTATCTTGGTCAAGTTATATGGCCTTTCTAAGATTCAGCTTGCTCATCTGTAAAATGGATGTTATAATATCCAACCTCCTTGTGAGGTTATTGTGATGAGCTAGTGTTCACTTTGCTCAATAGATGCTTGTTGTAGTGGTTACAGCTATCTGTGGTCATTACCCTTTGTGTTTGAAGAGCTTGACTGAGATTTGTCCAGAAAAAGGGAATCGTTGATGATAGTACCTGGGGTGGTACACATTTATTGTGTTACAAAATAGGCATTGTACTAGGCGCCATTGCTGATAGGAATAAGACACAGGAGAGAGAGGTGTGAAGGGTTTTGAGTAGGGCTTTTTGATATTATGATGGTATTAAAACCAAGGACTGAGGAATGCTTAAATTATTCTCTGACTCTTCCCACCCTCCATGGGATTTCTGGTGGAGTCTTGCACAAAGCTCTCAATAGGATAATCAGACTCAAACAGCCTCTTTATAGTAGCTTTGCAAACCACATAAATGCAGTACACTGATTGATTGTATAAGCTGGATCTGAGCATATTATTTAGATTTGAAGTGTAACTAGGAGAGGATCTTTTACTGCCTTTCCATTTCCCAATTCTGAATCTTGGGACTAGTCTATTCAATGTGCTTGCAATAAGAAAGAGGAGAGAAAAATGCCTAGATCTGTAGGTCTTGACCCTGCTTGCTCATACTGAAGATCAACTGAAGAAGGAGAAGAAGAGGAGCCTGAGCAGCCTTTCTCCTAGGAGACAAGCCCTCTCTTGCTGTCCATGTGATATGGATGCAAGAATATGGAGTACAATGCATGGGAGCTTACTTTTAAGTCATATTAACCTTTTTCACTAGTAAAATGTGGCCTCATCTATATCCTGGGATTAAACCAATTAATTTAGCAACACCATTGGTGCTGGTAGTAGGCCCAATTAAGGAGATCGGCAAGGGATAGAGGTGTTTGAGGAGAAGTGACTCTTTAGGATTATTGTCCTCTCGAGTCATTGGACTTAACAGCCAAGCCTCTGGTCAGTCAGAGGTGTGGCTGTATCCCAAAGAGGATATGACCAGTCATGACCAGCAGATACCTTCTTTTATCTTCCTGAGGCTTCTTCTCTGCTATATACCCTTGCCCCTTTGTATCCTCCTGGAACAGTGACATGAGCAGTTAAATTACTGTCTCTAAGCCTCTGAAATGAGTCAGAACTGGAATTGATTAATGCCTCCAAGGGCATTTTGAGCATTAGGTCAAAAATTTATTGTTTATTTTATTTCCCATGCAAACCATAACCACATCATCCAACCCAGCTTACCAGAGAAGATGATTCAACTAGCCCAAATAGGCCATTATGAATATTTGAAAATTTAAGCTTCTAAATTAAAAAAAACTGATTATGAAAGTAATTATATTTAAAAACCATTACTGTATGTAGGGGGTAATATTAATGCTTTTGGGTCAGGATATTATCCCAAGAACTTTTGGAATGAATGTAACGTAAGTTGCTTCTTATATAAATGGAGTAAATTCATCTGATGAGTCCACTCATGGGGAAAAAAAAAAGCCAGTTTTACATAAGAATGCCCTTAGTGAAGCAATAAAAATGATGAATTTTATTAAATCTTGACCTTTAAGTGCATGTCTTTTATTTATTTATTTATTTGCCAAGACCAGCTTGTTTGGGGAGACCCTAACCCAGCAGCACTAGAGGAATTAAAGACACACACACAGAAATATAGAGGTGTGAAGTGGGGAAATCAGGGGTCTCACAGCCTTCAGAGCTGAGAGCCCCAAACAGAGATTTACCCACGTATTTATTAACAGCAAGCCAGTCATTAGCATTGTTTCTATAGATATTAAATTAACTAAAAGTATTCCTTACGGGAAACGAAGGGATGGGCCGAATTAAAGGAATAGGTTGGGGTAGTTAACTGCAGCAGGAGCATGTCCTTAAGGCACAGATCGCTCATGCTATTGTTTGTGGCTTAAGAATGCCTTTAAGCGGTTTTCTGCCCTGGGCGGACCAGGTGTTCCTTGCCATCATTCCGGTAAGCCCACCACCTTCCAGCGTGGGCGTTATGGCCATCATGAACATGTCACAGTGCTGCAGAGATTTTGTTTATGGCCAGTTTTGCGGCCAGTTTATGTCCAGATTTTGGGGGACTTGTTCCCAACATTTATTTATTTATTTTTATTTTTTGGTAGAGACAGGGCTTCTCCTTGTTGGCCAGGCTGGTCTCGACCTCCTGACCTCAGGTGATCCACCCACCTTGGCCTCCCAAAGTACTAGGATTACAGGCATGAGCCACCATGTTCGGCCAGTGCATGTCTTTTTAATATTCTGTGTGACAAAAATAAGAGTAAAATACCTGTGCTACACATCATAGTATAACAGGAGTCTCACAGTGCTTGTGTGATTGAGTTGTGAGCTGAACTTGCTGCTTTTTCCATGGAATACTATTTTTACTTAAAAAAATCTGACAAACTATGCTTACTCTGTCTTGTGTTTTTGTCAACAATTTTTGTGAAAACAAAGTGAGCCTGTCACTTTAAGAGACAGAATTTGTTGCCAATGATAAAAATCTCAGCTTTCAAGCGAAAAGTGAAATTTTGGAAAACGAATATCCACCACATTGAGCTTGACAACTTTGCAATACTTAAAAGACTTTCCTGAGGAGATTGGTGGTAATATTAACAAATGTTACTGTTGACACTGAATAAATGCAGAAATAATGACATGGAATAATGTTTTTAGTTTGTTTATCATTTGTTTTTATAATTCTAAAGAAGGAAGTGTTAAGTACTGGAGACAGCAATTTTTACAAGTTAAATACTTTTTTTTTTTAGTTGAAAAGTTCTACAAGTGAAGTTTCTTTAATATACTTTGAGTTCTAGGGTACATGTACACAACGTGCAGGTTTGATACATAGGTATACATGTGCCATGTTGGTTTGCTGCACGCATCAACTCATCATTTACACTAGATATTTCTCCTAATGCTATCCCTCCCACAGCCTCCCATCCCCGACAGGCCCTGGTGTGTGATGTTCCCTGCCCTATGTCTAAGTGATCTCATTGTTCAATTCCCACCTATGGGTGAGAACATGCAGTGTTTGGTTTTCTGTCCTTGTGATAGTTTGCTGAGAACGATGGTTTCCAGCTTTGTCCATGTCCCTGCAAAGGACATGAACTCATCCTTTTTTATGGCTGCATAGTATTCCATGGTGTATACGGTGCCACAGTTTCTTAATCCAGTCTATCATTGATGGACATTTGGGTTGGTTCCAAGTCTTTGCTATTGTGAATAGTGCCACAATAAACATACATGTGCCTGTGTCTTTATAGCAGCATGATTTATAATCCTTTGGGTGTATACCCAGTAATGGGATGGCTGGGTCAAATGGCAATTCTAGTTCTGGATCCTTGAGGAATTGCCACACTGTCTTCCACAATGGTTGAACTAATTTACACTCCCACCAACAGTGTAAAAGCATTCCTATTTCTCCACATCCTCTTCAGCATCTGTTGTTTCCTGACTTTTTAATGATCGCCATTCTAACTGGCATGAGATGGTATCTCATTGTGGTTTTGATTTGCATTTCTCTGATGACCAGTGATGATGAGCATTTTTTCATGTGTCTGTTGGCTGCATAGATGTCTTCTTTTGAGAAGTGTCTGTTCATATCCTTTGTCCACTTTTTGATGGGGTTGTTTTTTTCTTGTAAATTTGTTTGAGTTCTTTATAGATTCTGGATATTCGCCCTTTGTCAGAAGGGTAGATTGCAAAAATTTTCTCCCATTCTGTAGGTTGCCTGTTCACTCTAATGGTAGTTTCTTTTGCCATGCAGAAGCTCTTTAGTTTAATTAGATTCCATTTGTCTATTTTGGCTTTTGTTGCCATTGCTTTTAGCGTTTTAGTCATGAAGTCCTTGCCCATGCGTATGTCCTGAATGGTATTGCCTAGGTTTTTTTCTAGGGTTTTTATGGTTTTAGGTCTAACATTTAAGTCTTCAATCCATCTTGAATTAATTTTTGTATAAGGTGTAAGGAAGGGATCCAGTTTCAGCTTTCTACATATAGCTAGCCAGTTTTCCCAGCACCATTTATTAAATAGGAAATCCTTTCCCCATTTCTTGTTTTTGTCAGGTTTGTCAAAGATCAGGTGATTGTAGATGTGTGGTGTTATTTCTGAGGCCTCTGTTCTGTTCCATTGGTCTATATATCTGTTTTGGTACCAGTACCATGCTGTTTGGTTACTATAGCCTTGTAGTATAGTTTGAAGTCAGGTAGCATGATGCCTCCAGCTTTGTTCTTTTGGCTTAAGATTGTCTTGGCAATGTGGGCTCTTTTTTGGTTCCATATGAAATTTAAAGTCGGTTTTTCCAATTCTGTGAAGAAAGTCATTGGTAGCTTGATGGGGATGGCATTGAATCTATAAATTACTTTGGGTGGCCATTTTCACGCTATTGATTCTTCCTATCCATGAGCATGGAATATTCTTCCATTCGTTTGTGTCCTCTTTTATTTCATTGAGCAGTGGTTTGTAGTTCTCCTTGAAGAGGTCCTTCACATCCCTTTTAAGTTGGATTCCTAGGTATTTTAGTCTCTTTGTAGCAATTGTGAATGGGAGTTCACTCATGATTTGTCTGTCTGTTAATGGTGTGTAGGAATGCTTGTGATTTTTGCACATTGATTTTGTATCCTGAGACTTTGCTGAAGTTGCTTATGAGCTTAAGGAGATTTTGGGCTGAGACGATAGGGTTTTCTAAATATACAATCATGTCATCTGCAAACAGGGAAAATTTGACTTCCTCATTTCCTAATTGAATACCCTTTATTTCTTTCTCTTGCCCGATTGCCCTGGCCAGAACTTCCAACAGTATATTGAATAGGAATGGTGAGAGAGGGCATCCTTGTCTTGTGCCCATTTTCAAAGGGAATGCTTCCAGTTTTTGCCCATTCAGTATGATATTGGCTGTGGGTTTGTTATAAATAGCTCTTATTATTTTGAGATACATTCCATCAATACCTAGTTTATTGAGAGTTTTTAGCATGAAGGGCTGTTGAATTTTGTCAAAGGCCTTTTCTGCATCTATTGCAATAATCATGTGGTTTTTTGTCGTTGGTTCTATTTATGTGATGGATTATGTTTATTGATTTGTGTATGTTGAACCAGCCTAGCATCCCAGGGATGAAGCCAACTTGATCATGGTGGATAAGCTTTTTGATATGCTGCTGGATTCGGTTTGCCAGTGTTTTATTGAGGATTTTCGCATCAGTGTTCATCAGGGATATTGGTCCAAAATTTTCTTTTTTTGTTGTGTCTCTGCCAGGCTTTGGTATCAGGATGATGTTAGCCTCATAAAATGAGTTAGGGAGGATTCCCTCTTTTTCTATTGATTGGAATAGTTTCAGAAGGAATGGTACTAGCTCCTCCTTGTACCTCTGGTAGAATTCGGCTGTGAATCCATCTGGTCCTGGACTTTTTTTGGTTGGTAAGCTATTAATTATTGCCTCAATTTCAGAGTCTGTTAATGGTCTATTCAGAGATTCAGCTTCTTCCTGGTTTAGTCTTGGGAGGGTGTATGTGTCCAGGAATTTATCCATTTCTTCTAGATTTTCTAGTTTATTTGCATAGAGGTGTTTATAGTATTCTCTGATGGTAGTTGGTATTTCTGTGGGATCGGTGGTGATATCCCCTTTATCATTTTTTATTGCGTCTATTTGATTCTTCTCTCTTTTCTTCTTTATTAGTCTTGCTAGCAGTCTATCAATTTTGTTGATCTTTTCAAAAAACCGGCTTCTGAATTCATTGATTTTTTGAAGGGTTTTTTGTGTCTCTATCTTCTTCAGTTCTGCTCTGATCTTAGTTGTTTCTTGCCTTCTGCTAGTTTTTGAATTTGTTTGCTCTTGCTTCTCTAGTTGTTTTAATTGTGATGTTAGGGTGTCGATTTTAGATCTTTCCTGCTTTCTCTAGTGGGCATTTAGTGATATAAATTTCCCTCTACACACTGCTTTAAATGTGTCCCAGAGATTCTGGTACGTTGTGTCTTTGTTCTCATTGGTTTCCAAGAACATCTTTATGTCTCCCTTCATTTTGTTATTTAACCAGTAGTCATTCAGGAGCAGATTGTTCAGTTTCCATGTAGTTGTGCGGTTTTGAGTGAGTTTCTTAATCCTGAGTTCTAATTTGATTGCACTGTGGTCTGAGAGACAGTTTGTTGTGATTTCTGTTCTTTTACATTTGCTGAGGAGCTTTACTTCCAATTATGTGGTCAGTTTTAGAATAAGCATGATGTGGTGCTGAGAAGAATGTATATTCTGTTGATTTGGGGTGGAGATTTCTGTTGATGTCTATTAGGTCTGCTTGGTGCAGAGCTGAATTCAAGTCCTGGATATCCTTGTTAACCTTCTGTCTCATTGATCTGTCTAATATTGAGAGTGGGGTGTTACACTCTCCCATTATTATTGTGTGGGAGTCTAAGTCTCTTCGTAGGTCTCTAAGGACTTGCTTTATGAATCTGGGTGCTCCTGTATGGGGTGCATATATATTTAGGATAGTCAGCTCTTCTTGTTGAATTGATCCCTTTACCATTATGTAATGGCCTTTTTTGTCTCTTTTGATCTCTGTTGGTTTAAAGTCTGTTTTATCAGAGACTAGGATTGCAACCCCTGGTTTTTTTTTTTGCTTTCCATTTGCTTGATAGATCTTCTTCCATCCCTTTATTTTGAGTCCATGTGCATCTTTGCACGTGAGACGGGTCTCCTGAATACAGCACACTGATGGGTCTTGACTCTATCCAATTTGCCAGTCTGTGTCTTTTAATGGGGGCATTTAGCCCATTTATATTTAAGGTTAATATTGTTATGTTTAAATTTGATCTTGTCATTATGATGTTCGCTGGTTATTTTGCCTGTTAATTGATACAGTTTCTTCATAGCATTGGTGGTCTTTACAATTTGGCCTTTTTTTTCCCGTGGCTTGTACGGGTTGTTTCTTTCCATGTTTAGTGCTTCCTTCAGGCGCTCTTGTAAGGCAGGCCTGGTGGTGACAAAATCTCTCAGCATTTGCTTGTCTGTAAAGGACTTTATTTATCCTTCACTTATGAAGCTTAGTTTGGCTGGATATGAAATTCTGGGTTGAAAATTCTTTTCTTTAAGAATGTTGAATATTGGCCCATACTCTCTTCTGGCTTGTAGGGTTTCTGCCGATAGATCTGCTGTTAGTCTGATGGGCTTCCCTTTGTGCATAACTCAACCTTTCTCTCTAGCTGCCCTTAACACTTTTTCCTTCATTTCAAGTTTGGTGAATCTGACAATTACGTGTCTTGGGACTGCTCTTAAGTGAAGATTTTAAAAATCATTTTTTTTTAAATTTGAAAATTGGAATAAGATAAAAGATAACCACAGCTATCGATCAATGAGTGAAAAGAAGTCTTGGTTTTTCAATTGGGAAACACGGAAAAAAATGTATTCAGGAACATGAAAAATGCCTTAAAAACCTATCAAGGAAATTATGATTATTTTGCATTACTCAGAATATTAAACTGCCTGAAATTTGTTAACGTATTCTATATATTTTTATTGAGCATTTACTATGTGCCAGGAATTATTTTGGGCAAATGGGATATAGCAATGAATGGAAGTCACAAAATTGCTGCCACCACAGGGCTTACATTCTAATTCTAGTGTGGAATTATAACAGAAATGCTTTAGCAAAATGTAAACCACTTCAAGGAAGCTTTTATTTCTCTGTTTTGTGGACGCCTCATATGATAGAATTTACCTCGTGAATCTCTGTCACTCTATTTGAAACATGAAATGTGATACAAGTGGATTGTATTTATAGAGTATATTAAATGGGCTATATTATTAATGAGATGTGTTAAAAGTACTAAAAGTTCACATTTGAAGTGAGCTGGCAAGTCCAGAATAAGTCCTTTTAATTTTTATACCAGTGTTTATTCCTGTTCCCCGGGAGAGGAGGCATTTTTTTCTGTCAACACTGGGCGATTTAAGAACTGACTTGGGGGATGAAAATAACTATGGTGAGTCCACAGGGGCAAACAGTTCTGCTCCAGCCAATCCACATCTGTTCACCTTAAGTAGAGAGGCTGGGGTGAGTCAATATTTACTCAGCCTCAGTGCCTCAGAAAAGGTGATGAATTTTATCTTATGAGCTGCTTTCAGTCATCATGTATATAGTTCACACACCATTAATAAGAAGACTCATTCACCATGGAAATAATCTGCTAGTCTGAGAGAATGTTGGTCCCTAAGACAAGCATCTTGAAGTATCAAAGTTTCAT
This sequence comes from Homo sapiens, assembly GCF_000001405.40. Taxonomy (NCBI): domain Eukaryota; kingdom Metazoa; phylum Chordata; class Mammalia; order Primates; family Hominidae; genus Homo; species Homo sapiens. The sequence continues at coordinate 33,360,972 of NC_000008.11, read as the reverse complement.
CACAGATGTTTACTACTTCCTGTTTCTGTGGTCTAAAATTCACCTCAAATGTGTAGTTAACCTGTAAGTGATGAACCACTTCCATCACTTCCGCAATAAAATTAAAACGTGTCTGCTGGGGCACCCCCTCCCCATTTGTTTGCTTGTGTGTTTATTTTTGCAGTGACTCTAGGGCTGCCATTGAAGACACATTTTTGTAGCCTTTATTCAGAAAGACCATGCAGCTCTCTGTGCCTTTTAGCAGGATACGTTTTCTGGAAAGAATAAAACAGTAGGTAGAGGGACCTTATAATTTATCATCCAAGTTGGGGCACTCTGAGAGTGGAAGAGGCGCTATTGGTTAAGCCAGAATAATAGGCATAAACTGGGATGTGTGGTCACTTGAGCTATAGGGGGTGTAGGGGAGGAAAAGGTGTTTCAGTACCACTATGTTCAGAAACATTCTCTGGTGATGGGATCCTTGGATAAGAAAAAAGTTTCCTGATATTTATTTATTTATTTTATTTTTATTTTTATTTATATTTTTTGAGATGGAGTCTCACTCTATTGCCCAGGCTGGAGCGCGGTGGCACCATCTCGGCTCACTGCAAGCTCCGCCTCCTGGGTTCAAGTGATTCTCCTGCCTTAGCCTCCCAAGTAGCTGGAACTACAGGCACCCGCCACCACGCCCGGCTAATTATTTTTGTATTTTTAGCAGAGATGGGGTTTCACCATGTTAGCCAGAATGGTCTCGATCTCCTGACCTCACGATCCGCCTGCCTCGGCCTCCCAAAGTGGTGGGATTACAGGTGTGAGCCACCACATCTGGCCGGTTACTGATATTTATTAAGGGTCCCCTGTGTGCCAGGTACTTTGCTGGATTCTGTCATATATAATGGCACTTATCGGACACAATTACCATTTGAGGTAGATAGTTTGTTTTGTTTTTTGTTGTTGTTTTGTTTGTTTGTTTGGTTTGGTTTTTTTTGAGATGGAGTCTTGCTCTTTTGCCCAGGCTGGAGTCCAGTGGCGTGATCTCAGCTCACTGCAACCTCCGCCTCCCGGGTGTAAGCAATTCTCTTGTCTCAGCCTCCTGAGGAACTGGGATTACAGGTGTGTGCCATCAAGCCTGGCTAATTTTTGTATTTTTAGTAGAGATGGGGTTTCACCATGTTGGCCAGGCTGGTCTCAAACTCCTGACCTCAGGTGATCTGCCCACCTCGGCCTCCCAAAGTGCTGGGATTATAGGTGTAAGCCACTGTGCCTGGCTGAGGTAGATAGTTTTTTATTTTCTTGCTTTTATAATACTAAACAAAATAAAACTAAAATAATATAGCTATGGTGGGGTGAAATTTTAAACTTCTTTTCATTGTGAGAAGTCAATAGTTAAGATTTGCCAATAGTTTCTTTTTGTGGTGGTAGAGTACATCCAAAGCCTCTTGGTGGAGATGATCTGAACTCTAGCTGGAACCTCTTGTGCAAGCCCTTTACATATGGTGATTTAAGGCACTGAGGCTCCCTTTGTTCTATAGGGTGGGAGTAATTTTCTGTGTTTGGAAAAGATAGTGCCTTCACCAAACATCTTAGTTATGGAAAAGTTAAAAGTCAATTATAGGAAGAAGTGGCAATTTGAGAATAGATGCCATAAACTCTTGGAAAGCAAATTATTGAGGCTTAGAGATCCTTCTTCCTCACCTTACAAAACCCATTTTCCCACAACATCTTTTTTTGAAGAAGTTTAAGAAGTACAAAAAAGATGTAAGAATACTATAAATAACACTTGAATGTTCTTCAGTTAGATTCACCAATTGATAATATCTTGCCACATTTGCATCATTGCTTTTAATTTCTCTTTATTTTTTTGCTGTTTGAAAGTAAGTTGCAGCCATTGTAACAATTCACCCCTCCATCTTCTGTGATTTGTCTTAGTTCATTCAGGCTGCTATAACAAAATGTCATATACTGGGTGGCTTATAAAGAAAAGAAACTTATTTTCCATAGTTCTAGAGGCTGGGAAGTCCAAAATCAAGGTGCCAGCTGATTTGGTGTCTGGTGTGGGACTGCTTCCTGGTTCATAAACAACCCTCTTTTTGCTATAACCTCATATTGCAAAATGAGTGAGAGTTTCTCTGGGGTCTCCTTCTCTTTTTTTTTTAAGAGATGGGGTGTTGCCATGTCGCCCAGGCTGGTTTCAAACTTCTGAGCTCAGGCAATCTTCCTGCTTCAGCCTTCCAAAGTCCTGGGATTACAGACCGAGCCCAGCACTCTGGGTCTCTTTTATAAGGACACTAATCACTAATCCCATTCATGAGAGCTCCATCCTCATGACTTAATCACCTCCTAGAGGCCACACCTCCTAATACCATCATCTTGCAGGTTAGAATTTCAACATGAATTTTGGAGGGCAACAAACATTCTGACCATAGTAACATTCTTCTAAGGAATCACAAGAGCATTATTGCACCTAATAAATTGAACACTGATACAATACTATTATTTAATACACAGTCCATATTTACAGTTTTCTAATTGCCCCATGATGATTTGCTATATTTCTTTTTTCTTTCCAATTGAGAATTGCACGTATTTTTTACACATCCCTCTGTTAATCTAGACCAGTTCTCCTGTTTTACTTTGTGTCACTGTGGTTTTGGTCTTTTATGACACTGACATTTCTGAAGAGTCAAAAACATTTATCTTACAGAATATCCCTTTTTAAAATTTATTTATTATTTATTTTTGAGACAGGGTTTTGCTCTGTTGCCCAGGCTGGAGTGCAATGGCACCATCCTGGCTCACTGCAGCCTAGACCTCCTGGGCTCAGGTGATTCTCTCACCTCAGCCTCCCAGGTAGCTGGGACTACAGAAACACACCACAACACCTGGCTAATTTTTTTGTATTTTTTATATAGAGAGATGAGGTTTTGCCATGTTGCCTAGGCTGGTCTTGAGCTCCTGGACTCAAGTGATCTGCCCGCCTTGGCCTCCCAATGTGTTGGGATTACAGGTGTGAGCCACTGTGCCCAGCCTTGTCTTGTAGAATATTCCATAATGTAGATTTATCTGATTGCCTTCTCATGATTAGGTTCATGGACCCCCTTCTTTTCTGAGGTTCAACAGTATTAGAACATCTCTAATGGACTAAAGAGACACTTATGGAGGCTGCCTGTTGGAGAGGAGACCAGCTGCGTATGAGTGGAGATTATTTGGGAAAACAGAGTCTGGGGTGGTGACTCAGGCTTTAACACCTAGGTCTACAGGACAGTTTTTTATGTAGTTCTGCATGTGTATGTGCACGTGTATGTGCATGCACAACAAATTTTTGGGATTGAGAGAATTAAGAGAAGGAGAAAAATAGGAGGAAAAGGAATAGGGGAAAACAAAAGAAAACTTAAGAGGTATATACAGAGAGAAATATAGATATATACACATATATATGTATATATATATACACACATATATGTATACACACACACACATACATATATATATATATATTTGCAAGAGGATAATGGTGGTAGAGAATGGGGTCTTCTAATGTACCAATTAATTTTTTTAGTTTTCTCTCTGTAACCAAGAACAACTCCTTGGGCTAATAGGCCCCTAAAATTCTTAGATTTATTAGAATAGTTAGAAAAGAAGATCAAAACCTTTTGGAGATAGGAAAGATAGACACTCATATTAAAATAAATGTGGGTAGGAAGAATCAATATTGTGAAAATGACCATACTGCCCAAGGTAATTTATAGATTCAGTGCCATCCCCATCAAGCTACCAATGACTTTCTTCACAGAATTGGAAAAAACTACTTTAAAGTTCGTATGGAACCAAAAAAGAGCCTGCATCACCAAGTCAATCCTAAGCCAAAAGAACAAAGCTGGAGGCATCATGCTACCTGACGTCAAACTATACTATAAGGCTACAGTAACCAAAACAGCATGGTACTGGTACCAAAACAGAGATATAGATCAATGGAACAGAACAGAGCCCTCAGAAATAACACTGCATATCTACAACTATCTGATCTTTGACAAACCTGAGAAAAACAAGCAATGGGGAAAGGATTCCCTATTTAATAAATGGTGCTGGGAAAACTGGCTAGCCATATGGAGAAAGCTGAAACTGGATCCCTTCCTTACACCTTATACAAAAATTAATTCAAGATGGATTAAAGACTTAAATGTTAGACCTAAAACCATAAAAACCCTAGAAGAAAACCTACGCATTACCATTCAGGACATAGGCATGGGCAAGGACTTCATGTCTAAAACACCAAAAGCAATGGCAACAAAAGCCAAAATTGACAAATGGGATCTAATTAAACTAAAGAGCTTCTGCACAGCAAAATAAACTACCATCAGAGTGAACAGGCAACCTACAAAATGGGAGAAAATTTTCGCAACCTACTCATCTGACAGAGGGCTAATATCCAGAATCTACAATGAACTCCAACAAATTTACAAGAAAAAAAAAACAACCCCATCAAAAAGTGGGCAAAGGACATGAACAGACACTTCTCAAAAGAAGACATTTATGCAGCCAAAAAACACATGAAAAAATGCTCACCATCACTGGCCATCAGAGAAGTGCAAATCAAAACCACAATGAGATACCATCTCACACCAGTTAGAATGGCAATCATTAAAAAGTTAGGAAACAACAGGTGCTGGAGAGGATGTGGAGAAATAGGAACACTTTTACACTGTTGGTGGGACTGTAAACTAGTTCAACCATTGTGGAAGTGAGTGTGGCGATTCCTCAGGGATCTAGAACTAGAAATACCATTTGACCCAGCCATCCCATTACTGGGTATATACCCAAATGACTATAGATCATGCTGCTATAAAGACACATGCACACGTATGTTTATTGCGGCTCTATTCACAATAGCAAAGACTTGGAACCAACCCAAATGTCCAACAATGATAGACTGGATTAAGAAAATGTGGCACATATACACCATGGAATACTATGCAGCCATAAAAAATGATGAGTTCATGTCCTTTATAGGGACATGGATGAAATTGGAAATCATCATTCTCAGTAAACTATCGCAAGAACAAAAATCCAAACACCACATATTCTTACTCATAGGTGGGAATTGAACAATGAGAACACATGGACACAGAAAGGGGAACATCACACTCTGGGGACTGTTGTGGCGTTGGGGGAGGGGCGAGGGATAGCATTAGGAGATATACCTAATGCTAAATGACGAGTTAATGGGTGCAGCACACCAGCATGGCACATGTATACATATGTAACTAACCTGCACATTGTGCACATGTACCCTAAAACTTAAAGTATAATAATAATAAAACCAAAAAAAAAATAAATGTGTTGTTATTGTCTGAGATGATGAAGCAGGACATATCAATATAAATATAACATCCCAGTTTATATAACTAACAATTGGCAGATCCAAATTTCAAACCCAAGTTGGTTTATGGTAATGCATGATGGTTAATTTTATATCATCTTGACTGGACTAAGGGATGCCTAGGTAGCTGGTAAAACATTATTTTTAGGTGTGTCTGTGAGGGAGTTTTCAGAACAGATCAGCATTTAAATCAATCGATGGAGGCTGCTGCAATTTTTTTTGCAATACTCCTGAAAAAGCTGTTCATTTTCCACATTGATATTGAAAAATCCAGTTGTACTCTTATAACCTTTAATATAAATATGAGTTCTTTACAAGTGGAAGGGAGCCTCTGTCAGCACTTATAAGTGAGCCTGTTTTTCCCTTCTTTAGGAAGGAAGATATAATATTGATATTGGAATATAAATAATCTGGTTGGCATGTATTAAACACTTGGAAAATCCTGCAGCAGCTGTGTTAGCCTTAAAAGATACTCCCATTGATAAGAAAGCCTAGGTGTGGTGGTCTCTCACCTGATTTGTTTGCAGGGTGCCATTGTAATTCTGCATCCAAAAGTATTTCCATTTCTCCATTGTGGGTACTGGCAGAATAAGGCTCACAAAGGACTGTGAAGTAAAGATCACATATTTGTGTAAACAACGAAAGTTCAGAAAAAAGTACTGTTGGGATTTCGGAAGTGCCGCTATGGTAAACCATGATTATAGTTATGGGAAATGACCATAAAGTTCAAAGAAAAATAGCGTATGATGTCATCCCCCATGCCCTACTTGTTATGCTCCTCCCCACATAAGTCTCAGATCTAAGAAACAAAGACGCCATTAGTCAAGTCTGTTATTCTCTTTAATTTGATTCTTATCCAAAATTTCCTTTATTTTTGCAATTATAGAAGATAACATGTGATGGTTAATTTTATATGCCAAGTTGACTGGGCTAAGGGATGCTCAGGTTGCTGGTAAAATATTATTTCTGGGTGTGTCTGTGAGAGTGTTTCCAGAATAGATCAGCATTTGACTCAGTAGACTGAGTAAAAAAGATCGCCAATGAAAACAGGCATTATTTAATCCAGAGGGGTTAGATAGAACAAAAAGGCCAAGAAGAGCGAATTATCTCTCTATTCTTGAGCTGGAACATCCATCTTCTGCCTTCATGCATTGTTATTCCAGGTTCTTGGGCCTTCAGTCTCAGATTGGGAATTATCCTCCTACTGCCCTCAGACTCAAACCGGGGCTTACATCATCAGCTCCTCTGGTTCTTGGGCCTTTGGACTTACAGGGAATTACACCACCAACCCTCCTCGTTCTCCAGATTGTGGAACAGATGGTAGGACTTCTTGACCTTCATAACTGAATGAGCCAATTCCCATAATAAATCTTCTTATCTATATGTAATCTCCTATCGGTTCTGTTTCTCTGAAGAACCCTGACAAATATGATGTGGTTCTCCAAAATTCATATTCTGCCTATCTTTTGAAACACCAACAACACACCAAACAAATTTTACTATAATAAGAGGCTTTCAAATTTTCAAAAAGTCGGCGGGAGGTGAGGGGGATGACAATAACAAGTAACAGAGCTGTATGGATAATGAAGAAAGAGAGTAAAAAATGCACTTTCTGAGGAGATATAAAAATAGTGTTAAGTTGGTGAAGCAGAATTGTACAGTGGAGCTGATGCACACAGCATAATTCCAGAAAAAGAGGCTTTCTATTGGTTTCTTTACCGAGGCCAAAGTCTTAGTTTTGATTTCAGGAAATCCCCAAACAGGAAATAAGATGTTGCAAGCTTTGGGCTTTTGGGACAGAATCAGGAGAGAGATAAATTCTAACAACCTAAAAATTGCTCAGTGATTTCTTGGCTTCTGAGGGCATGTCACCGAGCCAAGGTGAAGCCACACTTTCTCCCTCTGACTGCAGCTGGCTCAGGTGCCAGATCTCACCGCCAAGCACCCCAAAACTAGTGATTGCTCAACACAACCACATTCCCCATGTCCTCACAGGGGCTCTGTTGAAGTTGCACAATCCTTTAGCAAACTTAAGGGGTCATTCATGAAGGGCACGAAAAACAAGGAGAAAACAACTTCTAATCTTGTGCAGACGAGAAAGAATCTGTTTTGGCAATAGCAAGGAGGGGGATGGCTGTAGAACTCCGGGGTTTCTGCAGTGATCTCAGTGCTGGCAGCCTCTAGGATGACCTTGGAAAAGACTTTTAGTCTGTGTCAACTTGATCAGAATCTCCAGACAAAACATGCGTGAGTTCAGCCAAACTGACTGTTTCCAACATTTGCCTGTTTGACATCATGTAGGCACAGTCTTCATTGCACTGGGCTTTAATTTTACTCTCATAAAAGATGTTGGGAAGGGATCCCTGTCTGCTTCCATTCCCTCTTTGTCTAACACCCCTGCAAGCAAATTACAGGGAAACATTCAACAATGAAGATTTATCAAGTATTGCACCATTCATGTATTAACCAGAATATGGTGGAGTTGAGTTTAGATCAATTTGGAGATGGCTGGAAAGTGACACTGGGGACTACAAACCTGAATGTGTTCAACAGGATTTACAAAGCTTTCGAAATGTTGCTCTCCTCTTATGGGCATGCTGCTTCCCAATTAAACAGAAAACTTGGTCTCAGGCTGTGCACAGCTTCTCTCATGTTTACATGTGTCCCATATGTCCTCAGGGCACTGCCCACTGGGATAATTGATTAATCTGAGGTGGTCATTAATTGTTTGATGTCTGTTGTAGAGGAGGATAGGGTGGTCCCAGGGTAATCTGATATGAGGATAGCCATGGGTGAATGACAGTATCTCTATTCTCTCATGTCCTGCCAAGTCCCGACATTCAAAGTGAGCTTGGCAATTATCTAACAAAGAAAAGAGAGACATGTGGCTTTTCCCAATGGGGGCTTTCATTGTCCATTCGTGTCCCTTTGTTTACTGCCTCTCAAAGAAACCATGACAACCATATTTGTCTCTATTTCCTCTCCCCTAGATGTCTCTGGTTCCATCTGTTAGATATTCACGGATGAAGTCAACTTTTTGTCTTTCTCATTATAAGTGAAAATACACTTATGTGGGTTCATTTAAAAAAAAAGAATCAAAAATAAAAATGGGATACTTGGCTTGATACATTGTTAAATAACTTCTCCACACTTTCTTAATTTTCACTAGCCTGTGGACATATTCATTTATCTGATTTGTCAGAAAGTGCCTGTGCAATGTGAAGAAATGCATCATTGCACGGGGAAATAAAGCCCCGTTTAAGGTATTTGTGTAACAGAAAAGTGGCCCCTTCATTCTCCGGCTGAGTGGTGCACATTTTGTTTCTAACTCCAAAATCTCACGTAGTGACAGCCAGGAACACCTCTTCTTCCTCATAAGGTGGTTTTGCTTTCTAAGGCTTTTTGTAAGCGTGTGAAATTTCATGGCTATTTGATGAATACTAGACACAGAAAGCAGTGACTGTGGCTTCACCCTCAGCAGGACACAAGAGGGGTTTCTTTTTGTGTAAAGTGTCATTTACAACTTGGTCCCATTGACAGAGCCGTTCAACACACAGCCATCCCAGGCCTGGGAGTCCTGGCTTATATCTAGTTTTGTCTTTGTTATTAAATCTTTATGACCTTGAGCAAAAGATTTTGTCTCAATGTGAACCCCAGCTCCTTCACATGTAGAATGAAGTGAAACTAGATGACATATAAATTCCCAAACAGCTTTAAAATGATATAATTCTGTCATGGCTAACCACTGGCTAATGACTTTGCTAGTTTTTATCTTCTACCTGTTATATACAGTTATAGCCTCTATCCTTTTTTTTTATCTCACTCTGTAATGTTTCTCATCTGTCTTGCCTGTTTTATGTTTTCCACTCTCATCTGTTTCAATTTACTGTTTTAGTCCTTTTGTGTTGCTACAAAGAAATATCGGAGGCTGGGTAAGAGGTTTATTTGGCTCACAGTTCTTCAGGCTGTACAAGAAGCATGGTGCCAGCATCTGCATATAATGAAGGCTTTAGGCTGCTTCCACTCTTGGTGGAAGAGGAAGTGGTGCTGGTGCATGTGGAGATCACATGGCAAGGGAGGAAGAGGTTAGGGCAGGAGGTGCAGGGCTCTTTTTTAACAACCAGCTCTTGAGAATAATAGAGCAAGAACTCACTCACACCCCCTGCCCCCCGCCGACTCCCCATCACCAGGAAGGGCATTAATCTATCATGAGAGATCTGCTCCTATGACCAAACCCCTTTCATTAGGCCTCACCTCCAACACTGGGGACCAAATTTCAACATAAGGTTTGGAGGGATCAAACATCCAAACTATAGCGTACACTTATGACTTTAAAACATATTTAAAAATGAGCTTTAGGCCTGGTGCAGTGGCTCGTGCCTGTAACCCCAGCACTTTTGGGAGGATGAGGTGGGTGGATCACCTGAGGTCAGGAGTTTGTGACCAGCCTGGCCAACATGGTGAAACCCTGTCTCTACTAAGAAAACAAAAACTAGCCGGGTGTGGCGGTGCACACCTGTAATCCCAGGTACTCGGGAGGCTGAGGCAGGTTGCAGTGGGCAGTGAGCCGAGATCGTGCCACTGCACTCCAGCCTGGGCAACAGAGTGAGACTCTGTCCCAAAAAATAAAAATAAAAATAAAGAACTTTGTTGCATTATAATTATATAAAACACAGTGCACCCATTTCACATTTAGTGAATTTTTTCAAATGTATATAAATGTATTTATACCACCACAATTAACATTTAGAACGTTCATCCACCCCAATAGGTCCCTTAGTTTCTCTTTGCAGTCAATACTCCCCTTTTCCTGGCCCAAGGCAATCACTGATCTCTCCTTTCTGACACCAAACATTTTTTTCTCTTCAAAGCCATGTTTCTAATCTTGATGCAAATATATATATGATCAATTTTCCACTGGGAAACTTGACTTAGATGCATGCAAGCCCCTTGACCTTAAAACAATGGAAATCAGGATCTTTTTCTATCATTAAAATTGTATGTCTGAGAATCATCCTGTATTTCTTTCTTGCCTCCTCTTCCCATGTCAATCAATCCCACTCAATAGTCCACTTCCTTAATATATTCACATCTGTCCCTTCCTTCTGCTACTATTTTTGTGCAGGGTCTAACTCACCACAATCTAGTCTTACCAAGTTCAGGAGCTGGCCGTGGATTTTCACATCCACTCATCCTTGTCCCTTAGGGTGTCAAGGACACCACCCTCTGTTTCAGGGAGAAGACAGGGCCTGGGAAAAGGATGTGGGTCATTTCAGATGGGGCTCAACATACCTTCAGCCAAGATGAATCTCTCTTACAGATGATCCACAGTCAATATGCAAGAAGCTGTTAATAAAAAGCTTCTGCACAGCAAAGGAAATAATCAGCAGAGGAAACAGACGACCCAGAGAATAGTAGAAAATACTTGCAAACTATGTATCTGACAAAGGACTAATATCCAGAATCTACAAGGAACTCATCAAAAAGTGGGCAGAAAACATGAATAGACAATTCTCAAACAAAGATATATAAATGGCCAACAAACATATGAAAAAATGCTCAACATAACTAAATATCAGGGAAATGCAAATTAAAGCTATAATGAGATACCACCTTACTCCTGTAAGAATGTCCATAATTTTTACCATAATTTAAAAATTAAAAAAATTAGATGTTAATGGGGGTGTGGTGAAAAAGGAACACTTTTACCCTGCTGGTGGGAATGTAAACTAGTACAACTACTATGGAAAACAGCACGGAGATTCCTTAAAGAACTGAAAGTAGATCTACCATTTGATCCAGCAATCCCGCTATTGGGTATCTGCCCAAAGGAAAAGACGTCATTATATGAAAAAGATACTTGTACATGCATGTTTATGGCAGAACAATTCACAATTGCAAAAATATGGAACTAGCCTAAATGCCCATCGACCAATGAGTGGATAAAGAAAATATGGTACATATACACCATGGACTACTACTCAGCCATAAAAAGGAACCAAATAATGGCATTTGCAGCTGCTTGTATGGAGTTGGAGACCATTATCCTAAGTGAAGTAACTCAGGAGTGGAAAACCAAACATCGTATGTTCTCACTTACAAGTGAGAGCTAAGCTATGAGGATGCAAAGGCATAAGAATGATACAATGGACTTTGGGGTCTTAGTGCGAAGGGTAGGAGGGGTGTGAAGGATAAAAGACTACACACTGGGTACAGCGTACGCTGGTCAGGTGATGGGTGCACCAAAATCTCAGAAATTACTACTAAAGAACTTATCTATGTAACAAAAAGCCACCTGTTCCCCCAAAACTATCAAAAAAAATTTTTTTAAGGCACTTGTGAAAAAAGCAAGGAGAAGAGGAGCTTGCATGGCTACTTGCCCAGGAAAAGGGCTACATTCATGAATGGGGAAAAATGTCTGTGGCCTCTGGCTTGACTCCTACAGCTATCTGGCACTGGTAGCCAATACAACGGGTAAGACCCTTGACACGGAACTACTCCTTTCCATGAGGCTTCTCTAGATGCACGCTCCATACATTAGGCTCCACGGATCTCCTCCGAGGTCAAGTCCACATCCTTTGGCTCTCAGCTCAGATGAAGTTCATACAGTCTTTTTCCAATGTATTTATGTGGTGTAACCTTTATATGCTGCTTATTTTAGGTTTTTTTCTCATATAAACGAAACACTCTCTAGCTCAATATTCTTTAAGAGCCACTCATCACTTCTAGGATAAATACTTTCTGATATAGCCCTTGTCTGAATTCCTAGGCTCACCTCCTTCTCTCCATTCATGTGCCCCTGTGCTCTGCCTGCACCAAACTACTTGCCTGTTCCCTAAACACTCCATGCTCCCTTCATACCTCTAAATCTTTGTAGACTCTGTTTTATTTCCTCTGCCAGGAATATCAGGACATAAATGATTCCTGTTTTTTCTTCAGGACTCACTTCAAATTATTTTCTCAGTAAAGCCTGCCCTAATATCCCCAAAGGCTATTACTCTTCTTCTTTCATTACATATTTGTATTTCTCCTGTGTAATTACCAGGTTATACACCAATGTGGAAAAGGAGGAAGTGGTACAACCCATTCCCTACATGGTCTCAACAGTTACCCGGTTAACTCACACATATACACTTTCATGTGTGCACATCCACACACCTACAAGGAAAAAGGAAGGACACACCTAACACTCTGACTTTTTTTTTGGTTGAAATTCTACATTCTGGCTCTTTGAGAGTTTTAATGAGGAGGTGGACTCATTATTTTCACTCATCATCAATTGGGAGTGACTCTTCTGCCACATTTTATTAGTTTTTCTTTCTTCAGTTTCCTTCACTGGTTCTGAGACAGTATGTTCCTTGTCTCCAATGTTCTGGACTATGTAGCATTCATCTGCAATAACAGAGGCATTTTCTGTAGATGGCCTTTTTTTTTTTTTTTTTTGAGGCAGAGTCTTGCTCTGTCACCGAGGTTGGAAAGCAGATCTCGGCTCACTGCAACCTCCACCTCCAGAGTTCAAGGAATTCTCCTGCTTCAGCCTCCCGAGTGGCTGAGATTACAGGTGCCCACCACCAGGTCTGGCTAATTTTTGCATTTTTAGTAGAGACCAAGTTTCACCATGTTGGCCAGGCTAGTCTCGAACTCCTGACCTTGAGTGATCCACCCACCTTGGCCTCCCAAAGTGCTGGGATTACAGGTGTGAGCCACCACACCTGGCCACTACATTGTCTTTTTAAAATATCATCTGTCTCCTTTGTCTTCTCTTATGTTAGTCTGGTATGCACCTGGCATCAGGAGGTGAAGGAAAAATCAATCCTGCATCGTCTGTAAAAGAATGTATTACATTGTAAGTTTTAGAATCCGTTTACATATTTGTCTCCTGCAGACTGAGTTCCTTGAAGGTCAGGTGGTATCCTTTTCTCTATACATCCCTAATGCCTAGCTCAGTGCCCGGCAGAATCCATCAATGAATGAATTTATGACTTTGAATTCTGCCTATACTTCTATTGCCAGTTCATGGTTTATGTTAAGTAGCCTGTTTTGCCTTAATTAAAAACCTGCCCATGAGTAAATAAAGTGTACTTGAATATATGTCTGAATTTAAAACATTTTCTCATTTAAAATTAGCAACAAGCATGAGTAATATTTTCATGTGCCAATGCCTCAAATTCAATGCATCGTGTTTTGAAATAGTAACCAAAGCCAAGTCTGGATAATTAATTTAGATAATTTGTCAAGTCTTACTGCTGGTGGTGGACATGTAGACATAATATATAGCTACAAACAGTATTTGCAGAACCTATGGTACTTTAAAAGGGAATAAAATAAATGATCAGAGAAAATACAACCAAACAGTGCAGGCTTTTTTCATTAACACTTCCAGAAAAGGAAGCTAAGTGTCAGCTCAGAGTGTTGATTGCGGGGATCAAGGTGGAGATGCTTGTTTTTTTTAGGGATTGGAAGAACCTGGAGCGGTTCTCTTGTTTTTGTGCGGATGGTGACAGGCGCAGGAGAAGGAGCACCTGGATATATTTTGAAGCATAGGCTGTATTGCTAAGTGTCAGAGAGTTGGGTAAAGCATTCAAAAGGCACTTTGGAGATCCATATTCCTAACAAATGCCAATAGTGTATTATAATTTTTGATTTTATGGAGAAATTATATTTCCTTCAGGGACTAAAACTTCATAGAAGTTTTCTCTGACTAATCTACCTCATGATGATTCTTTGCTTGCTTTGAATAACTGTGACATTCACATGGGCTGTCTCTGTTCTCTATATTTATATTATGTTTGTTCATATGATGCCTTAGAATAAGCCCAGATTGTATCTCACCTACTAGATTATTTTATCCTGGGGGCTCATGTCTTTCTTTGCATTCTCTATAGCTCAATATATGTTCCAAACATTTTTACTTATGGCCCTGATGTGACTTGAGCCTCAAAACAACTTTGTAAGATGGAAACATTATACCTCTGATTTCTGCAGATTGAAAAACAGATGTGGAATATCGAGTAACATCCAAATGTATGCAGAAAACAAGGGGTAGTGTCCAGATTGAGAGCAAAGTTTATGATAATTCTGCAATAAGCTCTGAAAAGAAACAGAATGATTCCAAAGGAAACAATTAGTGGTCCTTTTGCTGACAACATAAAATGGAGAGGCAGCAGTGGTTAGTTATGGGCCTGGTATATTTTTCATGTTATCTGATAATTATATTTATTCCACACTGGTCATTCATGAAGCATGTAATCTAAAGCTCAACCTGTAATTGGTGCTTAATAGAGAAGGGTTTGTTGGCTGACAGTGTAAACCAAACCCTCAGATAATAGAAGAGGATGGACATCTGTTGATCTAGAAGTTTATGCAAAGCAGTTAGGTTTAAATTCTAAGGAAATTTAGCTCACAATTAGGCAGTTTGAATGCCTCTCACAGAGTTTTTTTTTTTTTTTTCTTTCCACTGCACTCAGTGGCTATAATTTAAAAATGTAGGGCCAGGCACGGTGGCTCACGCCTGTAATCCCAGCACTTTGGGAGGCTGAGGAGGGTGGATCACCTGAAGATGGGCGTTCAAGACCAGCCTGACCAACATGGAGAAACCCCATCTCTAATAAAAATACAGAATTAGCTGGGCGTGGTGGCAGGCACCTGTAATCCCAGCTACTTGGGAGGCTGAGGCAGGAGAATCACTTGAACCCAGGAGGCAGAGGTCGTGGTGAGCCAAGATCACCCCGTTGCACTCCAGCCTGGGCAACAAGAGCGAAACTCCATCTCAAAAAAAAAAAAAAAAGTAATAAATACCAACTTCTGTAGCTGCTTTACTGTCTTCTTTCCTCTTTCCACGCCCCATTGTTCCTCCTGCCATCATGCTGGTACCTCCTTAAGGCACTCACACATTTCATCCCTTGCAAATGGAGTATAAAAACATATTTAAAAAGCCATAATCCCAGCAGTTTGGGAGGCCTACGTGGGCGGATCACTTGACGTCAGGAGTTTGAAACCAGCCTGGTCAACATGGTGAAACCCTGTCTCTACTAAAAATACAAACATTAGCTGGGCGTGGTGGCAGGCGCCTATAATCCCTGCCACTTGGGAGGCTGAGGCACGAAAATCACTTGAACCCGGGAGGTGGAGGTTGCAATAAGCTGAGATTGTGCCATTACACTCCAGCCTGGGTGACAGAGTGAGACTCTGACTCAAAAAAAAAAAAAAAAAAAAGTAAAATATACCACATGTGGTGATTAATTGTCATAAGAAAATCACCCAGGGCATTGATGGCAGACCTGTGTTTTAAATCGTGTAAATTCAATGTCTCTCACTCTCGAGCTCTTTTGAATTTTAGTGTCTGAATCACCCTATAGTAGCATTGCTCTTTTTTTCAGGGTAATTTAATAAAAAGATGAAATTACTCTGCATACATTTTTTAATTGCAATTCTTGAGATAAAATAGGTTGATGTCATCCAAGTCCTCTCTCCTGAACCAACTGCAAATGTGTTTTTAATGCAAACAATTTTAGTCCATAAGAAATCTACTGGAGCAACAGAATGCTCATAAAAATATGCCCTGTTGGCTATATCACCGTCTCAGTTGCATTAGACAATTTCACATTCAATCTTTATTTTGATTTCTCTTATTATTCAGCTCTGTTTATTCCTGGGACCCATGTAGGGTGTCACAGTTATAAAAATGTCATAAAATCAAGCCATAAATGAAATTACCTTTAGGCACAAGTGACTTATCCGTGTACAAAGGTAAATCCTCCTGTTAACTTTTACTGAGCAAGGGATTCGGCAAGTTGCCTCTTAAATAATTTGGAAATTGCCATCTTGGGTTGTTTTCTGTCCTTTTGATATGTGTCTTTAGTCACCTTAGATTTTAGCTGGAACGTCTACTCTGTGGCTCTGAAGCAAGCTAATTTCCTTTTCTGTATCACAACCTTCGTCTGTGTTTTTGTTTTCCCTCAGCAAGTGAAGGAAGAAGATCAGGGCATTAATCTCACTCCATTAGAAGGATGCATTTCCGTTTTCATCCAATTAGCTGCTGTAATTTGAAGCTTTTGGTGCCTGCTGATAAGGCAGGATGCTGGCAGCAGAAAAGGCCATGGAGAGCTTTCAGAGGGGGCTCTGTGAGCTGTTATCACAAGTTTCACTCAAAAGATCAAGTGTCAGTCCTGCTTACACCAGTCAGATCCTCAAATCTTTATATATTCATTAACCATCGATACGTGGTTATTCAGGGAGGTGGCAGCAAGGCTTCAGACAGTAAGGTCTCAAGGCGCACAGAACCAAAGTAGCCAGTAATGAATTCACATCTCTGAGCACAGCTTGTTCTTAGGAGTGAAGGATTTAAGAAGCTGGCTTCTTTCCCTCTTTTAAAAACATAAGCGTATCCAGACTTGACATTTTTTTAAATAGGAGAAAAAGGCACACAAAACTTATTTTAACATGCATAGGGGAAACTCTCAGGAGTGTGATTACCCCTGGAAATTTTAATTTTACTCCATTTATTCATTCTTAGGGATCTCTTTGATATTAACAAGACAAACGAACTAACGGAAAAATGGAAGCTGTTAGTTTTGGAAGGCTGAAAAGACTCTGGGAATTCCTAACACAATGGGGTAATGATTTGCATAGGCAAAGGGAAGTGGGGGTTTGGAGGTCCCCACAAGGAAGTGTGGGTTGGGGGTCCTAACACCCCATATTATGTCTCTCTACCACTTTCTGCCATATGAGAGGAGAACACATGTACTTCTTAAAATAAGACAAGATATCCTTAGCAAATGTTAGCTTGACTTTCAAGAAGACGTGTGTGAGTTTCTGCTCCAAATATTGAAGTTGGATATTTTCTCTTCTAGAATGTTCATCTCCCATTTTTCTAGGAAACCTCTAGCATCAAGAAGCTGTTTGTAAAAAATAACTGAACAAGTAAAATCCTTTCAGAAAAAAACTCACTGACTTGAAATACCTAGTCAATTACCTCTAAAAGCAAGGATGGACAAGTGAGATAGTAAACTTGGGGTCTGGATCTCTCTTACTTTGCTTCGCTTTTCCTCATCAGTATAATAAAGGGGTTGTGTACATGGTAATTGCTAATATCTCTTTTGGTTTGAATATTCTGTAATTGGAGAGGCAGTACATTTCAATTTAGGATTGGCCAATATTAAGCTTGTCTATCGCATTTCTTGCCGGTTACATTCATGGCAGACACCTGTAATCAATTGTGAAAGCTTTTCCTGCTAATTTTAGAATCCCAAGGCCTTAGAAACCTTCTCAGCACAGAACTTTGAGCAATCAGTATCCATCAGATGAAGATAAAATTTTAACACCATTCCAGACATGATGGACAGATATGTAGTGAAGGACAGAGGTCAGGACAGAGATCTGGTCCTGTGTCTGTCTGTACACACTTGTGGAACCCTTGAGAAGTAAACTAAATATTTTAAAATTAAACTTGATATAGGTTTTTGCGTGAAAGTAAGTTTTCTTTTCCTTTTTTTTTTTTTTCTTAGACGGAGTCTTGCTCTGTCGCCCAGGCTGGAGTGCAGTGGCGCGATCTTGGCTCACTGCCTGCAACCTCTGCCGCCTAGGTTCAAGCGATTCTCCTGCCTCAGCCTCCCGAGTAGCTGGGATTACAGGCATGCGACACCACACCCGGCTAATATTCTGTATTTTTAATAGAGATGGAGTTTCACCGTGTTGGCCAGGCTGGTCTCAAACTCCTGATCTTAGGTGATCTGCCCGCCTCGGCATCCCAAAGTGCTGGCTTTACAGGTGTGAGCCACTGTGCCTGGCCAGTTTTCTTTAGGATAAGTGACTAGAGGTAGAATTGCTGAGTCATACGGTAACTGCACATTTAGTTTTTAAAGACATTGGCAAATGGTTTTTAGCTTGGCTGTAACATTCCTACTAACAATGTTTGAGTGATCCAGTTTTTCTGCTTCTTCACCAGCATTTAGTGTTGTCACTAGTTTTAGTTTTGGCCATCCTGATACATGTGTAGTGATTATCTAATTGTGGTTTTAATTCACATTTTCCTAATGGCTAATAAGATTGAACATCTTTTCATGGGTTTTATGCTGTCTGTATATCTTCTGTGAAATACCTTGTCATGTCTTGAGCTCATATTCTAATTGGATTTTTTTTTTTTTTACTGTTAAGTTTTGAGAGTTCTTTATATATTCTAATACTAGTCCTTTGTTGCAATATTTTTTCCCTTTGGTCAGTCTTGCTACAGATTTGTCAGTTTTCTTTTTTTGTGGGGGGACAGGGTCTTGCTCTGTCAGATAGGCTGGAGTGCAGTGGTACAAACACAGCTCACTGCAGCCTCAACTTCCTGGGCTTGAGTGATCCTCCTGCCTCAGCCTCCTGTGTAGCTGAGCCCACAGGTGTGAGCCATCACACCTGGCTAATTTTTTAATTTTTTAATTTTTTTTTGAGACAAAGTCTCTCTTTCTGTCTCCCAGGCTGGAGTTGCAGTGGTGTGATCTCAGCTCACTGCAGCCTCCACCTCCCGGGTTCAAGCAATTCTCTTGCCTCAGCCTCCCAAGTAGCT
Organism: Homo sapiens; assembly: GCF_000001405.40. Taxonomy (NCBI): domain Eukaryota; kingdom Metazoa; phylum Chordata; class Mammalia; order Primates; family Hominidae; genus Homo; species Homo sapiens. The sequence continues at coordinate 33,342,064 of NC_000008.11, read as the reverse complement.
GGGACTACAGGGACATGCCACCATGCCTGGCTAATTTTGTATATTTAGTAGAGTGGGGTTTCACCATGTTGGCCAGGCTGGTGTCAAACTCCTGACCTCAGGCCTTGGCCTCTCAAAATGCTGGGATTACAGGCATGAGCCACCATGCCCAGGCTTTTTTGATTTTTTTGTAGAGATGGAGTCTTGCTATGTTGCCCAGGCTGGTCTTGAACTCCTGGGCTCAAGCAATCTTCCTGCCTTGGCTCCCCAAAGTGTTGGGATTACAGGCACTAGCCACCAAGCCTGGCCTAATTTTCTTTATTGTTTTTCTGTTTTCAATGTCATTGATTTTGACTCTTATTTTTATTATTTCCTTGCTTCTGTTTGCTTTAGATTTATCTTGCTCTTTTTTTTCCCTAGCTTCTTGAGGTGAGAATTTGGATTATTTATCTCAGGCTTTCCCCCACCTTTAATGTATACATTTAGTGCTATAAATTCCTCTCTCAGTATTGCTTTAGTTGTGTTTTTTTGTCAGTTCAATATATTTTCTATTTCTTTAGAGCCTTCCTCTTTACTGAAATATTATAAGTGTGCTGTTCAGTTCCCAAGTATTTGGATATTTTCTTTCTTTTTCTTTTTTTTTTTTTTTTTGAGATGGAGTCTCACTCTGTTGTCCAGGCTGGAGTGCAGTGGTGCAATCTCAGCTCACTGCAACCTCCGCTTCCTGGGTTCAAGCAATTCTCCTGCCTCATCCTCCCAAGTAGCTGGGATTACAGGTGTGTGACACCAGCCTCGGCTAATTCTTGTATTTTTAGTAGAGACAGGGTTTCACTATGTTGGCTAGACTGGTTTGCACTCCTGACCTCAAGTGATCTGCCCACCGTGGCCTCCCAAAGTGCTGGGATTACAGGTGTGAGCCACCGCGCCTCGCCAAATATTTTTCTCTTAGTGCTCTGTTATTGATTTTCAGTTTGATTCCATTGTGGTCACTGAACCCATTTTGTATGATTCCAATATTTTAAAATTTTTAGGTTTGTTTTATGATCCTAGATATATGGCCTATCTTGGTATATATTTTCTGAGTGCTTAAAAACAATATGTATTCTTCTGTTATTGAGAAAAGTGCCCTAAAAATATTGATTAGATTCTGTTGGTTGATGGCATGTTGTGTTGTGTTCTTCTGTAGTCTTTATATTTTCTGTCTAGTTGTTCTGTCAACTGTTGAGAAAAGAGTGAAGACTTCAACATAATTGTATATTTGTCTATTTCTCCTTTCAGTTCTATGTGTTTTTGCTTCATATGTTTTGTAGCTCTGTTGTTTGGTGCATACTTACTTAGGATTACTATGTCTTTTTGGTGGACTACTTTTTTTTGTCTTTCTGTAATGTCCCTATCTGTTTCTGGTACTATTTTTGGCTCTGAAGTCTACTTTATCTCATATCAATATTACCAATGTTGCTTTTCTTTGATTAATGTTTAAATGATATATCTTTTTTTTAAACATCCTTTTATATCCTATTTACCTATATCAGTATAGTTTAAGAGAATTTCTTATGGGCAGCGTGTAGTTGGGTCATATTTTGAAACCTATATGCTGGGTTTTTTTTGGGAGTGTATTTAGACCATTTATATTTGATGCAATTTTTTATGTACAATTTGATAATTTAATAATTCACACACACACACATGTATATATATATATACACACACACATATGTAGCTAGACTTTATTCCCCCACTATCAACACCACAGTGGTACATTTCTTGCAACTGATGAATCTACACTGACATATTATTATCACCAAAGATTTTCCATTTACATATATGTGTGTGTATATATGTGTGTGTGTGCATTATTTGATTGTTTTTAAGTGTTTTTTTTAAGATATTACATCACATATACACGAACTTTACAATTGGCTGGTGTTGTCATTTTACCAGCTTGAGTGAGATATAGAAACCATGTCTCCTTTTACATTCCTTTACCCTTCTCCACTTATAATAGAATTGTTTAAAATATTTCCTCAACATACATTTAGAAATTTATCAGTGTTGTAATATGTGCTTCAACTAATAAACATAAATTAGAAAACTTGAGGGTTTTTTGTTCATTTTTTGCTTAGCATATTCTTTATAATTTTCTTCCTTTTAAGAACGCTTTTAAAAATCATTCTTTTAGAGCAGGTTTTCTGGCAACAAGTTATTTTAATTTTCCTTCATCTGAACATGGCTTGATTTCTCCTTCATCTCTGAAGAATATTTTTGTTGGATATAGGATTCTGGGTTGATAGTTCTTCCCTTTCAGCATTTGAAAATATCATGTCATTTCTTATTGGCCACTGTGGTTTTTGATGATAAATCAACTGTCATTTGAACTGTTTTTCCTCAATAGGTAAGGTGTCATTTATTCTATGGTGTTTTCAAGATGTTGTCTTTAGTTTTAAGAAGTTTAATCATGATGTGATATGTCTTGATGTGGATTTCTCTCGGTTTAACTTGTTTGGTCATCTTGAATCTACAGGTTTTTGTCTTTTGTGAATTTTGGAAAGTTTTCATCCATTATTTCTTTGAGTACTTTTTAGCCCCATTTTCTTTCTTGTTTCCTTCCAGGGTTCCAAATACACAAATGGTAGATCTTTTGTTACAGTCTCACTGGTTCTTGAGGCTGTGTGCATTTATTTCAATCCATTTTCTCTATTGTTATTTGGGCAATGTCTAATGTTTTACCTTCCAGATAACTGATTCTTTCCTCTTTCCCGTCCATTCTTACAGTTAGCCTACTCAATGAGCTTTTTATACTCACGGTTGTATGTTTTAGTTTTATAATTTCCATTTGATTCTCCTTTATATCTTCTATTTCTTTCTTGAAACTTTATATCTCTTCGTTGAAATTTACTATTTTTTCACTTATTTCAAGCATGTTTGTATAGCTCATTGGAGCATTAAAAAATTATGGCTCCTTTAAAAATTTTTCCCAGTAAATTTCAACATCTCTCTCAGTGGTAGTTGCATCTATTGATTGTCTTTTTTCATTTAGTTTGAGATATTTTTAGTTCTTGGTATGATGAATAATTTTTTATTGCAACTGGGTCATTAAAATATTATGTTTTGAGATCCTGATCTTTTTTTCATTGATCATGAATTTGCACGACATCCTCATGCAGTGGCCATAGTAATCTCTGTATCATTCCAATTTTATTATTTGTGTTGTTGAAGCAAGAATAAGATATGGGTCTTATTTAAGCCTTTTGTTTTAGCTGCTTTTCCTGCCACTGCTCCAGGAGAAGGGGAAGTGTGTACTGCATCATTTCTGCCAATTGGAGGTGAAATACTGACACCTCACTTGGCTTTTGATGACACCCGAGGAGGGAACTCTTCACTACTGATGGGCAGTGTCTGTGGAAGTTCAGCTTCCCATATGGTCTCTACTGATACTGCAATGGGGGTGATTTCATTGCTGCTGGGCAATGGTGAACATCATGACTCTTCATTAGACCTCTTCTAAAACCTCTCCAGCCAGGAGAAAGGGTGTTTCATTTTTGCCTATAGAAGTGGAAGTCCACACTTTTCATGTGGTCTCCATTGACACTGTAGGAGGGGGGATCTTGTTACTAGCCAATGGCAAGTGGCAAGTTTTCTTATCTATAATGTCTTTGTCTGGCTTTAGGATTAGGGTAAGTCTGGCCTCATAGAATGAGTTTGGAAGTGCTTCTCCCTCTTTTACATTTTAGAAGAGTTTGAGAAGTGTTGGTGTTAATTAAAAAAAAAAATTGGGTAGAATTCACCAGTGATGTCATCTAGAAGGTTGTTGGGAGGTTTCTGATTTCCGATTCACTATCCCTACTAGTTATAGGTTGTTATGGCCTGAATTGTGTCCCACCACTGCGATTCACATATTGAAGCCCTAACCTCCACTACCTCAAAATGTGACTATATTTGGAGATAGGACTTTTAAAGCAGTAGTCAATTAAAATGAGATTTTAGGGGTGGCCCTAATCTAATATGTGTCTTTATAAGAAGAGATTAGGACATGGACAGAGACAACAGATATTTGTGTGCTTTGGTATCAGGGTAAGGCTGGCTTCATAGAATGAGTTTGGAAGTATTCCTTCCTCATCAAAAAAGACAGAAAGGAAAGACCGAGTGAGAACAAAGTGAGAATGTGGCCATCTGCATGTGGCCATAGATCTTGGAAGAAACCAAACCTTCAGACAACTTGATCTTGGACTTCCAGCCTCTAGAACTGTGGAAACATAATTTTCCATTGTTTAAGCAATAAGTCGGTAGTATTTTGTTACGACAGCCCTAGTAAACTTATTTGGATTTTCTGTTTCTTCATGATTCAATGTTGACAGGTTGTATATTTCTAGGAATTCATCCATCTCATCTAGGTTACCAATTTGTTGGCATACAATTGTTCATAGTACTCTTTTACATTCCTTTGGTTTCTGTAAAATTGGTAGTAATGTCCCCTCTTTCATTTCTGGTTTTCATTTCTGTGGTTGTTGGTGAGAGTAGAGGGGTTATTATCTACCAGCTTTCTATCTTGCTAGGCTGTCCATTTCCTAGTTCTTTGGCCTTTCCTAGTTGCCTGCCTCTTCAGCTCCAACTCTGATGTGTATTAGGCAAAAAGAAAACCCAGGGTACTTGCCACTTTGCCATTCTTTGAATACTGAGTTCCTTAGTCAGTCTACTACATTTATAATATGAAGGATAAAAAGCTGTACTTTTCAGAAGGACTATGGAGAAGTACTTTTCCATCTTCCTGAGTGCAGAAATGTCAATGTTTATAATTATTTGTGAAATGTGAGGACTAGATTAGATGATTTAAAAAATCTCTTCCTGGTTTATTGATCTATAGATTTTTCCGGTTTTAAAACAGCAAGATCCTAATTAAATAAATGTAGCCACTTTTCCCTTTAGGTGGGGAGTAAGTAGAGTAAGACTCAGCACTCACATCAAACCAAAGGCAGAGGCTTCATCATCCTATCTTTCTTTAGAGGAGGTCTAGGTTAGCGGTAGAGTTCAGGAGTAAATGTCTTCCTTATTCTTTCACTCTCTTCACTCCTGGTGAATGTGCACTGTGGGCAGAACATCTTTGCTAACCTTTTGTTTTCCCCTAATATTCTGGTTACCCTATTGTCAAACAGGAGCCTGTTCAGTGGCATAGGTGATTCAGAAGAGAGACAGGCCAGGATTCTCTCTTCCCTCCCTGTCTCTCCCCTTTTGGTAACCTTGTTATTGCCTTGGCCCTCATGCCTTGGCCCTTCAATGTTCCTGCTAATGTCTACTCTTGGGCAGGACAACTTCAGTTCCTTTCTCACTATCAGGAACAGTTCTCCATATCAGGAATTGTGCTCTATATTCCACTGCAATTCCATGACTTCATCTGCCATTTTTTGCTGACCTGGCCAAGAGCTGGCATAAACCTTTTTCAGGGTGAAATCCCCAGCATGTCCTCCCAGGCTTTCTGAATACCTTTTTATGTTATCTCCAAACCTCCCCTCAATCCAACAGACCCAGTGGTTTCCTGGAACTGGCTCCTACTAGCTTATGAGACCCAGTTGTTAAACTTTTAAAAGATGTGCGAGCTGGTTGTTAAAAACAGCCACTATTAAAAAATTAAATTACATAAACTTACAATCAAATAAATAATATTAAAAACAAAGGTTAAAAATACTCAAAATTCACCACTTCCCAGTGATGTATTATAATTTTCCAGTACCTATCCTCTGGAGGTTATTTCTCTCTGTTTCATATATATGGTGGAAATGCCTTAGGGTGGGGTGCCCCTGCCCAACTCCACTTTCAGTGATTTCACACTCGTAGCTTGAAGCCAGTCATGATGGGAGTATTTGTAACTAGGAAGTTAAAAAATGCTACAAAGCAGGGCAGGATTTATCATTTTGTTGACTATCTAGACTTTAAAAAATGATAGAGAAACGTTAATAATGTGGGTTAAATTTAAAATTGTGTCGTGTCTGTAACTACATTGTGAATAACACAGAAATTGAAGAAATAGTCTTTCAGTATTCAACACGACAGTTGACCTTTGAACAACATGCGTTTGAACTGCCCGAGTCCACTTATACGTGGATTAAAAAAAAAGTTACACCGGTGTGCCTGCCTCTCCTGCCTCCTCCTCCATCTCTTCTGCTTCTACCACCCCCATATAGCAAGACCAACCCCTCTTATTCCTCCTCCTCTTCAGCCTGTTCAGCATGAAGATCATGAGGATGAAGACCTTTATGATGATTCACTTCCACTTAATAAATAGTAAATATATTTTCTCTTTTTGATGATTTTCTTAATTTTCTTTTTCTAGCTGACTTTTCTATAAGAATACAGGATATAATACATGTAACATACAAAATATGTGTGAATTGGCTGTTTATGTTATTGGTAAGGCTCCCAGTCAGCAGTAGCCTATTAGTAGTTAAGTTTTTGGGGAGTCAAAAGTTATAGGCAGATTTTCAACTATGCCCAGGTTTGGCACCCCTAACCCCTACATTAGTCAAAAGTCGATTGTATTATCCAGTTCTAAAGAAAAGTTATGTTTATGTCACTGATGAATGAGTGAAGTTCTAACATATATCTTTGTTGTTTCACTGTTGCCTTATTCATTAAATATCAACCAACATTCATGTCAGAATTACATTCATGTCATCAATGACTTGAGTGGCTTCATTGCCAAATTCCATGCTAATTAGGTACTTATTCATAGTCTGTTTGTCAAAACATGATTGAATTGCAATTATGGGTTAGCAATCAACACCAAAGTTTGGTAAAAATAAGCATAGCCATTCTGTGAGTCAATTTCTATATAGAATTTATAATAAAATATGTTGTACATTTCATTACTGTGCTGCAATCTTTTATATCAGTAAAATGTATAAGATACACACACACACACACACACACACACACACACACATATATTTCTTTTTCCTGGACAGCTGGTTGCTAAACATATATCAGCATACCATTGCTCAGATCTTAACTCTTATCAAGGCATTTCAGATGCCTTATTTTTAAAAGTTCCTTTTACAGCTAGAAGATGCACTTCAGGCAGTTTTAATTGTGAAAAAGTCGGCTCCCAAGACAATTATTCTCAAAGCCTGCTTATAGAAATGTGCTCAAAATGTAATCCATCAATTCACCAGCAGGTGTCACTGTGGTGTAGGGTCATAGCCAGAAGGCGTCTCACCTTATGCCTCCCAGAGGAGTATTGTTGGAGTTGAATTGCTTCAGTGAAGTTACACACTGAACACCTCCTAAAGTCACTTTCTGGAAAGACAATGCCACATCCAAGTTATCTGACAGAAAGCAGCGAAGTAAACAGAGGCTGGTTCTGTTTGCTTATTTTGTAGTTTTAACTCTGCTATTATGTTTATGTCCAGAAAGCCCGGAGATCTTCTGTTTAGCTCTAGAACTGTATATTACCTTGCTATTCTATTCTAAGTGTGGCTCATGGACCAGCATCATAGGTATTACCTGGGAACATGTTAGAAATGCAGAATCTCAGACCGTGTCCCGGACCAGTGTACTACTGCTGAAGAATCTGCAACTCGGCCGGGTACTGTGGCTCACCTCTAATCCCAGCACTTTAGGAGGCCGAGGCAGGCAGATCACTTGAGGTCAGGAGTTTGAGACCAGCCTGGGCAACGTGGTGAAACCCTGTCTCTACTAAAAATACAAAACTTAGCCGAGTGTGGTGGCGCATGCCAGTAATCCCAGCTACTTGGGAGGCTGAGGCAGGAGAATTGCTTGAACCTGGGAGGCAGAGGCTGCAGTGAGCCAAGATCATGCCAGTGTACTCAAGCCTGGGCAACAGAGTGAGACTCTGTCTTAAAAAAAAAAAAGGAATTTTCAACTTAATAGGGTCACCAGGGGATTCTTATGCACATTCAAGTAAGTGTGAGAAGCACTAGTGTATGGGACCCCTATGTTGGCAGTTACTGTACAGCTATGAATAAGATAAAATGGTAACTTTCAGCTTGTTGGCCAAGAGAATAAAGTTAGTGGGAAAGGAAGTGACGCTTCCCAAGACAGATGATATTTTCCTTAGTGCATGTTGGATTGTCTATTTTTTTCTTTTTCTTTTTAGAAAAATGAAGGAGAGAAGAACTTTTCTAGGTCTTTCCCTATATAACCTGGCCCCAGTAAATTTCTTCAGTGTTATCTCTTGCCACTTCCCTTCCTCACTCTGTATTTCAGCCATACCAAATCATCCGCCAATACGGTCTTCTTAGAACCCTGGTCTGATTGTCATTCTATTGCTTAAAGGGGCTTCCTCTTGCTCTTAGAGTATGGACCTGAATCCGTGCCATGATTTGCAAGGGCTCCCCGGGTCCAGTGTCATCTTGCTTTCCAGTCTCACTTCTTGGCATCCCTCTCCTCCTTATATTCAGTGTTCAGCTCCCCTGGGCTTTTTGCCTCAAGTGTACCCCACTATTTCCCACTATTTCTTTGCCTATTCCATTTGCTCTCTCAGGAATACTCTACCCCTGGTCCCAGCTCTTCTGTTGCCACATCAATACTCTTTGAAGAACCAGGGAAGCCTTTTTTAAGCCCCTTCATTATATGATTCCCCACTCTTTGCATTTTCATTTCACAGTGTTTATTGTGTTTGGGATTATTCTTTTCTAGACATCTCTTTTCCCTGGTAGACGATTTCTCTATAAAGGAAGGGAGTATATCTGTCTTTTCATCCAAAGGTCCTACCAAGCCCTTCAACCCCACTACATGGTCTGACCTCCTTACCTCCCTAGTGCATGATCTTACCACTTTTTCTCCCATCCTTTCCACTCTGCCTCTGTTTTCCTTCTTTTTCCTGAAACATATCAATTTTGCACTCGCTGATCCTTTTGCTTAAGTCCCTTCCTCACTTTCCTCAGGCCTTTCAGCCTTCTGGGCTGACCCCTAGTCATTTAGAGGCAGAACTAATGGGAAGTTTGGCGATTTGCCTTGGTGTAGGGCTTGTACCGCGTCTGCCTTTTGGTGGAGCATTTTGTTGCCCACCAATAGATGGAAAATAGCTGATCTATCTTGTAGACATTTTAGAAATGTATGACTCTGGCTGAAATTCTTTTCTCCCTGAACTTCAGGTTGCTATGATTGGCTTCTATACAAGCTCAAGCCCGAAGATGAAGGAGAACAGATATGTGCAGATTGTGGATGGAATAGGGAAGAGGGCACCATTGGCCATGGGAAATGAAGGGCTGGGGCAAAAGAGACTTGGAAAATGGGGGAGTTGTAATGGCAGTGAGAGTTGTTTGTTATTTTTTGGTCTATCTATCTGTTAAGGCTGAGAAATGGTTAAGGCCCCTTCCTTCCTCATTACACACGAGTTTACAAAAATAATATTGTTGATGCAGAAGAGAAGCTAAAATAAAGCTAAACAATCTATGTTGTGCTTTTCCTTAGCATGAAAAAATTGTTGCTTAGAGAACAAATGTGTGCTTCTATTTCTCCTTCATTCAGCTCCCTACTTAGCACCCACTCACGCTGTGAAATTTCTTACATTTAGGACCAACTACCCTCCCTCCCTCCCTCCCTCGCTTTCTTTCTTCTTCTTCTTCTTCTTTTTTTTTTTTTCTTTCAGACAGAGTCTTGCTCTGTTGCCCAGGCTTGACTGCAGTGGGGTGATCTTGACTCACTGCAACCTTTCAGGTTTAAGCGATTCTCCTGCCTCACCCTCCCAAGTAGCTGGGACTACAGGCACAGGCCACCATGACTGGCTAATTTTTGTATTTTCTTTTTTTAGTAGAGACAGGCTTTCACCATGTTGGCCAGGCAGGTCTCGAACTCCTGATCTCAAATAATCTGCCCGCCTCGGCCTCCCAAAGTGGTGGGATTACAGGCATGAGCCACCGCTCCTGGCTTCGTTTTTTTTTTTTTTTTCCTCCTCCTCCTCCTCCTCTTCTTCTTCTTCTTCTTTTCTGAGACAAGGTCTTTTTCTGTTGCCCAGGCTGGAGTGCACTGGCTTGATCATAGCTCACTGCAGCCTCTATCTCCTGGGCCCACTTGATTCTCCTGCCTCAGCTTCCTGAGTAGCTGGTACTACAGGTGTGTGCCACCATGCCTGCTTACTTTTAAAAATCTTTTTAGAGGCCGGGCGCGGTGGCTCCGCCTGTAATCCCAGCACTTTGGGAGGCGAGGCGGGTGGATCACGAGGTCAGGAGATCTAGACCATCCTGGCTAACACGGTGAAACCCCGTCTCTACTAAAAATACAAAAAAAATTAGCCGGGCGTGGTGGCGGGCGCCTGTAGTCCCAGCTACTCGGGAGGCTGAGACAGGAGAATGGCGTGAACCCGGGAGGCGGAGCTTGCAGTGAGCCGAGATCGCGCCACTGCACTCCAGCCTGGGCGACAGAGCGAGACTCCGTCTCAAAAAACAACAACAACAACAACAACAACAAAATCTTTAGAGATAGAGTCTCACTATGTTGCTCAGGCTGGTCTCAAATTCCTGGGCTCAAGCAATGTGCCTGCTTCGGCCTCCCAAAGTGCTGAGATTACAGGTGTGAGCCACTGCCCCCGGTAATACTTGTATTTTTCTTAAGCCAACTACACTTGCATAGGCCAAACCTCCATCCCTTGATGAATTTATCTTTCAAAATTCACAACTTAAGCCGTCTGCTTCTATGTGAAACCTTCCATGATTCTTTCTCTATGAAGAATCCATCACTCTTTCTCTACTTTGATAGTGTATAGTTTTAGTCATAATATTCAGTCTTTTTTTTTTTTTGAGACAGAGTTTCACACTTGTTGCCCAAGCTGGAGTGCAATGGCGCGATCTCAGCTCACTACAACCTCCGCCTCCTGGGTTCAAGTGATTCTCCTGTCTCAGCCTCCCGAGTAGCTGGGATTACAGGCGCGCGCCCGGTTAATTTTTTGTATTTTTATTAGAAATCGGGTTTCATCACGTTAGCCAGGCTGGTCTCGAAACTCCTGACCTCAGGTGATCCACCTGCCTCGGCATCCCAAAGTGCTGGGATTACAAGCGTGAGCCCATGCCCAGCCCTACTCAGTATTATATATAGTTAATTTAATTGAATAAATATTTGTTATATGTCTACATTTGTTAAATGTCTACTTCCTACTGTTCTAGGAAGCATGCTGGGCGCTGGGATTAAAAAGGTGAAAAACCATAGTGCCTCCCCATAGAGACTTCACAACCAGGTTGGGAAGCCCAATTGAGATGAACAAAATAGAAAGAAAACCACAGACGCAGAGATGTGAAACACCATGGCACGCCTGGGAAGGGGCTCCTGGTTTGGGATGACTGGAGCATGGGTTTTTAAGGAAGGGAGGAAGAGGGGCCAGGACAGGAGGTGAAGGGAGCCAAAGGCAACAACAATGATAATATGAACTACAATTACATTTATGTGCCAGGTGCTGTGCAAAGTGGTTCCCAATAATACAGAGATGTTAAGTCACTTGTGCAACACCACAGAGGTTGTTAGTGGTAGAGCCAGAATTTAAATTTTATTATAGGTAAATTATCAGGCCAACAAGCATTTAAAAGACATCTTCAATGTGTGAGGCACTTTTCCAGCTAATGTGCATGTTTGTCTTCCCTGCTAACCTGTGATTTCTTTGAGGGGTGGAAATTTTTTTTGTTTGTTGTTTTTCTTTTGGGATGGAGTCTAGCTCTGTCACCCAGGCTGGAGTGCAGTGGCATGATCTCGGCTCACTGCAAACTCCGCCTCCTGAGTTCAAGTGATTCTCCTGCCTCAGCCTCCAGAGTAGCTGGGATTACAGGCACCTGCCACCACACCCAGCTCATTTTTGCATTTTTAGTTGAGATGGGGTTTCACTGTGTTGGCCAGGATGATCTCAAACTCCTGACCTTGTGATCTGCCCGCCTCAGCCTCCCAAAGTGCTGGGATTATAAGCGTGAGCCACTGCACCCGGCCTGGAAATCTTTTTATATTTATCTTTGTCAACCCCATATCTAAGAGAGTGCTTGGAATGAAGCAAACGTTTAAAAAATTTTAGTTTCTTTTCCCCTTTTCCAACTTGCCTTACTAAAGCATTGTCCACCCTCTAATTGCTAAACACCAGCATCTTCCTCTCATCTCTTCCTTCTATTATTATTATTATTAGTTAAAGGGTAAAATGATCTGGGGTGGAGAAGACCTTCCTTCTATTATTAAGTATTTGTTGGTTGAGGAGACTTACAAAGTAAAAAGGAATATTATTGTTTTATTATCCATTAGGTTAAGCTTTTGCTTAAGTGAATCTTTGGACAGAAAGTAACTAAAATGTTCTTTGAAATGAAAGACCCATTTATAAGAAATATCAAAATCCCACAGTTATACTGATGGCAGCCTAGAAACACATTAAATCTTGCAAGAACACCTCATTATGAGCACTTATAATTCTTGGCTGTCCACATTTACTTAAGAGTAAAATGAAAATAAGGGGAAGCGCCTCTCTCTTCCTTCTCTGTGGCATTGCTTATAGCACTGGGGACTCCAAGTCACATTATGTCACGAATGGGGAAATCAGTCTAACTTTCCCTTTGCAGTATTGAGCAGTTGTGTCATAGAGGTAATAGTTATGGGTCCAGTATCATAAGAAGAATAAAGAGAAGTATTCAGTAGAAGGCAATTTCCAGCTTTCCAGCTCCTGCATAAAGGTAACAGCCTCTCCTTTAATAGACCTTGTAAGAATTAGATTTTGTCTCAGAAAATTCTGCTAGTGCTTAGCTTTCTGGAAATGTATTTGAAAATAATCACTTACTCTTAGACTCTCCAAATGTCCTGTTATATTTCACATTTTCCCATAGATAAGTATGCCCAATCAATAGCAATACATCTTCCCCATCTTTTCCATCCTGAAGTACTTGTTTATTTCTAAATATTTTTCATGTGACTCCTAGAGATGGGAAAAGAAAGAAATTGATTGGGAAAGACGGACACTTGATGTAGAAATTTGACAGGTGGTATATTGTTGGAAAAGTGTAGAAGGTAGCCAGTGTGTACAATTCTTGGGTATGATATACAAAGCCTAACAGTCTTTGGAAAAATATATTTCAACATGATGTCCGATAGATTCACTAGGCATTACATAAAATACCTAAATGTCACATGAAATATCAAAATTATCTTAGGTAAAATGAGAGAATTTTAATGTATAAATAAAAAAGTGTATAGGGGTCTTTACTGATGGATGGGTGTCTGCCCAGGCTCCTCTTTTTAGAGAATGCCCTCTCCCTTGCCCCCATATCTTTGTGGGTGCTGCTCTGCCATTCACTGGGTGCTCCTTTTGCCTTTACAGATTTGGGTGTTGGTTAAACAATGGCCAACCAGTGTTCTACATCTCTCTGACCATGACAATTGGTTCATGTTTGGGCACAAGACTCACCAGCTAATAAAGGGTTGTGACTTCTATTTCTCTGCCAGGGATGGCTTCGGGCTGGTGGTAGTTTTTAGATCAGGCCTTACTCCATGCGTGAAGGTGAACAATACAGAAGGTACCCATGCAGACAGGCTGTTGACTCATTGACTGTTCCCTCCATGGGATCTGTGCCCAGAGACCAGTCTTCATTGCATACTGTCCAGAGTGCCCCGTGGAATCACCCCCATGTGAAAAGCTCTGGGCAGAGCTGCAGACTTCTGTTTTCCACCTGTTTTCCTTTCCACCCCGACTTGGGGAATTTTGAAAAAGTGAGCTGCTTTTTTTTTTTGTTTTTTGTTTTTGTTTTTGTTTTTGGCTTACAGAAAAAGCAGGAGTAAAACCTTCCTGGACATATCTCAGGTTTCAACCACTCCATGCTCTAATGGATGGAATTAAATGTGGACATGACTGGACCCCATAGAAAATCTTTTATTGACCCTGAGTCACTGTGGGTTCATCCGATGACACTGTAGGAGTCACCCCTCCTCGGACAGCCTGTCCTGGAAATTATGTTTCACCAAGAAACATGTAAGCTGTCTTGAATGAATTTAATCAGCTTTGGATCCACTTGAGAGATAAGAGAAGAAGATCACTACTTTTCCCAGAAAAGAATAAAAGACTAAATGAGAAGAGTTATTTATACTTCTGGCTGTCACCTTCAGCAGGCAGTTAAGAATGCCCTATTGAGTGGCCTCTGCTTATAATAGAAGGAGTGAAGGCAGAAAAATGGAGTTAATGTTGCCATGAGACATGACAAAGCCTCTGGTTTCCAGGATCAGCCTGAAATGAATTAAAGCCAAATTCTACCAACAAATCTGTCACGCTGCCCTGAAAACAGGAAGTCTAGGCTGGGCCAACAGGAATTAGTCACGGTACACACTGGCAAACCCTCCCAGATCAGGGCATGAAAAATGTGCTTCATCTGCAAAAATCAACTTTTAGAATTTGTGCAGTGTTTTCCATTACCCACTTTCTTTCCTCCAAAGGCCAGTCATCAAATATGCTTGGCTTACTTAGGCTTCTGCTGCACCATTAAGTGTATGAACTTGTGTGTGAAACGGAATCCCATCTAGCTGGGTGCCCTTGGATAAATGACCTCATTTTTCTGGACCTGAGTTTTGTTTTCTGAAACAGGAGGAGCTTGGCATCTTGTGATCCTGAGACTTCGACTTTCTTGGGGGTCAGAAAATAATATATCAGACAGTCATTGAATACCCACAAAATGCTCAGTACTGTGCTAAGAAATGGAGATAGCAAATGAAGAAGATATATTCCTTTAAAGAGTTTCCAGTGTCTGCAGGGAGACATATACTTAGAGAAAAGTATTATGAAAATGGTGCTAAGGCCAGCAGAAGTCTACATATATAAGACATCTTACAGTGTGTCACAATGACTTTTTTCCTGACCCTGAATTTAGCCAAGGCCCAAAGCTGAAGAAAAAAGGCCCTACATACATTCTATCCCAAAGAAGCTCTTCAGCAAACGAGGCCAGCATCATTTGCCCAGGGCTTACTGGGAGACCAGAGCAGTGCAGGCTCCCCTTCACCTCCTATCACACTACTCCCTCCTTTTAGGAGAAGGGGACCAAAAGGTAGGGCAGGAGTGGGCGCAGTGGTTCACACCTGTAATCCCAGCACTTTGGGACGCAGAGACAGGAGAATGGCTTAAGGCCAGGCATTCAAGACCAGCATGGGCAACATAGTGAGACCCCTATCTCTACAAAACATTTTATAAAATTAGCTGGGCATGGGCCATGCTTTTGTAGTCCCAGCTACTTGAGAGGCTGAGTGGAAGGACTGATAAGCCCAGGAGTTTGAGGATGCAGCGAGCTATGATCTTGCCACTATACTCCACCCTGGGTCACAGAGGGAGACCCTATTTCAAACAAACAGACAAACGAAAAGGAAACGTAGGAGAGTCTTGGCTACATGAGCAGAGCAATATTCCAGGTGAGAAGCTATGACCTCCCATCTCTAAAGTCAGGCAAAGGAAGCTCTAAAAGAATTTCTTGTAAAGATTGGAGGTAACTTCAAGCTGTGGAGGTTGGCATTTCACTCCTTGACTGTGTGTGTGCTGAGCTGTCAAGTTCTCAGAAATACCCCGAGCTCCTGAGCTCAGTAGGAAGTAGACATTTAACAAATATTTGTTCAATTAAATGAACTATATGTAATACTGAATACTGTATTGAACAAATAACAAATATTTGTTCAATTAAATGAGCTATATGTAATACTGAATATATGACTAAAACCACTTTGGTTTTATATTTGTCACATTTGAAATGCCTATTAGATACTCAGATAGACGTAGAGTGGGGTTTTGGAGTCTCAATCTTGAATTAGGGCACTATGACTTAAGGGTACTGGAGGGCCATGCTGGAGCCCCAGTGTAGGAGTGCCTACATTGTCCCTTTCAGTCCCAGACTCTCACATGTTCCCTGAGATTTGGGGCCATGCTTGAACAAAGAGAATTTGGATCTGGAGATTTCTGAGGATGAAAGACCCTCTGGAGTAGGCCATGTGAACAGCCTTGAAATATATTGTGGTATAAAGTGTTAGGGGAAAAGATGAGGTAATTTGTATCTCATCCCAGTTCTTCATAGGCCTTACTTAGAAGGTGTCAGAGAGGACCTGACTCCAGCAGTCCCAGCAGCTCCATGCAAATAGCACCAGGTTTGGTGGAGAAGCAGCAGCTGTGGTCTGCCTAGTGAACAACTGCACCAAACCGTGCATTGCTTGGCCTGGAAACACAGGTGGGCGCGGGGTGTGTACAGATAGTGGAACCCTTCTGGGAGAGGTCCTCAGTTATGGAGGGGGCTGGATTAAAGCCATTCTCTTCCTGGAAATACCATTCACACCATTAACTGGAAGCCACAATAGACTGAACCAGAATGAGTCCAGAGAGAGCCCCTACCATGTAAGGAGATTCTCATCCACTATCCCTTCTCCCAATACTTGAGGAACTTCAGGCTAGAAAAAGAAGGAGCAGGTGTCTTGGATCCAGACCAGGAGATATTCTTGTATCTAACAGGTACTAGATATTGACTGAATCTGCTACAATATTGTAAAGGGAGCCACTGCCCTTTGTGGTAGAGAAATCAACACAGCCCAGTTGAAGTTTTACTGAGGTAAAAATACAATTCTCTATTTACATTTCAGTGAGCTGAGAAACTTTAAAAAATAAATTAACGTATCATGGTGGTGATAGCTAACTCCACTTGGGAGCATTCAAGCACTCATAGTCAAACAGAGGACACAGGCTCAGTTAACTTCAGGACAAATCATAATTGATAAGTGATAGATGTTTTAATAATATGTTAGGGAAAATGAAGGCATACCAAATGAATTCTGATTGGGGGTGGACTGCCACTCTGATGGGGTGATATTTGAATTGAGTGTGAGAAATTTAGGAGAAAGAAAAAAGGATGAACTTTTAGGTACAAGGACCAAAATCAGCAAGACACAGAGATAGTGAAAAGTGTGGTAGTTGGCTATGATTGAGACAGAGAAAGGGAAGAACGGGATGTGGGCACCAGGATAGAGTTCAGAGCCTTTCCAATCTGGCTTGACCCAAATTTTTAGCTTTAAGGAGAGTGGATTTTATACTTATAGACAATAAAAAAGCCATTAAAGTATTTGAGAACATCTTTTAGGAAATTTTAAGCTATTTACTCTGCCAGTATTGTTGAAGGAAGGTTAGAAGAAGAAGAGACCAGAGAAGGGGTGATCACGTAGCAGGATTTTGCAACTGTGCAGCTCAGAAGTAGTAAGTGTCTGAGACAGAGCCTAGCACTGGGAATGAAGATCAGGCAGCAGCTCTTCTAATAATTTGAAAGTGACTGGATGAGGGTAAGAGCTGAGAAAGAAGGAGTGGGCAGCTATGACTTCCAAATTCATCTATTACATAGGCGATGGTGCTGTGAGATGGGGGAGGGTTTGTGGGAGAAGAGTGGGGTTGGGGGGGTGCAAATAATAATAATAATAGCCAACATTTGTTATGCATCCACTATGTTCCAGGGACTTTTAAAAGTGTTTTGCGTGTAATAACTCATTTAATCTTCACCACACCCTTATGAATAGATACTATTACTACCTCCATTTTACAGCTGGGGTTTAGATAACAAATTTGGTTTTATATTTGTCACATTTGAGATGCCTGTTAGACAATCAGATAGATATAGAGTAGGGTTTTGGAGTCTCAATCTTGAATTAGGAAGTGAGTTTTGGCTGGACATTTGAGATTATCTTACATGTACAAATCCTTGCATCCTAAAAAAGGGTCCAGGGAGAGCATGTTCTATTACAATATCGAGGCAGACCCTGAAAAACTGGGAACTCCAACACTAAAAGGACAGAGAGGGGAAGAGCCTGCTATTTGCTCACCATTATCCATGTTCTCTACCTCCTGGGCACCCAGTTAGGTGACATTTCCAGCCTCCCTTGCTGTGAGGTGTGGCTGATTTCTTCTAGCCAGAGGAATGTGTGGGGAGAAGTGATGTGGTCATAGTTCATGCAACCTTTCACATGGGCTTTTTTGTGCTTCTTACTACATCCCAGCTGACTGGGATGGAAACCTCTGGGGAGTCTATGGACATCACATGTTGAAAAAGCTTCCATCAGCCTCCACTTTGAATGCCTGTATAGGGCAGGGCATTCCTTCCCACCACCCAGCCCTGATTCCTTGAAATTGCTCTGGGCTCTTAGGTGAGCAAGAAATACATGTCTATTGTACTTGAGTCATTGTATATTTCTGAGTTTATTCATTACAGTAGTTACCTAAGCAGAGAAAAACTAAAGCATGAAAGAGGGGTGAGAACTTATCCATACAGTTACATCATCTTATGTAGAATGAATATTTCTTTCACAAGGCAGCACGTGCCTAGGCTGAACTTGTGGAATAAGTAAAAAAAGTTACTTCACTTATTATAAGGTTTCTGACAAGAGAGGTAAAGATCTAAATCCCGGGGTGGCTGTTTTTAGAACTGATAGCCCCGTATCCCTTCCCAAACTTCTGATTTGGTAGGCTGTTATATATTCTTGAATTGGGAGTAAGTCTACAGTGAAACCTTCCACCACATGTGGTAGGGACAAGCTCATTACTTACTCCAAGGCATCTGACTTGCACATATTCTGTGCTGTGCAATATATCAGGGTCCCCTTTCTTTGCAGGCACAGCACAAAGTGAAGGTCAATCAGCACATAATTATAGGAACATCGCTGTGTTGAAAGCAGACTTCATTACCCTTTGTGAGTGCTACCTGATATTGACTGAGGACTCAGAAGAAGAAAAAAGCTTCATGCACCCTGCAGATTTGCAGTGCAACGCACTGTCATTCCTGTGGAGGATGTACGAGAACTTTGGTCGAAAATAAGGCACGTTTCCAACAGCATTTTGCCCAGAATATTGTGATGGGGTTTGCAGACATGAAACATACTGTCCGCATCATCAAGACACACAGTTCAGATATTTTCTAGGACCAGCTGCTAAGTCATGACTCAGACACATGCCTTGCTACAAATTCCAGCTCAAGCCACCTGCAAGTTTTAACTGTGTGTGTGCACTTGTATGTGTGCTCCTGTTTCCTTGCAAGCGGGAGAGCCACAGAGATTGGACACTGAAATGAAATGCCCAAAAGGGCAATTAAAATTATTGTTGCCCACTTGTAAAATTGGCATCCTCACGACTAAGATAAGCTTGGGTGGCAAAACACTTAGTTGTCTTTGAAAAAAAAAAAGCTCCACTTATTGGGAAAACCCACCTCAGAAACAAAATCTAACTCACAGTGAGCTCTGAAGGAAAAAAGGAGGAATTGAATGCACCTCCCTTGCCAAGCATGTCTGCGAGACAGCCAGTCTCATAAATTTCAGATCAACTTAGTTTGGCCTCTAAACCAAATCTGCCTTAATGCTATTTGTAGATATAGATTGCTGTCTTTTTCATTACCGTTATCAAATGATGCATTTGCAGCTCAGCTCTGAGCTCCTTGACCCATTAAGTGGATTAGATTGCCTGTTGTCTTTGTCCTTTTGGCTTTTGCTTTATCCTCAAATATTCTACCCTTTTATACTATGTATATAATATGCATGCATTATTATGTATGGTATGCACATACACCTGCCTGCCATCCCAATTAGCCTGACAACCCCATCCCTTCTGTTTTATAAGAGGACTGTGTTCAAATCTCTTATCAGAGTCATCAATCCTTCCCTGTAGCAGCAGCAGCAGTAGAAATCCTCTGAGAAATGGCATGTCACAAGCCAAGCTCAGGGCCCTTGTAGAGCTACACTCAGCAAATTGAAGATCATGCTCCCTATTAAGCTCAAGGCTGGTGCATCATGGGAGATTCATTTTCAGGAGCAGCTTAGGGCCCCTCCCTTCTGTGTCTTACACATGTTAATCTCTCCTCCAGCCCACAGGAGCTGCAGCAGAAAAAGTGGGCTCAGGACAAGTCCTGATGATGTTATTAACATGAAAACTTGCTCTTATACATTTAGGGAAAAGTTGAAGGGGAAGGAAATAAAAGGGAAAGACGAAGACCAAGAACTCAGTCCTGACTCTTGAAACCAAATGATAGCTCCAGCAGGGTTGGCCATGGACATAATCAGTTTCCATTTTTATTCCGTTAAGTATTTGTTGAGGGTTGATCATGTGTGGTGTACTATGCTGGGTATTAAGCATGCAGTGGTGAGCCAGACATATACTCATTGCAGCAACTAGTCATGGAGACATATAGTTAAATAAGCCATTTTATTAAAAGGTAGTAACAGTTGCTGTGATATGGGTGCTTATTATATAAGCATTCAAAAGGTGCACCTAAGTATTCTATGGGAATCAAGGAAAGCTGCCCCGAGGAAGTGACATTTAGGCTGAGACCTGGCAGAAGAGTAGAAGAGTTATTTTCCTAGGAGATCCCCATGTTTTTGGTAGGCAATAAGGAATACTTGTTAGTTTGTTTCCAAGATGGCCACCATCAATTCCTTTCTTCAGGCACAAGCATGTCATTCCCCCATTGAGAAATGGAATCTATTTCCTTACCTTTGAATCTGGGCTGGTCTTAGTGACTTGGCTTGACAATATAATATGCCAGAAGAGATGGTCTGGGACTTTCGAGAGCATCTTTGGGGGAAGCCAGTGACCAAATAAGAGGTCCAACTATCCTGAGACCACCCTGCTGCGAGAAGCCAAAGTCACATAAAGTTATCTCAGTGGCAGAGATGCTGTGGAGGGAGGGAGAGAGAAATGGGGAAGGAAGGAGAGAAAGTGATACCAGGTAGCAACGAAGCATCAGATGTGTGAGTGAAAAAGCCATTTTGGAAGTGATCTATGAGCCCCAGCTGCTCTAGCTGGTGCCATGTGACAAACCCTTCAGCTGTATCTTCTCTGAATCCTTGACTCACAAATCACGTTTTTTATAAGCCAGAGAACTTTCAGTGGCTTTTTATGTAGTAATAGCCAATTGGAAGAGAATTGCTGCCACTTGAGAACTTGCACCTCGGGAACTATACTTAGCCTATTCTTACCTAGACCTGGTTTAGATGATGAGATTCTGGACTTTCATACCTGAGCCAGGGGCCATAATGGGATGAGATTTGGAAGTCTTAGAAGGAGTGAGTGTATTTTGCAGGTGGAGGTCTTATGAATCATTAGTAGCAGGTGGAGGTCTTATGAATATTGATGGTGGTAGCTAGCGTCTAAAAATGGCGTTCCAATGAGCCAGGCCTCCCAGTATTCCTGCCCTTATGTAGCCCTCTCCACTTGAATCTGGACTCATCCTGTGACTTACTGTTAACCAATGAAATGCTTCAGAAGTGATAATTTCTGGGATTAGAAGCCTTGTAGCTTTTGTCTGAGCCTCCTGGAATGCTTGGTTTTCTGACTCTACCTCTTGTAACTCAGCTGCCATGAAGTCTAGCTATGAGAAGCCCAAGCCTCATGGAGGCCATGTGTTTTGGTTTAAAGCTCCACTTCAGCTTCCAGTCTTTAATTGACATCAACTGTCAGCCATAAGTGCACTATCTTAATCGTTCAGCCCAGTTAAGCTTCAGATAGTCACAGCTCCATCTGACGTGACAGATCTCAACCGAAAACTACCTAGCTTGGCTGAAGTAACCCCAGATCTATGGAAGGTAAGAATTAATTATTAATTTTAACCACTGAGTTTTGGAGTAGTTTATTGTGCTGCAATAGAAGAGAAACCATTGCAAATAGTGTTTGATTTGGAAGAATCCATTATAAATCCTAACATGCCAGAAGAATTTAAACTTGGTCAACACCCCAGAATTAAAAAAGAAAATGTAGCATTCTAGGTACTGAGAGCTAAATAAACTCTCTTAGGCTAGTTGCAAATTATTGGAATATTATCTCATTATCATTGATCATAACTTTATTTTGTTCTACTTCAATGTTGGGTTATACTCTTCCCCCTAATTTATTTTGAGAAGTGAACACAAAAATGTGTATCAGATGCCCCCCTTCCATATGTCTTAGCAATCAAAGCATCAATCAAATCATCAGCAATTAAAAGGTTAAGATCTCATAAAATCATTTATAAGATCTCATATAAATGACATACACATGGCATAGTCTCTGTTCTTAGATACCCAAAGCATTTCTTAATATAGTCTTTCTAGGCAGTGAATGGAAAACACAAAGCTATAAGCAGAGGATGGTATAGTCTATTCCAGTGTCTGGCACATAGTACATCCTTAGTAACTCTCCATTCCATGAATCATGAATTCATTTATTCATTATGTCAGTGCCAAGAGCTGATCAGTAACTCAAGTCCAGGTGCAGCTAGCTATACCTTCTTCACCTCTTAAAGACTATGCCTCAGGAGCTGGCCTGAAAGCCTGAAAGCTCTTCAACCAGTGTCAGCATCAGGTACATCAGAACTAATAATGTTTGGCTAAATATATATATTATATATATATAAATATATATAAAATATACATTTATATATTATATAAATATATATAAAATATATATATTTATATAATATATAAATATATATAAAATATATATATTTATATAATATATAAATATATATAAAATATATATATTTATATAATATATAAATACATATAAAATATATATTTATATAATATATAAATACATATAAAATATATATATTTATATATTATATAAATATATATATATATTATATAATATATAAAAATATATATATTTATATATTATATAAATATATAAAATATATACATTTATATATTATATAAATATATAAAAAATATATATATAATATATTTATATAATATATACTATATATAAAAATATATTTCTATAATATATACATATATATAAAATATATATAAAATATATTTACATATTATATAAACATATATAAAATATATTTACATATTATATAAACATATATATAAAATATATTTACATATTATATAAAATATATAAAATATATTTATATATTATGTAAAATATATAAATATATTTATATATTATGTAAAATATATAAATATATTTTATATAATATATAAATATATGTAAAATATATTTATATATTATATAAATATATGTAAAATATATTTATATATTATATAAATATATGTAAAATATATTTATATATTATATAAATATATGTAAAATATATTTATATAATATATAAATATATGTAAAATATATTTATATATTATATAAATATATGTAAAATATATTTATGTATTATATAAATATATGTAAAATATATTTATGTATTATATAAATATATGTAAAATATATTTATGTATTATATAAATATATGTAAAATATATTTATGTATTATATAAAGATATAAAAAATATATATAAAATATATTTATATATTATATAAATATATATAAAATATATATATATAATATATATAAAATATATATATATTATATAAATATATATAAAATATATATACAATATATTTATATATTATATAAATATATATAAAATATATATACAATATATTTATATATTATATAAATATATATAAAATATATATACAATATATTTATATATTATATAAATATATATACAATATATTTATATATTATATAAATATATATACAATATATTTATATATTATATAAATATATATACAATATATTTATATATTATATATATATTTATATAAAATAGCTAATTATATTATGATTATTATAATCATAATATATTATATTATAATATATGTACATTATATATTATAATAATATAATAGAATTCATACACACACACATATAAATACATATATACATGTGTGTATGTGTGCATAAAATCTTGCCTTCCCCTCACTCTTTTCCCTTTTTGTGCAAGGGAATGTGCTAGACATTGTAGGATTTGTATAAATATTTATTTCTAGCCTGAGCTTTTAAGCACCCCCAAGATTCTGAATTACAAGCTTTCCTTTTTAGGTTAAGTGAAACAGTATATTATTGTGGAGCAGTTTAAACTTCAGACGAAAATACAAAACAGCAGGAAATAAAATAAGCCTAAGCACTTTGCTGCACTATGGAATTCTTACATGTGGACTCAGATACAGAGACGTAGAAGCTGGTCCAATGCATAGATAACAGGCTATTTATGCCCAGAGCATCAAAAGACTGCACTCTCTCACCTGTCTGACACTTTGCCTGCAATTCTACCATGAAAGGCATTTCTTTGAAATTGGCATTTTATTCACCAGACATTTGTTTGAAAGTATATTGCACAAAAGGGATAATTTACTGGGAAACCAACAGAGAACAGAGCAGTGAATACATGGAAGGCAACTGACATGAGGATGAAGGATGGAGAAGTAAGGCTGGAAATGCCTGGGGCCCTGATGGGGGAAATGAAGACTCTGGTAAGGAAGTCAAGTCTGAGGCTCTAGGCGCGGAGGGACAGCTTGATGAGTGGGTGTGTTACAGACCCAAACTGGGGTTTGCTTGCCCAGCTCAGTAAGGCCAACATCCACACTGAAGTTTTGCTGGGGGGAAAAAGGAGGGTGTTTATTTACAGGGCAACCAGCAAAGAGAATTGGGCAGCTCACACTTGAGAGCTGACCTCCCTGATGGCTTGCTTACAAGCAAGGGTTTTAAAAGACAGGGCTTATACATTTCAGGAAAGCAGATGTTACAGGCAAAATTCCAAAACCGAGTATGGAGGTTATA
This sequence comes from Homo sapiens, assembly GCF_000001405.40. Lineage (NCBI taxonomy): Eukaryota > Metazoa > Chordata > Mammalia > Primates > Hominidae > Homo > Homo sapiens. The sequence continues at coordinate 33,317,531 of NC_000008.11, read as the reverse complement.
CGTTGGTTTGGCCTAAAAGGGTGGAGTATCTTGAAGTGAGGGCTTACTGGTCATAGGTAGATTCAAAGATTCCCTGATTTCTGATTGGCTATGGAAGTGAAGCTTTGTCTAAAAACTTGGGGTCAGCAGAAAGGAACGTTGAGGTCTGGCCTGTGGGCATGACTTCCTTCAGACCCCTCAAGAATAAATTTAGAACAAAAAATAACTGTCAGAGTTCAGTCCTCGGTTCCCCCTTATCTGAAATTGATGTGCCAGTGGACAGTATTTTCTCTTTGGTGGGGGTCCAGGCTTCTGAAAACAACTCAAGGACATATGTTGTTATCTTTAGTTTTTATGGGGAACCAAGTATTTTGTGGCTATAACTTCTTTTGCTACTGTTTTAAGCTATTATTACTTTCTTACTTATCAGGTTGCTCATTTATTTGTCAAAGCTAGCTAGGTGCCTGGCATTTTCCTTGAAGGAACTCAAGATTTTCCTTTATTTTCATGCCTAGTGGGGCCCAGCAGGCCCTTAAGAAGGGGGTTGATGAGGGGGTTCTGTCTCAGTCTCAGGTGGGGGACATTGAACCACTACTTTACACATTTGCTCAAAAGTTGCCTTTAAATGGAGAATCAGACAGAATAATTACAGTGAATTCCTCAAGACAGGGCCATAGGATCATGGGAAGGAAGTGGTGAGAAATATGGGAAGAGAACAGGAAGTCATTGCTCCACTTTAATCTGTGTCACCTTGCCTCACATTCACAGACACAACAAATTTTTGCTGTTCCTTTCCTTGTTTTTTTTTTTTGAGACAGAGTCTCACTCTGTCACCTAGGCTGAAGTGCAGTGGCCCAATCTTGGCTCATTGCAACCTCCACCTCCTGGGTTCAAGCAATTCTTCTGCCTCAGCCTCCTAAGTAGCTGGGATTACAGGTGCCTGCAACAATGCCCAGCTTTCTTTCTTTCTTTCTTTCTTTTTTTTTGTAGTTTTAGTAGAGATGGGGTTTTGCCATGTTGGCCAGCCTGGTCTCAAACCCCTGACCTCAGGTGATCCACCTGCCTCAGCCTCCCAAAGTGCTGGGATTACAGGTATGAGCCACCGTGCCTGGCTAAAATTTTGCTTTTTCAAAATGGTTTTCAAAACCCACTAGACCTTTCTAATATTATTTTCACTAACTAACCATAGATGCAACCTCAGGGAGATGTTACCCCTTAGTAACCATGTCTCTCTGTGCTTGCCAAGGTAAAGTGGGGAAGATAGGAACTGGCCTTGCATAGAGAATCTTAGGAAGCTCTCCTGACCCCAGGATTCTCACCAGCACCATAGAAGCAGGAAGTCAATTTTTTAAGTCCACTTCAAAGGGTTACCTACTCATACAGAACCTCTCTTATCCCCATAATGACCCATATCCTGTAATAAATAGTAGATCAGTGATGAGAAGTGCAGCATGAACAAGCCTGCACTCCTGGCATTGTTTCTTAATTAGCACTTGCTATGTTTCCAGGTAGATCCAGGTGTTCTTGACATTTGGCAGCAAAGATAATCCACTCCCCAGCCCCACAATTAGACAGTATCAGGAAATGCCAAGATTGCATAAATCCTAGGCACTCATCTCTAACTATAACATAAACATGGAGGAAACATACATTATTTTAAAGGAAAAATAGGAGATGTGCTTGGATTTAAATGATCCGTCATGAAGGCAGTATCAAAGGGAAGAAGAAAATATATTTTCTAGAATTTCTGTTTTTTCAGTGACAGGTTTCTAACTAGCTTAATGAAAAAAAGAGGTCTTATTATTCAAATGCTAGGGAGTCTCATAGAATCTCAGAGCATGACTGCAGATGTCCTCCAGGAACAGCTGGAACAAGCAATAAAACTTATCCCAACTATCTCTGTCTTCATTTTGCATTTGTTCCCATCGGTTTCTCTCTCATTTTTCCCTTTCTTCAGATTGGTTGTCTCCATGTCTCCTGAAGACAAGGCAGGACACGGCCCCCACTTTCTGACCCCCTCTTCACGACCGTCACAGTTCTCTCAACTTCTCACTCAGTTTTTCCTGGGATTGAGGGAAGAGAGTAGCCATAATGTCACAAAGAACTACCTTGCTATTAGCAGTTGCTGCAGATTCCCTCTGATGTTTAATCACCCATAGAAATCATTTGTCTAAGCAATTAAGAATTTGGGTATAGGGCATTTTTAGGGATTAATGATCAAGTAGTAAACACTGACTGCTTATAGCCTTGTTAAGGGCTGTTTATCAGCAAGGAATGACCTACTTCAAGGTGACTGATGATATTTACTAGGAAAATTAGATGAGCAAGGACACAAATTCATTTTGAGTGATTCAGGGATGGCAGTATAGTGAAAGCATTTATTGGGCAAGGCTCACTTCTGTGTTAGCTGTCTGAATCACGTTGCCCTTGGTTTTACACACAGAGGTATGCTCTATAAACATTCTTTGCCAGGCACCTAGCTAGCTTTGAAAAGTAAATGTGCAGTCTGATAAGCAAACGTTCTCATGAAACAAGAAAGAAGTTTTGGTTCTACTGAAGCATAATTGTTGTGCAATCATCTTCTCCCATCAAGGATGAACATTACAATTTGTGCATCCAAAGCCATACACTCAATGTGCATTTTCAATAGGAGCCCTATGAACACTGAACTCACCTAATTCTTACAACAGCTCTGTAAAGGCGGTGTTATTACCACTGTTTGGCAGATGAGGAGGTTGAGGCTTACCTAAGGTAAATAATGTTTCCAAGGTCATGCAACTGAGCTCAGATATTATTCATCTGTCTGACTTCAGAACCTGCTATATCACCGTTTTTCCTACGAAAAACAGAGAGCAAGTAATCTGCCTCCAATGTAACTGGAAGTAAACCACAAATTTATGTATTTAATTCTAACCCCAAATGGAAGCTAACACGTACATGGTATTTGCTATGTGCTAGTTACTGATCCAGTGCTTTACACATGTGAGCTCATTTAATGCTTATGGTGTGCTTGGAAAGTAGCTACTATTTTTGACTCCATTTAACAGAGGGGAAACAGAGTCAGAGTGGTTAACTTGCTCATGATTTCACAGCTAATAACTGGTGGATTTAAACTCTCGTAACAGCTGTAGTACACTGTCTGTTAGTGCCTTTTTGATGTTTTGTCCCTGTTGACTTTGAAAGGCAAATAATACAAAAGAACACCTTGGGAGTGGATATTAGAGAGGTTTAACCTCCATCCCACGTGGTTGAATTGTCACAAGGCAGTGAGAAGAGAATGTGGATTTTCTTTTCACCCTCAGTTGGAGAGGCTGCAGGGCAGGCACACAGCCTGTTCTCTCTCGGAAACAGTGGGATTCACCTCTGGCAAGAGACGAAAAGGACAGAAACATGAGCTGCCATCAATTGATTTCTTTTTAAACATTAGCAGGGAAAAAATAGGCCGATGATAACTCAGCACTTTAAAGCTTTGCAGATTGGGATGGTGTTAATCAAATCTCTAGCATAAAGTAGGCAGAGTTATAGGGAGCACAAAGGATACCTAGAGGTCATTACGTGCTGTGTGTCCTGACTGCCACAGCTACTGCCCTAACTCATTAAATTTTTCCTAAAGCTAATGAAATCAAGAGGGAGGAGACTCTGCAGAGTGGAAAGAGCCTGGGGTTAGAGTTGGGAGCCATAAATATTTCTTAGCAATTTAACTGACTCTAGGTTCCATATGAGTCAACAGTGCAATGTGATTAAAAAAAGAAGAGAAAAATGGGCACAATTGTGTTTACACCAGCATACATAAAATATGAGGAGTTTATATTCAGGATAATTTGAATCTATGCTCTCAGGTAGCAAAGTATCTTTAAAATAAGAAAAGAAAGAAAGTATGCAGAATAAGGAATGTCAGAGGTGATGGTTCCATTTTATTCTGTGTTGCTCAGAGCCCATCTGGAATAGGGAGGATGTCAGTTCTGTGCTGATGATGGTTCCATTTTATTCCGTGTTGCTCACAGCCCATCTGGAATAGGGAGGATATCAGTTCTGTGCACCATATTCAGAGAAAGTACAGCTCAAGCAGAGCCACGAGAATGCCTGCAACCATTAGCTCCAAAGAGGGCGAAGATTATGATTGTGGAAGGGTTAGGATCGGAAAAGAAGCTGCCTCATGGAAATAGAAGAGAAACTGAGGATTTAGCATTCTGAGGAATGACACATCCTAGAAAATCAAAAAGAAAAACTTACCACCATTCATAGCAATAAATAGCGTTTGTGCAAGCAAGTACTGTTTGTAGTTGTATTTTGCTGTAATAACCAGAAGTTGGCTTACCCTGACTGTCCCTCAAAAATTGTACTCCCACTAACCCCTTTCTCTAATCTCCCTACTTAATTTTCCTCCATGGTCTCCATTAACACTTGGCATGCTTTGTTTATTTATGATTTTCACCTATTAGAAATTACACTTCACATGGGCATTCATTGTCCATTTTCTCCTTGCTGTATTCCTAGAGCCTGGAGTAGTACCTGGCACAGAGTATGTACTCAGTACATATTAATTAATAATAGATGGTAATGGAATCATCATAGAATGAGTGAATAAATGAGACATCGGCAGCAGAAGCAGCAAGATCCGAGGAGGCAGGGTGGTATGCATGTCTCATGGCCTAGGTGCTAGAAGGCACATGTGACTCCGATCATTTGGAAATTGCAAATGTCTAGCCAGGAGGAGGTTGACTTAGATGGCTGTTTCTAGACTGGTAGCTTTGTGACACTTCAGAAAGATGAAAGGAAAGGATGGAAATAGCGTTCTGGGGATTTGATAAAAGGTATGGCTCTGAGCTATTGCCACAAACTGCACAGGATGAACTCTAAAATGAAAACATGAAAGTTTTCAGTTCTGAAAAAGCTGACCATCTGGGTGGACAAAGAGCTTCCTAGACTATTATGAGCTTCCTTAATCTGGGTGGTCTTTGGTGCTGGGAGAGATTCTGAAAAACTTTACTTGGAATATAAAATCTCATGTAAGTTGTTAGTAAAACTAACTCATCATAGTTGCATGCTAGAAACAGAGATAGGAGAGGGGGGATGTGGAAGGTGGTGAGACTCATCTTCTCTTTAAAGGCCTAGGGAAGAATCCTTTCTTGCTTCTTCTTGGATTCTGGTGATTGCTGGTAATCCTTGGCATGCCTTGGCTTGTAGGCACATCACTGCCATCTCTGCCTCTGTCATCACATGGCATTGTCCTTGTGTTCTATGTCCAAATTTCTCTCTCTCTCTCTCTCTCTCTATTTCTTTTTTTTTTTGAGACGGAGTCTTGCTCTGTTGCCCAGGCTGGAGTGCAGTGGTGCAATCTCAGCTAACTGCAACCTCTGCCTCCTGGGTTCAAACAATTCTCCTGCCTCAGCCTCCTGAGTAGCTGGAACTACAGGTATGTGCCACCACGCCTGGCTAATTTTTGTACTTTTAGTGGAGACGGGGTTTCACCACATTGGCCAGGCTGGTCTCGAACTCCCAACCTCAAGTGATCTGCCCGCTTTGGCCTCCCAAAGGCTAGGATTACGAGTGTGACCATGCCTGGCCAAATTTCTCTCTTCTTGTAAAGACAGCAGTCATTGAATTAGAGCCTGCCTTAATTCAGTATGTTTCATCTTTACCTGATTATATTTATGAAGATTCTATTTCCTAATACGGTCAAGTTCACAGGTATTGGGAGTTGTGACTTGAACATATTTTTGGGAGGGACATGATTCTATCCACCACAAAAACATATCAGAACAAAAGACAGGGCATCTGAAGCTTGAATGAATGAATTTTCCTGGAATGTGCCTCCCCCACTGACTTTTGGGAATTGCTTATGTAGAAGGAATAGGGATCCTCCTCCTGCCTCTATTCCATGTTCAGAAATTACAGTAGAGTGCACCTTTCCCAAACTTTAACCTTGCAGGGGAAGTAAAACCGACATTAACATAAAAATAATTTAATTTCAAAGCTTTTGCTTCAGTCTTTATATAGTGAGGGTAAGGCGCTCTAGAGGAAGGATTCTCTACAGTGGGATTGTATTTGATGTATGGTCATATCCCCTTGGATGAGAAAGTAATGATGGTTATCCCCTTTCCCTTACCAGTGACTGATTCAGGCTCAACTCAATTTAGGGCAATGTGCTTCATTTATTCTTTCATTGATTCAACATGTATCTATTGAGTTTTTACCACATGCTAGATACTTCAAATATCTGGCTAAAAACTTCTTGTACATAAGATTGTGACCTCTGTCAATTACTGATTTTTAAAGCCCATCAGTGTTAATCTAAAAGAACATGGAGAAAAATTACAATTTGTCCAGGAAATGGGAATATGCAGATAACTTTCAGCTGGCATGCAGAAGGTCTTCATGGCTACCCTGAAGGTATTGAGGATGTAATAGCAAATAAAGCAAGGAGAATAGTCTTGCTTGAGGTTTCTGCAAAGAAAAACCAGGTCCTTTCTCCCACTGGATATTATCAAGGATATGTTTTCCCAGCCTCTGACAAGGAGGGTACCAGCCCCAAGATAAAGCGAATGCTTTGTTCAGCAGAGCAGGGAGGGAAAAATAGCTTAAGTCTCTGATGACATTGTTGAGGAACTAAACTAACCAAACCTTACATGAGGACATTCTGTATTATAAGAAAATAAATTTACAAATAAATAGTGAATTGGGTTTGGGCTGAGTTTCAATTTCTTGCCTGCTAAAGCGCCTAGCTGATACCAGGCATCATCTCTTTGCATTACTTAAGTTCTGCAGAGTCTGAAAGCCACAGGAGAATAGATGGAAATGGCACAGCTCTGCTCGACAATGTTCTGTCTTTTCTGTGGGAGATATTTTTTTTTTTTTTTTTGAGATGGAGTCTTGCTCTGTCACCCAGGCTGGAGTGCAGTGGCACGATCTCAGCTCACTTTAACCTCTGCCTCCCTGGTTCAAGGGATCCTCCTGCCTCAGCCTCCCGAGTAGCTGGGACTGGATGCTAATCTTTTTATTTTTGTGGAGACAGGGTTTTGCCATGTTGGCCATAGCTGGTCTCAAACTCCTGGCCTCAAGGAATTTGCCTGCCTTGAGGCCAAAGTGCTGGGATTATAGGTATGAGTCACTGAGCCCGGCTGGGGATTTTTATTGTGTTTTGAAAAAGGACACATTTGATGAGAGAACACATCTGTGGACAGAGAAACAAGACGAAGAACTGAGTTGTGACTTTAAGGAAATTGTATATCAAATCCTTATTTTGTTTTTGAGCTTTTTCTGTAAAGCACACTGTAAAAAACTTCTTTTTTTTGGTAGTAATTCTGAGTTACCTTCAATTTAGTAAAATCTCAGCAGCTGTGAGTGGTGTGGCAAAATTCTGGGGAGTAAAAGATAGGAGTCATAAGAAGAATTCTATGATTCTGTTTGTCAAAGATAGAAGTCAGATCAGATTTTTAAGCCCAGTCAACAGATCCACATGAAAGTAGTTTCTCAAATGGTCACAATATGCTACATTTCAGAAAATACTCCTTCCATCCCTTCCTATTTTTAATCTACTCAGGCATAGAGAAGATATTAATGATAAAAGCATAAATCATATGCAGCACGGGGGTTGGAAATTCAGCAGGAGAATTGGGTCTTGAAGACTTCCCTCAACAGTTGGAATTGTTTGTGTGTAACCATGGTGATGGAAAGAAGAAAGCATTGCCTTGGATAACCATTCAGTTTCCCCTGCCAAGTTGCTGGTTGGCTTCATTCATTTTATCCAGCCAGGGCTTGGCTGAAATGTTTTTATCCACAATTGCCTAAAGGTTAATATAATTTCAAAACTATGGTCAGACTTTGTGAGACATATTTTAATTTATTTTTACTGAGTACTGACTAAGCGCCTGGGAACAATTGATGATGATACCTAGAAACAGAAATTGAAATGTTGGAAGCAACAAGGACCTGAGGATTCATCAATCATCTGACTGCATGGATGAGGGTCCAGAAATCTAAATGCCTGCTGTCACTGGGCCGGTCAGCAGAGAAGAAGACTCGAGTTCAGGGTTCTTAAATCCTGATCCAATCTTCCTTCCACAGGGAAATTCTAATGGCATTTTCTCTCAGCCTCCTTCAACTCTCCAACCAAGCTCTCATTTCTAAGGTCTCAGGTGACTGTTTTGTGCGGAAGACGCACGAGGGGAGAAAAACACACACACACACACACACACACAATACCTTTAAGGATAAACAACCTTTATCCCATGTAAATGGCAATGCAGATATAATAAGCCAATGATATAATAAGCAAATTGATATAATAAGCAGATTGATGTAATAAGCAACTTGCAATGGGAAGGGGGAAAGGAAAAAAATATGTGTGTGTATATATATATATATATATATATATATATATATTTTTTTTTTTTTTTTTTTTTTTTTTTTTTACACTCCCCAGACTATGGAGGATTCACCACCAGACTAGGAAGCAACAGCCGGGGCTCCAGAGTCAGACACTACACTCACCAGACTATGGAGGTTTCGCCACCAGACTGGGAAGCAACAGCCTGGGCTCCAGAGTCAGACGCTACACCCACCAGACTATGGAGGATTCGCCACCAGACTGGGAAGCAACAGCCTGGGCTCCAGAGTCAGACACTACACTCACTAGACTATGGACGATTCACCACCAGACTGGGAAGCAACAGCCTGGGCTCCAGAATGCACAGATGAGGAGAGGTCTCATGAAGCTTCGGTGGAGTCTGGGACCCTAGCTCTTTTTGTAACAAGTTGTTTGACATGAGGCCCAGTCACGAGGGCCCTTTGTGACTGGGCTCCAGGAACACAAAAAGGTCAACTTGTTTTTGCAACTGTCTATTGTTTTTCATTAACTAATGTATAGGAATAGATTGAAATACAGATTTCTCCGAAACAGTGCAGGATGAATGCCTCAAGGGGCTCACACAACCTGTTCTGGGACTTGGTGACCATTGTTTGTGTCCATGTTCAATTGAGTTCAAATTGAATATTTAATTTTTCCTCCACAGTGATCTCTGGTAAAAAGATCTGATGCTTTAGAATGTTAGGGCTCCATGGAGCCTTGCAGATCATCCAGTTCCTAGACTAGACTCTAGTCCAAACACCTCACTTTACAGAGAGGAAAATGGATCCAGGGAGAAAAGCTGACTGCATTCTTACCATTAGCCAGAGACAGAATAGGACTGGAACTCAGGTCTCCTGATAGAGCTCAATGCTCTCTTTGCTGCCTTCTTTTAGATTAATTTTTATGATTCAATTTTTATCTCCTTTGTTGGCTTGGTAGCTACAACTGTTTGTTTTGTTATTTTGCAGGTTCTTTAAGGTTTATAGTATACATCTTTATCTTATTACAGTCTTTGTTCAACTGATAGTATATTGCCACTTCACACATAGTATAACAACATTATGTTTCTTCCTTTCCAGCTTTCATGTTGTTATCATACATTTTACTTGTGCGTATGCAATAAATCCCAAAATACATGGTTACTATTTGTTTTTAAATAGTTAATTATATTTAAAAGAGATTAAATAATAAGAGGAGGAATACCTTACATATATACCCATGTAATTACCATTTCCTTTGATCTTCATTCCTTTGTGTGAATCTATGTTTTCATCAGGTATCCTTTTCCTTTGGTGGTAAATTTTTTCAGCTTTCGCAGGTCTGAAAAAGTCTTTATTTCACTTTCTTTTTTTATATGTAAAAATTTAAGACATAATTTATACATATAAATTACATATGTAGTTTAATCCATAAAAATTGTTCAAGTCCAATTTTGTTACATGGATATATTGCATAAAATGAAGCTGGGCTATTGGTATATATATCACCTGAATAATGTACATTGTATCCATTGAGGAATTTCTTATTCCTCATCCCTGCCCACCCTCCCACCCTTCCAAGTCTCCAGTGTCTATCACCGAATGTCCATGTATACACGTTATTTAGCTCCTACTTATAAGTGACAGCATGCAGTATTTGAATTTCTGTTTCTGAATTCACACCCATGTTGCTGCAAAAGACATGATTTTATTTTCCTTTTATGGCTGAATAGTATTCCATTGTGTATTATTCCACATTTTCTTTTTTTATTTTTTATTTTTATTATATATATATTTTTAATTTTACTTTAAGTTCTAGGGTACATGTGCACAACGTGCAGGTTTGTTACATATGTATACATGTGCCATGTTGGTGTGCTGCACCCGTTAACTCGTCATTTACATTAGGTATATCTCCTAATGCTATCCCTTCCCCCTCCCCCCACCCCACAACAGGCCCCGGGGTGTGATATTCCCCTTCCTGTGTCCATGTGTTCTTATTGTTCAATTCCCACCTATGAGTGAGAACATGCGGTGTTTGGTTTTCTGTCCTTGCTATAGTTTGCTCAGAATGATGGTTTCCAGCTTCATCCATGTCCCTACAAAGGACATGAACTCATCCTTTTTATGGCTGCATAGTATTCCATGGTGTATATGTGCCACATTTTCTTAATCCAGTCTATCATTGTTGGACATTTGGGTTGGTTCCAAGTCTTTGCTATTGTGAGTAGTGCCACAATAAACATACATGTGCATGTGTCTTTATAGCAGCATGATTTACAGTCCTTTGGGTATATGCCTAGTAATGAGATGGCTGGGTCAAATGGTATTTCTAGTTCTAGATCCTTGAGGAATCGCCACACTGTCTTCCACAATGGTTGAACTAGTTTATAGTCCCACCAACAGTGTAAAAGCGTTCCTATTTCTCCACATCCTCTTCAGCACCTGTTGTTTCCTGGCTTTTTAATGATTGCCATTCTAACTGGTGTGAGATGGTATCTCATTGTGGTTTTGATTTGCATTTCTCTGACGGCCAGTGATGATGAGCATTTTTTCATGTGTCTGTTGGCTGCATAAATGTCTTCTTTTGAGAAGTGTCTGTTCATAACCTTCGCTCACTTTTTGACGGGGTTGTTTTTTTTGTAAATTTGTTTAAGTTCTTTGTAGATTCTGGATATTAGCCCTTTGTCAATGGGTAGATTGTAAAAATTTTCTCCCATTCTGTAGGTTGCCTGTTCACTCTGATGGTAGTTTCTTTTGCCATGCAGAAGCTCTTTAGTTTAGTTAGATCCCGTTTGTCAATTTTGGCTTTTGTTGCCATTGCTTTTGGTGTTTTAGACATGAAGTCCTTGTCCATGCCTATGTCCTGAATGGTATTGCCTAGGTTTTCTTCTAGGGTTTTTATGTTTTAGGTCTGACATTCCAGTCATTAATCCATCTTGAATTGATTTTTGTATAAGGTGTAAGGAAGAGATCCATTTTCAGCTTTCCACATATGGCTAGCCAGTTTTCCCAGCACCATTTATTAAATAGGGAATCCTTTCCCCATTTCTTGTTTTTGTCAGGTTTGTCAAAGATCAGATGGTTGTAGATGTGTGGTATTATTTCCGAGGGCTCTATTCTGTTCCACTGGTCTATATCTCTGTTTTGCTACCACTACCACACTGTTTTGGTTACTGTAGCCTTGTAGTATAGTTTGAAGTCAGGTAGCGTGATGCCTCCAGCTTTGTTCTTTTTGCTTAGGATTGTCTTGGCAATGTGGGCTCTTTTTTGGTTCCATATGAACTTTAAAGTAGTTTTTTCCAATTCTGTGAAGAAACTCATTGATAGTTTGATGGGGAGGTCATTGAATCTATAAATTACCTTGAGCAGTATGGCCATTTTCACAATATTGATTCTCCCTATCCATGAGCATGGAATATTCTTCCATTTGTTTGTGTCCTCTTTTATTTCACTGAGCAGTGGTTTGTAGTTCTCCTTGAAGAGGTCTTTCACATCCCTTGTAAGTTGGATTCCTAGGTATTTTATTCTCTTTGAAGCAATTGTGAATGGGAGTTCACTCATGATTTGGCTCTCTGTCTGTTATCGGTGTATAGGAATGGTTGTGATTTTTGCACATTGATTTTGTATCCTGAGACTTTGCTGAAGTTGCTTATCAGCTTAAGGAGATTTTGGGCTGAGACGATGGGGTTTTCTAAATATACAATCATTTCATCTGCAAACAGGGACAATTTGACTTCCTCTTTTCCTAATTGAATAACCTTTATTTCTTTCTCTTGACTGATTACCACATTTTCTTTATGCAGTCATCCATTGATGGATGCTTAGGATAATTCCCTATCTTTGCTATTGTGAAGAGTGCTGTGATAAACATATGTGTATGATATCTTTTTGATATAATGATGACTTTTCCTTTGGATAGATACTCAGTAGTGGGATTGCTGGATCAAATGTTAGTTCTCTATTTAGGTTTTTGAGAAATTTCCATGCTGTTTTCTATAGAGGTTGTGCTAATTTACATTCCCACCAACAATGTATCAGTTACTTTTTGACTTTTTAATAGTAGCTATTCTGACTGGTATAAGATGATATATCATTGTGGTTTTAATTTGCATTTCTTTGATAATTATTGATGTTGAACATTTTCAAAACATGTGTGGCCATTTGTATGTTTTCCTTTGAAAAATGACCCACTTTTAAATAAGGTTATTATTTTTTCCTTCACCCGCTTTTAAATAAGGTTATTTTTTTTTTGAGTTGCTTGAGTTCTTTGTAAATTTTGGATATTAGCCCCTTGTTGGTTGCATAGTTTGCAAATATTTTCTCTCATTCTGCAGGTTGTTCACTTCGTGGGTTATTTATTTTGCTATACAGAAGCTTTTTAATTAAGTCCAATTTATCTATTTTTGTTTTTGTTGCTTGTGTTTTTCAGTTGGCTTTCATTTTTGTTTGTTTTTTAAACTTATTTACATATGCATTTTTATTCTATTTTGTTTTTTATTTTCAAAGTTTTGGGGGGAACAGGTGGTGTTTGGTTACACAAATAAGTTCTTTAGTGGTAATTTCTGAGATTTTGGTATACCCATCACCCGAGCAATATCACTGTACCCAATTTGTAGTCTTTTATTTCTCACCCCCCTCCCACCCTTTCTCCTGAGACCCCAAAGTCCATTGTATCATTCTCATGCCTTTGTATCCTCATAACTTAGTTCCCACTTATGAGTCAGAACATACAATGTTTGGTTTCCCATTCCTGAGTTACTTCACTTAGAATAATGGTCTCCAATCCCATCCAGGTTGCTGCGAATGTTATCATTTGGTTCCTCTTTATGGCTGAGTAGTATTCCATGGTATATATGTGTGTATGTATGTGTGTGTATATATGTGTATATATACATACATATATGTACACATACATATATACACATATATACATACACATATGCATATATACACATACATATATACATGTATACATATATATACACCATATATGTACCACAATTTCGTTTTTTCTTTATTTCTTCTAAAAAAATGGGATACGTGTGCAGAACGTGCAGGTTTGTTACATAGGTATACATGTGCCATGGTGGTTTGCTGCACCTACTGACCCATCCTCTAAGTTCCCTCCCCTCACCCCCAAACACCCCACAGGCTCTGGTGTGTGTTGTTTCCCTCTCTGCGTCTGTGTGTTCTCAATGTTAAGCTCCCACTTATGAGTGACAACATGTGGTGTTTGATATTCTGTTCCTGTGTTAGTTTGCTGGGGATGATGGCTTCCAGCTTTATCCATGTCCCTGCAGAAGACATGAGCTCATTTCTTGTTATGGCTGCATAGTATTCCATGGTGTATGTGTACCACATTTTCTTTATCCAGTCTATCATTGATAGGCACTTGGGTTGGTTCCATTTCTTTGCTATTGTAAACAGTGTTGCAATAAATACATGTGTGCATGTATCTTTATTGTAGAATGATTTATATTCTTTTGGGTATATATTCAGTAATGGGATTGCCAGGTCAAATGGTATTTCTGGTTCTAGATCCTTGAGGAATCGCCACACTGTCTTTCACAATGGTTGAACTAATTTACATTCCTACCGACAGCATAAAAGCATTCCTATTTCTCCACAGCCTTGCCAGCATCTATTGTTTCCTGACTTTTTGATAACTGCCATTCTGACTGGCATGAGACGGTATCTCATTGTGATTTTGATTTGCCTAGATTAAACCAGGAAGAAATAGAAACTCTGAACAAACCAATAACAAGCAGAGAGATTGACATGGTAATAAAAAAAATTGCCAACCAAAAAATGTCCAGGACCAGACAGGTTCACAGCTGAATTCTATCAGACATTCAAGACGAGTGGGTACCACTTCTATTGACTTGACACTATTCCACGAGAGAGAGAGAGGGAATCCTCCCTAAATCATTCTTTGAAGCCAATATCAGCCTAATACCAAAACCAAGAAAGGACATAGCAAAAAAAGAAAACTACAGACCAATAACCCTGATGAATGTAGATGCAGGAAAAGCATATATGGCTTTTATTACCTTAAGGTATATCCTTTCTATGCTGATTTTGCTGAGGGTTTTAATCCTAAAGGGATGCTGGATTTTGTCAAATGCTTTTTCTGCATCTATTGAGATGATTATGTGATTTTTGTTTTTAACTCTGTTTATGTGATGTATCATGTTTATTGACTTGCATATGTTAAACCATCCCTGTATCCCCCGTATAAAACCCACTTGATCATGGTGGATTATCTTTCTGATATGTTGAATTTGGTTAGCTAGTATTTTATCAAGGATTTTTACATCTACGTTCATCAGGGATATTGGTTCATAGTTTTCTTTTTTTTACGTCCTTTCCTGGTTTTTGTATTTGGCTGCTACTGGCTTCATAGAATGATTTAGGGAGGATTCCCTCTCTCTCTAACTTGTGGAATAGTGTCAATAGAATTGGTACCCATTCGTCTTTGAATGTCTGGTAGAATTCAGCTGTAAATCTGCCTGGTCCTGGACATTTTTTTGGTTGGCAACTTTTTTTTTTATTACCATGTCAATCTTGCTGCTTGTTATTGGTCTGTTCAGAGTTTCTATTTCTTCCTGGTTTAATCTAGGAGGGTTGTATGTTTCCAAAAATGTATCCATTTCCTCTAGGTTTTCTAGTTTATGTGCATAAAGGTGTTCATAGTAACCTTGAATGATATTTTTATTTCTGTGGTATCGGTTGTAATATATCCCATTTCATTTCTAATTGAGCTTATTTGGATCTTCTCTCTTCTTTTCTTGGTTAATCTTGTTAATGGTCTATCAATTTTATTTATGTTTTCAAAGAACCAGCTTTTTGTTTTATTTACTTTTGTATTTTTTTGTTTCAATTTCATTTAGTTCTGCTCTGATTTTTTTTCTTCTGTTGGGTTCGGGTTTGATTGGTTCTTATTTCTCTAGTTCCTTGAGGTGTCACCTTAGATTATCTCTTTGTGCCCTTTCAGACTTTCTGATGCAGGCATTTAAGGCTATGAACTTTCCTCTTAGCACCACTTTTGCTCTATCCCAGAGGGTTCGATAGGTTGTGTCAGTATTATTGTTCAGTTCAAAGAATTTTTAAATTTCCATCTTGATTTCATCGTTCCTCCAATGATCATTCAGGCGAAGGTTATTTAGTTTCCATGTATTTGCATGGTTTTGAGGGTTCCTTTTGGAGTTGATTTCCAATTTTATTCTACTGTGGTCTGAGAGAGTACTTGATATCATTTCAATTTTCTTAAATTTATTGAAACTTGTTTTGTGACCTATCATATGGTCTGTCTTGGAGAAGTTCCATGTGCCAGTGAATGAATGTGTACTCTGCAGTTCTTGGGTAGAATGTTCTATAAATATCTGTTAAGTTTATTTATTCTAGTATATAGTTTAAATCCATTGTTTCTTCATCGACTTTCTGTCTTGATGACCTGTATAGTGTTTTCAGTGGAATATTGAAGTCTCCCATTATTATTGTGTTGCCATCTATCTCATTTCTTAGTAGTGATTGTTTTATGAATTTTGGAGCTCCAGTGTTAGGTGCATATATATTTAGGATTGTGATATTTTCCTGTTGGACATGTCCTTTTATCATTATAAAACGTCCCTCTTTGTCTTTTTGGACTGCTGTTGCTTTTAAGTTTGTTTTGTCTGATATAAGAAAAGCTACTCCTACTCGCTTTTGGTGTCCATTTGCAGGGAATATCTTTTTCCACCCTTTTACCTTAAGTTTATGTGAGTCCTATGTGTTAGGTGAGTCTCTTGAAGACAGAAGATACTTTCTTGGTGAATTCTTATCCATTTTGCTATTCTGTATCTTGTAAGTGGAGCATTTAGGCCATTTACATTCAAAGTTAGTATTGAGATGTGAGGTACTACTTCTTCATTGTGCTATTTGTTGCCTGAATACCTTTTAAAAATTTATTTTGTTTTAGTTTCATAGGTCCTATGAGATTTATGTTTCAAAGAAGTTCTATTTTGGTGTATTTTGAAGATTTGTTTCAGGATTTAGAGCTCCTTTTAGCAGTTCTTGTAGTGCTGCCTTGGTAGTGGCAAATTCTCTCAGCATTTGTTTGAAAAAACTGTATATTTCCTTCATTTACTAAGCTTAGTTTTGCTGGATACAAAATTCTTGGCTAATAACCGTTTTGTTTTAGAAGGCTGAATATAGGTCCCTAATCTCTTCTACCTCGTAGCCTTTCTGCTGGGTTTTCTTTTATAGGTTACCTGGTGCTTTTGCATCACAACTCCTAAGATTCTTTTCTTTCTCTTGACTTTAGATAACCTAATGACTATGTACCTAGGAGATTATCTTTTTCCAATAAATTTCCCCAGGTGTTCTTTAAGCTTCTTGTAGTTGGATGTCTAGATCTCTAGCAAGGCAAGGGAAGTTTTCCTGGATTATTCCATTGTATGTTTTTTGAGTGTTTAGATTTCTCTTCTTCCTCAGGAACACCAGTTATTCCTAGGTTTGGTCATTGAACATAATCCCAAACTTCTTGGAGACTTTGTTCATTTTTTAAAAATTCTTTTTTCTTTGTCTTTTTGGGATTGGGTTAATTCATAAACCTTGTCTTCAAGGTCTGCAGTTCTTTCTTCTGCTTGTTCAATTTTATTGCTGAGAATTTCCAGGGCATTTTGCATTTCTCTAAGTGTGTCTTTCATTTCTGGAAGTTGTGATTGTTTTTTATTTATGTTATGTATTTCACTGAAGATTTTCCCCTTCATATCTTCTATCTTTTTAAACAATTTCATCAAGTTGCATTCCACCTTTCTCTGGTGCACCTTTGATTAGCTGAATAATTGATGTTCTGAATTCTTTTTCTGGCAAGTCAATGATTTCTTCTTGGTTTGGATCTGTTGCTGGTGAGCTAATGTGATCTTTTGGGGGTGTTAAAGAACCTTGTTTTGTCATATTACCAGAATTGCTTTTCTGGTTCCTTCTCATTTGGGTAGACTATGTCAGAGGGAATATCCTGGGCTCAGGGTCTGCTGTTCAGATTCTTTTGTTCCACAGGGTGCTCCCTTGATGTAATGCTCTCCCCTTTTTCCTAGGGATGTGGCTTCCTGAGAGCTGAACTTTAGTGATTGTTATTTCTTTTCTGGATCTAGCTACCCAGTAGAGATACCAGGCTCCTGGCTGGTGCTGGGGGGTGTCTGCACAGAGTCCTGTAATGTAAATTGTCTGCAGGTCTCTCAGCCTTGGATAGCAGCACATGCTCCAGTGGAGATGGCAGGGAAGTGAAATGGACTCTGAAGTCCATTCACTAAGTGAAGATACTTAGTTGTAGTTTTGTTTATTGCACTAGTTTTGTGCTGGTTGGCCTCCTGCAAGGAGTTCTCATTTTTAAGACAGCATCAGCTATGGTAGTATAGGGAGAATCAGGAAGTGGTTGGGGGCCCTAGAGCTTTCAAGAAAATATGTCCTTTGTCTTTGGCTACCAGGGTGGGTAGAAAAGGACCATCAGGTGAAGGCAGGGTTAGGTGTGTCTGAGCTCAGACTTTCCTTGGGTGGGGCTTGCTGCAGCTGCTGCAAGGGGCTGGGGGTGTGGTTCTCAGGCCAATGAAGTTATGTTCCCAGGGGGATTATGGCTGCTTCTGCTCTTTCATGCAGGTTGCCAGGGAAGTGGGGGAAAGCCAGCAGTTACAAGCCTCACCCAACTCTCATGCAGCCCAAAAGACCACTCTCGCCCTCACTGTGCCCCACAAGCCCTCACCCAGCAGTACTGTTTGTTTCCAGGCAGCGGGTGAGCAGGGTTGGGAACTTGCCCCAGACTACCAGATTCCTGGGTGTGAAAGCAAGCAGGGCTTTCAGTTTTTGTGCCTCTCCACTGGCATGGTTTCTGTGCTGTGTCTGCACTCCGGATTCACCCCTTCCCCCGCGTTCTGTCCAGGAAACATTTGTTTGGTTGAAATTGTTACAGAGTTCAGCTGGAAGTTTCCTTCTCCCTGTGGTCTTTTCCCCGTTCCTCTGGCAGCTATCACCAAAGACCTCTGTGATACAAAGTTGGAAATGGCTTTTCTGGGGACTGAGAGAGACCACAGAGCTCTTCCCACTGATTCTTGTACCCCTGTATTTTGCTCAGTTCTCTAATGTTGTCTCAGCTCCAGGTGAGGTCAAAACCTTCACCCGTGATCTGGACCTTCAGGTTACCCAGTGAGGGTGTGTGTTTGTGGGTAGATGATCCCTCCTTCAGACTTTGGGCACTCACAGTCTCCTGGGGCCTGCAGGAACAATCCACTTCTTTCAAAGGGTCTGTGGATTCTCTCGGATTTCCTGGTATGTTCCTTCAGTAGTTCTTGGAGTAAAAGTTCATGATGTGAGTCTCCACATGCTGCTCTGTTTGTCTGAGTGGGAAGTGCAATTTAATCCTGTCTCCTGTCTGTCATTTTCCTCTAACTCCAACCCTCATTTTTGAAGGATATTTTTGCTGGATATAAAATTCTAGGTTGACAAACTCTAGTAGCCTTGGTCTCTGCAGGTTTGTCTCAATTCAGATAGTCTGCTGGGCTCTGCCTGAGTTCCTCCTCCCTGAGCTGCGGTCTGGAGCCTGCTCTCAAGGCAGTAATCTGGGATAACCATAGAGCTTATCTCCTTTGTTCCCCATTTCTCAAGGACCATTGTCTCTCATTAGTTGATGTTCAATGTCTTTAGAATCATTGGTTTATATAACCTGTTTTGTTTTTATTGTTGTCCTTTCAGGAAGGAGGGTAAATTTGGTCCTTGTTACTCTATCTTGGCTCAGTGCAGAGGTATGGGGTGGTAAAAATGTAATATTAGTAAATTTGGAGGCATTTCTCCTGCTCTAGGGTTTTATCAGGGGTCAGGGCACCTCATGTAATGCTAAGACATGGGCTGGCAGGAGCCTCTCTGACCTGCAGCCGGTCTGTGCAGGTGGCTACTGAGACATCTTTTGTCTCTATGGCCCCTCCATCCTGGGAGTTGTCTTGGCTGCATCTGAGCTATCCTGGATAACCAGGAGTTTTTGCCAGTGTGTTTGGCTCCATTAACCTCTATACCTAGCACATTGTAGCCATTTCCTCTCTTTCTGGGATTTGTTAATCTTTGTAGGCCTTTGCTGGAGAGGATGTGCAGGCTCCTCTTCCAGGAACACATTAATTTCTTGGCTTTCACCCCCTCTCTCTCTCTCTCTCTCTCTCTGTCTTTCTCTACCCTTTTCCTTTATCTCCTCCTTAGTCTTGGAGAAATACTTTTTTATATAAGGTAGGAGTGGGTATTGGGGTCTTGTCTATAAGTGAGTACTTTAAATTTCCCTAAAGTCCTGGGTTTTGGGAACACAGAATGCAGAGTCTCTGAAGCTATTCTTGCTTTCTGCCTGCCACATTCTTCCCTGGAGGCAATGTAAAGCAAGTTATTTGATTTAAGAGAATAGGTAGGAAAAATCATGCCATGATAAAAAAAAACCCTCTTCAAACCAATTATGCCAAAATAATAAGAATTACCTATTTTCTGGAAATCTTACCTTTTGAATTTATCTGTTTATGGTTATTTAAAAACTAACAAAGTATTTTTTAGGGAGGGTATGCTAAACAGAGGCATAACTTCTTTAAACTTTTTTAGCATTGCTATATTTGCTTGGAAAATGTAAGCTAGATTTGATATATTTAATTACTTGGCTGTATTCAACAGTAATGTTCAACATGGCACACAAAGCTGGTATTTTTAGCATCTTGAATAAGGAGATGTTTTTTCCTTCTTAAATTCTAGTCTTCCCTGCCACATACACAGAAATTTAACTTGATACATTATTGATGTATCCTCAATGTTCAGTTTCTATACATAATTTTTATCCAATAAAATTGTTTAAATATTTAAGTTGCTTAATTGTGTAACTGTAGCACTCTGAAGTATTTGGCATAGCCTAGATTCCAGTCTCTGCAATTCTCCTTTCCTTAGCTATGGCCATGGGACCCTAAAACAGCCCCAAGATGGTATCTAGGATCAATTCTGACTTAAAATAATAGAACTTATGACTTATATATCCACACTATGAGATAAATTTTCCAGTGGTTCCCAGGTTGCTCCTGACCTAGTGCTTCAAGTTCACAAACTGGGCCTTTGTTTTGCTTCTGAGACACAGACCCACTCTGTGTCCCACTTCTGGTGCTTAAGCCTTTTCTCTACAACATATCTAGTATTGCTGTATTTCCAGGGTTGGGTCACTTCCTTCCAGAAGAGTAGATGGGCCCTTCCATCTTCAGGCTATCTTCTCCAGGGTTAATGATATGCCCATACACCTAGATTTCTGTATATCTCCTATTCTCACATTCTTAAGTTTAAAGGTCTGCATATTTGTTGGGTACTATCATAGGGCCCAAGGGAAAAACTTCTGAAGGTTCACCGAGAAATTAACTGACAAAAGGCAGATTAAAAAGAGAAATGGCCTACAAATGTATTAGTGTGCATGGGACTCTTACAAAATAATATTTCAAAACAAGCTGCCAAATGGTTGATGATTTTATACCATCATGAGATTACTGAAAGAATGGAGGCTCAGAGCATGGCCAAAAACAGATCATGGTGGTAAATCATGATACGGTGGCAAGACAGGTTATGGGAGGGAGATAATAGGAGGCCTGACTAGCACAGGTGGTCCTGATGTAGATGAAACCTCAGAAATAGCAGCCCTCTGAGATATAGATAACAAATGTCTCTTCAGGCCTTTAAAAGTGTCAGATCCTTAGTTAATCTTTAGTTAATCTTCCATAGATCCAGACAAAGGAGGGCCTCAGAGAAAACCTGGATGCATCAATTCAAATTGTTTACAGACACAAATCTCCCCTACAAAAGAGCTTTGTAGGACTACTTCTGTCTGTGGGCCCTCTGTACAACCATCTCAAAATATGTCAAAGAAGTATATTTTGGGATGAAATATTTTGATTTCCTTTACTATGGTGCTCAGAGGCATATTTTTTCTTAATAACATTGTGGCTTATATATAAAATCCTCTGCTTTAGTAAGTGCACCTGTGTACCCAGTGCCTACTACCACATGTCTAAGCTGTCTGAGATCTATGTCCTCTTAGCACTTCCTAGGAGATAGCACAGCTCTATGCCTCCATGTTACAATATAACCAAGAGTTATATATTATACACATATATGTGCTATGGTCTGAATATTTTTATCTACCTCATATCCATCAAATCTATATGTTGAAACCTGATCACCAATGTGATGATATTAGGAGGTGGGACATTTAATAGCTGAGTAAGTCATGACAGTAGAACCCTCATGAATGGCATTAGTGCCCTTATAAAAGAGGTCTGAGAGAACTTCCTCACCCTTTCCACCATATGAGGACACAGCAAGAAGGCTCATCTATGAGCCAGGAAATAATACTTCACCAGATGCTGAATCTGCTGGTGCCTGGATCTTGGACTTCACAGTCTCCAGAACTATGAGAAATATATGTAGTTTTGGTTTTTATAAGCTACCAGCTTATGACATTTTGTTTTAGCAGTCTGAATAGATTAAGACAGAAAATTAGTACCAGGAGTTGGGTGTTGCTATAACAAAGAACTAACATGTAGAAGCTGTTTTGGAACCAGGAAATGGGTAGAGGCTGGAAGACTTTTGAGGTACATGCCAGGAAAAGCCTACATTGCCATGAACAGTTAAGGACAATTCTACTGAGGACCCAAAAATAAAAGAGGAGAGCTATAGAGAAAGCCTCAATTTTCTCAGAAAATACCTCACCAATCTTGAACAGACTGTTGATAGGAATAGTGATGATAAAGGCCATTCTGATGAAGTTTTACATGGTAATGAGGAACATGTTATTGGAAACTGGAGGAAAGGGCAACCTTGTTATAAAGTCACAAAGAACTTGGCTGAATTGTGTTCCTGTTCTAGTGTTTTGTGGAAGGTGGAACTTGTGAGTGATGAAATTGGATATTTGGCTGAGGAAATTTCTAAAGTGTTTAAGGTATGGTTTAGCTTCTCATAACTGCATATAGTAAAACGAAAAAAGACAAAAATGACTTAAAGATGGAATTGTTAATCAAAGGGAAACAAAACTTAATAATCTGGAAACTTCTCAGCCTGTCCATATTGGGAAAAAAAAGAGAAAGACTTTTTTTGGGGGAAAGAACAAGTGTGTGGTTCTGCAATCATTTGAAAAGGAGATTAGCATGGATTGGTCATCTCAACAGAAGCCAGATGTTATTTATTAAGACAATGCAAGAATGACCCCGAAAGGCATTTTGAAGATCATCGTGACTGCCCCTCCCAACAGAGGCCAAGAGTGTGAGGACCTGGGAGCAGAATAATTTCAAGGCACCATTCCCTGGTATTCTGATGCAGTGCTCCTTGGCCACCTAAGTGTGGGTTCAGTGGGCCCAGGTGTGGTGTGGACAATAGTGGCCACCCTTCTGGAGGACATGGGTGGTAAGCCTTGGTAGGGTCCACAAGGTGCCATCTCTGTCCACATACAAAGTGCATGAGCCATGGAGCCATAGCACTTCTAGCTAGATTTTGAAGGATGTTGCTGCCTGGAGCCTTGTGCACATGATCCAAGCAGAGAGCAGCCACAAAGGCTAGGCAACTGCAGAGAGTTACCACTAAGGTAATGCCTAGTGGTGCTGTAGGGTTTGGGCCAACACAGCTACCCTAGATTTGTAGAGCAAGCAGCACATGTTTCTAGCCTGGAGGAGCTTTGGGTATGCAACTTCAACCTATAAGAACTGTGGTGAGCGTTGGGCCCAGCAAAGCCATGGGATGGGGCTAGCCAGAGCCTTCGGGGCCAACCTTCTACTCCAGTGTGTCCAGAAGGTGGGACATCAAGTCGAAGAAGATTATTTTTGAGTTTTAAGATTTAATAATGTTTGCCCTATTGGTTTTGAGCTTCCTTGGCACCTGTTCCACTTTCTTCTTTTCTATTTCTCCCTTTTGGAATGGGAATGTCTATCCTATGCCTATCCTACCATTGTATTTTGGAAGCACATAGCTTATTTGATTTAACAGGTTCACAGCTAGAGAGCAATTTGCCTCAGGATGAATTGTACCTTAGGTCTTACTCATATTTAATTTAGATGATATTTAGATGAGACTTTGCACTTAGACCTTGAAGTTGATGCTGAAATGTGTTAAGACTTTTGGAGCTATTATGATGAAATAAATATATTTTGTATTTGAAAAGGACATGAATTTTGGGGAGCCGGGGTAGAATGCTGTGGTCTAAATATTTGTCTTCACTCAAAGTTCATAAGTTGAAACCGAATCACATATAGTGATAGCACTGGAAAGTGGGGCTTCGGCAGGTGACTAGGTCTTGAGGATAGAGCCCTTATTAATTGGATTAGTGCCCTGATATGGTTTGGCTGTGTCCCCACCCAAATCTCATCTTGAATTGTAGTCCCCATTATCCTCACATGTCATAAGAGGGACATGGTGGGAGGTAATTGAATCATGGGGTTGGTTACCCTCATGCTGCTCTCGTGATAGTGAATGAGTTCTCATGAGATCTGATGGTTTTATAAGGGGCTTTTCCTCCTTTTGCTCAGCACTTCTCCTTGCTGCTGCCATGTGAAGAAGGATGTGTTTGTTTCCCCTTCAGCCATGATCGTAAGTTTCCTGAGGCCTCCCTAACCATGCTGAACTATGAGTCAATTAAAACTCTTTCCTTTATAAATTACCCAGTTATGGTTATGTCTTTATCAGCAGCATGAGAATGGACTAATACAGTGCACTTATAAAAGATGTCTGAAATAGACAGACACACACCCCATGCCTTAATCTGATGTATATTTAATCTCTCTCACTTTTTTTTTTCTTTTTTTGAGACAGAGTCTCGCTCTGTCGCCCGGGCTGGAGTGCAGTGGATTGATCTTGGCTCACTGCAAGCTCCGCCTCTAGGGTTTATGCCATTCTCCTGCCTCAACCTCCAGAGTAGCTGGGACTACAGGCGACCGCCACCGCACCTGGCTAATTTTTTGTATTTTTAGTAGAGACGGGGTTTCACCATGTTAGCCAGGATGGTCTCCATCTCCTGACCTCGTGATCTGCCTGCCTCGGCCTCCCGAAGTGCTGGGATTACAGTTGTGAGCCACCGCTCCTGGCCTCTCTCTCACTTTTAAGACATACAATATTATTCTGGCAATATTAACCCTTGACTCCACCACATCCTACTTCACCCTTCCACACCTTCAGATACTGTCTGAAATTTATCTAATAAGCAGTTTCACCACCATCTTCCAGTCAGCAGCTGGAATAGTAACCATCCTTTGGCAGAAAAGATAATGGAGTGTTGGTGGAGGTGAGTCTGGGCCACTTTCTTTCATTCACTCATCCATTCAATGTTTTCACAAATATCCATTGAGCACGTACTGTGTGCCTAATACTCTCTAGGCACTTTTTGTACAGAAAACAGCAACATGAGAAAAATTCTTTTTTTTCATGGAGTTTATATTCTATTAATAGCTGAGAGAGCAGATAAAAAACAAAAGTTCAAGATGTCAGATCCAGCACAATATGATGAAGGAAAATAAAGGAGGATAAAATTATAGAAGAGAAAGATGCATGTGTGTGTGCCTGTGCATGTGTGTGTGTGTGATGTGTATTAGGTACAATATTAAATACAGTGGTCATGAATTGCCTACCTAATAAGATTTCATTTAAATAGTGACCTAAATTAAAGGAGAGTGAGAAACATGCCTTATGGATGTCTAGGGCAAAGAGCACTCCTGGCAAGAGACAGAAAGTGGAAAGACCCTTAAAGGGAGGGGGCTGAATGTGCGCAGGGAACAGCAAGGAGACCAGGGCTGTTGGTATGCTGTAAGCAAGGGCATTTATGATGATATTGATAAGTCAGAGAAATAGCTATGGCCAAACCATGTAGATCACTCTTCGTGAGATGGGAAGCCATTGGATATTTTGAGCAGAGGAGTGACAACATTGGATGTTTCAATGAACTGTCTGAATGCCCTGTGGATAATAGACTATAAAGGGCAAGTGTGGAATCTGGGAGACCAGTTGGGAAGTTATTGCAACAGTCCAGGTAAAGGATGATGGTAATTTTGATGAGGGTGGTAATGGTAGAAGTAGTGATAAGTATTTTGATTCAGGGTATGTTTTCCAAGTAGATATGGCAGGATTTGCTGGCATCTGTATGTCCTTTGCAGGGATGTAGATGGAACTGGAGGCTATTACCCTTAGCAAGCTAACACAGGAACAGAAAACCAAATACCACAAGTTCTCACTTATAAGTGGGAGTTAAATGATGAGAACACATAGAAACATAGAGGTAAACAACACTCATTGCAGCCTTTCGGAGGGTGGAGGGTGGGAGGAGGGAGAGGATCAGGAAAAATAATGAATGGGTACTAGGCTAAACACCTGGGTGATCAAATAATCTGTACAAAAAACCAGCATGACACAAGTTTATCTATGTAACAATCCTATACTTTCATTCCTGAACCTAAAATAAAAGTTAATGAAAAAGAAGAGTCGAGAATGATGCCAAAGATTTTGGCCTGAGCAGTTGGAAGGATAGAATTGTTATTTACAGAGTTCGGGATACTGGGGTAAGAGCAGATATGAGCAGAGGAGGTTGGGAGGAATAAAAAGTTGGATTTCAACTGTGTTAAATTTATATACCAATATGCATTTATATGTAAAAATTATGGGGTGAGTTGGAGAAGTCAAGAACAGAGGTATACATTTGGACTGGAGTATAAATTTGAGGGTCATCAATATAGAGATTGTATTAAAATCACAGGCCTGGAGGAGGTAGGCATGGATAGTGAACACAAGAGATTTAAGAACTGAGCTCTGGGGTGCTTCAAAGTTTAGAGGTCCCAACATGAGGATGGTCCAGTCAGTGAGATTCAAAGTGAGTGGCCAAGACTGAGAAAGAATAATTATTTTGAATGGAGGCACTTATTTCTGTAGGAAATATAGAATTGGTCTTTTTTTTTAAAAAAAGAATGTGTTCTGTAAGGAACTCTGATCTGTAGATTCCCAGTCCTTAGAAACCCAACCTCTGATTCCTTTTCTGGCAGCGCCCTTAAGAGAAGGGATGGAAAAAGGCCTCTGTTGGCTGTGTAAGAGTGGCAAAAATAGGATGGCATGGTGTCGTCAGTAGAGTCAGTGGAACGGCAGCAATGCCTTGGTAGCCTCAACTTAAAATATCCCTATATCCCTATTATAACTCCATCCTGTTTATGTACATGTAGTAAGTTTCTTGTTGCTTTCAGATATGGGTTGATGGATTATTTTAGTTGTATTCAAGACCCCAAAGAGAGTCTGAGGTAGGGATGGGATGGAGGAGGCAGTATAAGTCTTGAATAGAAACCTCTCAAGTGGTCAATGGGCAGACACAATCTACTACCCTCATTAGGAAGTCCCTGTTACTGACTATGATAGGAGGTGCCATTGGTTGCTTTCGTGTAGCCATGGTTTCCATAACAACTGTCACCATGCCTATTGAAAGCTCTGTTCAAAGCCTCATGTTTTTGAGTCTAGTCCATCCTGAAGTCTTTCTCTGGATATTTGTTTACTAAGACGTGGTTTCCACATGCATCATTATATTAAAATAAAAATGCCCAAACTCGTGTTGTATGGAAGTGTAAATCTTTTTAGTATATCTGATTTGACAAATAGAAAGTATTACTAAAAAGCCCTTTGACTATATCTCCACAAATTGTGTAGTGGCATCATATAGTGAAAAAAGATAGAGGCTTGAATCCCAGTTCTGCCACGTAATAGCTGTATGGTTTGGGGCAAGTTATATAAATTCTCTGTCTCATTTTCATCAACTGTAAAGTCAGGATGATAATATCTATCTACCTCATGGAACTATTTTGAGATTTAAAGTGAAAATAATAACTTTTAAAAAAAGTATGTGGTATAAAAATCAGTAACTGATTTTAAATAACTGGTTTTATTTAAAAAGGATTTAAATAGGCAGTAGCAAATATTATTGTACAGAAAAAGGTTTCTGTGGTCATCCACTGTGCCCTTCTTTCTAATCAGACACACTGGAGGGGTGTACAGTTCACTATAGGGGCACTCGGCGAATCTTGACCATTCCTGGAAAAACAACTCGAAGTATGCATCTTATTAACAACAGGTCATTGATGTCATCTTTGGTTTCAAAAATCACCACCGTTCCTCCATGAGAAGAGTGAACTATTCTTTCAGGGGTTCTGTGTCACAGGTTTGAAGAGAGTCAGAAGTCATGTGGTGAAAAGCAACATTCTGAAGTCACAGGTTAACTTCCTTTAGCATCTCTTCTTGTTCAGACTTCTGGAGAGTCTCCTCTTTGGAAAGGTGAGTTTGCTTCTCTTGTAAAAGGACAGAGAGGATGTTCCTAGGAAAACCTGGAATGAGGACTCTTTTCCTCCAGTTGAAAAGAGGGGATTTATAGCTCCTCTCTCCTGGATGTAGTGGGAGAAAACAATAGTTATAAAAAGGATATGCCTCAAGCTGTTAACGTGGTTGCTTCTGAAGAGTGGAATTGTGCGTATGTGTAGGGAGATCACTTTCAATTTTTGTCTTCTTTTTAATTAAGTCACATACAAAGAGAATATATTAATTTCGCTAATTCATTGTTGGGAAATTTTGACATTAAATGGATGAAAAGAGCATGAGCTTTAGAGCTAGAACATTCTGGGCTTAATTCTGGGTTTTCTTCTTGGCAAATCTTTCTTACCCTCAGATTTCCAATTTGTATGAGGACTTTGGTTGATTAAATTGGATAATGTTTAGGTGTACAACAGGCCCAATTATAGTGCCAGCTCGTGTGAAGTCCCTTAGCAATGCTCTTGCCGTATCTAATCTTTGGACCAATATTTATAAATGCTTATTCTTGAATTGTAGGATGACATTGATATCTCTGATGAAAAACATTAGATTTAAAACAGATGGACCTGGAAATATTTACTTTCTGCTAACACTGAAATTCTTTTAGAAATATGGCTCTAAACAGAGTACCATTAATAGACTGACATCATTTCTTGGTTTCCTTGTGGTTATAGAAGTTATAGAAGCTACGCTGTATAGAGTAGAATTATTTATAAATTCTGCTCATTTACCCCCTTCAGAGGCAAAGGACTGTAACCACCCTGGTATTGTAGATACTGGAGATTCAAGTTAAAAAATTATGTTCTCTCTAGACATTGAGTTTTGAGACAATACTAGCACACAATACCTCTCTGTCACAAAATTGGACATATGGGGGAAAATTGTATCAAATTATATCATAGGGATACATACAATGTCACCCTCAACTCTCTCATTTTCATATTAAATTACAGAAGTGTATTATTCAGGTCCCTGGACCTTTGTATTAAAATGTGTTTTTAAAATAGGGAAACATACTGTTTCCCTAAGTTGTGGGGTTATTTTCTCTGTTATTGGGAAGTGTGGGTGTTGTGGGGAGCAGTGATGGGAGTCTGAACAGATAAAAAATTTTGCTCCTCTCACTAAAGCCTAAAATACAAATCAGTGATAACAATTTGAAAAGAATGAGGCTTTTGGAGTATTTACTATGTGATGCCTTTGCATAAAGTATGTTGTTTGGTACCCATGAAATTGTTCAGAGACACCGTAGTCCCAATGGTAAAAGAACAAAAGGAATTAGAGACAATTCGAGAACTTGTTTGGTTAAGGTGACACCTTTGTGCCTTGTCAAGAGTCAGCAGGGATAACTATGAGTACTAGTTTCCTTCAAAATAGACCTGGAGCAGAAAAGTAGGAACACATATTCATATTCATTTTTAATTACATAAAGGAATTCTGGCAAGATATATTAAAAATGAATAAAAGTAGCTGTCTCTACTGGGAATAAAGTGAATGAGGTCAGAAGTTGCAATGACACTTCTCAATATTAACCTTTTTACACAATGCTGAGTTTTAGGCATGTGAATATAGCGCCTGTTCAAAAACGAATGGAAGATAAAAATTGATCTGTGTGGCATAGCTGTGTTGAGCCCAACCTTCTCTCCAGTGTATCCCTGGGATGTGGATGTGAAGTCTTTCCCCCACTCTGCAGCACTGAGCCCCTTTTAGAGAATAGCATTTCTTCTCAAGGACTCTGTTCCTTCAGTTGAAAAGAGGGGATTTATAGCTCCTCTCTCATGGATGTTACGGGGAAAACAATGGTTATAAAAAAGATATGCCCCAAACTGGTAACGTGGTTGGTTCTGAAGAGTGGAATTGTGTATATGTGTGGGGAGATCACTTTCAATTTTCTTCTTTTTAATTAAGTCACATACAAAGAGAATATGTTAATTTCATCATTATTACCATTGTCTTGGTAAAAAATAGTAAAAAAGATTAAAAAAATAATTTAGGCTAGGGGCTAGAATCTCTTGCTTTCATGATTGGGTCAATTTTAAGGAATCTCTGATCTTTTCTGTGGTGGAACTGATTTCTGGTCTTCTTTGGAAACCACTCAGCTGTCCAGCAGGCCCTTTATAGAGGCATCCCTAGATTGGGAAAAGAGGGACAGCTGAACAAAGAGGGGACATCTGAAAAAGGATGCAGAGTCTGAGCAGGAGGACCTGGGTCAGAATCGCTAGACTGAGAGCTTCCCCAAATAACAGAAGAGACCTTTTGCTCAGAGATCGCACTGTTAGCCATTCGATTGTGCTTCCCTTGCTTCCCCAACTCTTGCTACTCCCAATCCTTTAGTAGAAAGCCTGTCCTGTTCTGGGGAGGGACCACCACACCCTCTCCACGTTCACTGTGTACCACTCAAGTAGTTATGTTCCTGCTGTCAAGATCAACATGAGTCCTGTGTTGGGAGGAAAATCTTTCACCCTCTGTATTCAAGCTACTGTCTTCCATCTCCCGTTTCAGACTCCAGGACGCTAGACTGAAGGCACAGGGCCATCAGTACTGGCATCATCAGACTTGCATTCAAATATTAGCCTTGCAACTTAACAGCTGAGTGTTTTATGGGCAACTTATCAAACAATCTGGCACCATTTTTCTTTGCCTGTAAAGTGAATATAATTGTAACTCCAACTTTATAGGATTGTTATGAGCATTAAATGAGATAATGCATGTAAACAGTTTAGCAGAATGAATGGCACATTGTAAATGCACTTGAAAAATTAGTCATTCTTATTGTTTTTATTGTTATGTCCTTAAGAGACAAAACATTGGTGAGTGAACCAAAGCGTGATAATATTTCTTATCGTCATTATTTCCCTGTTGGAATACTCGTGTGGTGCCTTATTTGAGGATTTAGTGGTTTCTCACATTCTCTCAGAACAATGTGTATTTGGTCTTCAAAGTGCCCTGTTTTGGGGATTGAATCATGTCACTGGAAATTTCCTCCACAGCGAGAGAAACACCACACCAGAGTTAGACTACGCCTTGCTGAACCATCACTCTTGCCAGAGGTGTTCGGACAGTGGTGCTCCTCAGGAATTCCAAGCCCTGCCTCTTGAGTATGTCTTCCACATTTCCAGAAGGGTTCAGGTTAAAAGTTAAAGGAAATGATAAGGTACATTAGTCCAGACAAGCAATTTGTATGTCAGGTAACTCTTTCATGTATTCAGCTTTTATGGATTGAGCATGTAATCTGTACCAGGTGCAGTACTGGACATTGGGTTTACAGAGGTGAATGCAATAGACCTGACACCTGCCCCTCATGGAGCTCAGTATCAGTGAGTGACGGAATGGAGGCCCACAGACTAATAAGTAGGTAAACAAATCCATATATACCTGATTATAAAATGAGAACATCCAACAAAGGAAACAAACAGCTAGCTCTCATAAAGAACAATGGGGTAGGGATCAAGTAAGGCCTATCTTAAATGGTAATGTTTAAGATGCAACTTCAAGGACAAGAAGTTAGTGAGAGCATTCCAAACACAACAGCAAAATAAACGCTCTAAGACAGTGATCATCTCAGCAAGTCCTAGGAACTAAAAAGAGGCAGTTTGGTTAGAACATAGTGATGAGAGAAGAGTGAGTGAAAGCAGAATGGAAGATATAGGCAGTGGGCAAGATCAAGCATATCTTTCTGACTGTAGGATTGAATTTGAGCATTAATAAAAAGGGAATGGATTGAAGGAAAGACAAAGGTGAAACTAGCCTGCCTGCCTGCCTGCCTTCCTTCCTTCCTTTCTTCCTTGCTTCCTTCCTTCCTTCCTTCTTTCCTCCCTCCCTCCCATCCTCCCTTTTCTCCTCTCCTCTCCTCTCCTTTCCTTTCCTTAATTTCCTTCCTTTTTTCCTTCCTTCCTCCTTTCCTTCCCTCCTTCTTTCTTCCTTCCCTCCTTCCTTTTTTCCTGCCTTCACTAATTATTTAATGAGTGCTTACTAGATGCCCATATTATTCTAGTCCCTGGAGATAATGAGCTAAATGAAAGGGAGAGAAGTTTATTCCCAGTGGCTTTGACATTCTGAGCGGGAGGCTGGTGCTATTCTCCAATGGAGAGGGATGGGGACCTGATAAGGGAGCGGCAGTAAAGGGGGAGATAAATTGATGGATTTTATACCCCTCTTCTCACCCTCTATCACCCCACACATCAGCTAGTAATACTTTCACTACCAGTGTTTTGTTGAGCTTCTGACTTTGTATCTTAGAAAAATCATTCCTTTTGCTCCCCTTCCTGATCCTTCCCTTACCAGCTGTCATCTGATTCCATATCTCATCTTCTGAAAATGATGATGATGAGAAAAGCCAGAGAAAGAGACTGAAAGTACAAATTGATATATGAATTAGAACATGAATCAAATGAAAGGAAAGAAATGCTTGGAAAGAATGGATGATGGCAGAATGCTAGGAAAAGGATGGATTAACCTGCTCCACTTGAAGAGATTAGGTGTAGGGCTTTATACATTCAAGTTGCCCGTTAATTTTCTGATTCTGCCACTGGTGATGGGTTGAATCTTGGGACTTCTACCCTAGTTTTAATAAAAATGGCATGTATTGTTAGGAGCTATTATAACCTAGAATCTAGGTTCTGAAAGGCAAAGGAGGCACTTCTACCCTGGGTGTCTTCTCTTGTAACCACGATCTATCTGTGGCTCTTGAGCACTTAACAATCTGCCTAGTCTGGAGTGAGATGTACTATAAGTATAAAATACACACTGGAGTTTGAAGACTTACTACAAAAACAAGAATATAAAATAGTTACTGATTTTTATTTATTTATATTTTTTGTGATGGTGTCTTGCTATGTTGCCCAGGCTGCATTCAAACTCCTGGGCTCAAACAATCCTCACACTTCAGCCTTTTGAGCAGCTGGGGCTACAGGTGCATGACACCGTGCGTGGGCATTAATAATTTTTAGATTGGCTGGGTGCAGTGGTTCACGCCTGTAATCCCAGCACTCTGGGAGGCCAAGATGGGTGGATCACCTGAGGTCAGGAGTTTGAGACCAGCCTTACCAACATGGTAAAACCCTGTCTCTACTAAAAATACAAAATTAGCTGGGCATGGTGGTGCATGCCTGTAATCCCAGCTACCAGGGAGGCAGAAGCAGGAGAATAGCTTGAACCTGGGAGGCGGAGGTTGCAGTGAGCTGAGATCACACCATTGCACTCCAGCCTGGACAACAAGAACAAAACTCCATCTCAAAATAATAATAATAATAATAATAATAATTATTATTATTATTATTTTTTGATTGAGTATAGTTGAAATTATATTTTGGGTATTGGAGTAAATAAAGATGTCTTATTAAGAAAAACTCCCACTATTCCAATGTACTCTTTAAATGTGGTTACAAAAATTTCAACATTACATATCAGCTCTCATATTCCCATTGGGTAGCACTGCTCTAGAGAATAATAGTAACTAACACTTATTGAGCACTCAATGTGTTCCAGATATTGCTCTAAGCATGTTATATGTAAACTTCTAATTACTACAAATTTAAAGGTACATCATAATATAGTTCCATTTTAAAAAGAAACCAAGGCATAAAGGGATTAAATAATGCATCTACATTCATGCAATTGAATAGTGGCAGAGCTGGGATTAAAATTCAGTCAGGCTGGCTCCAGAGCTCACATTCCTCATCAACCCATTGTCCTGTCTCCTGGTGTCCAGTTGAGAGTTGCTTTAGCATAGTGCACAGAGCTAGGTGGGTACAAGGAGGCCAACAAGGATTTGATGCCTTCATGTATTAATTAGCAGATTTAAGCCATAGGAAACAAAGACACACTCAGGTTGCCTGAGCTGATGGGGATTTTTTTTTATGAGGATGGAGAAATAACCTAAGAGTCCTAGCAATGTCAGGTTTTGTGGAGAACTGGATCTCTGTTCAAGAGACCACAGTGATTTCAGTCTAAGATAGAACTCTGAGGCTACCATTCTTGGGTCTTGGATTCTATTTGCTGCTTTCTTAATCTATTACTGACTTATTGTCTCATGGCTTCTATTTACTTTAGACTTTTTACTAACTGTTTTCTCTTAGCATATTTTTCATTTGTCTTCTATACAGTTTCTTTGTCTGTAAGATTAGTATTCTGAGTTGCAATCTATAGGCAACTGGGTTGGCTAGTTTGGACACTCTTCAATACAGACTAGTTCTAGTAGGTGGAATTTTCTGTCAGGTTTCCTTATAAGTCATTGAACTTCCTTATGTTTAGCTATATTTGGGGCAGCATCCATCACAAGTTGGCTGCTATGGATAAAGTTACAAGATCATATGACCCACATAATAATATGATAGCAAGATATATTTCCATGTCACTAAGTGCATTTAGCTACATTCATTCATTCACCAAATATTTATTGAGTCTCTGCTATGTGCCAGGCACTGTTCTTGGCACTTGGAATTCATCAGAGAAAAAAAAGGCAACAATCCCTTCCCCCTAGAGCTATATTCTAGCTGAGGGAGGCAGACAATAACCAAAAGATATAATAAATGAAGTATAAAGCTTGTTAGAAGGTGATAGGGCTATGGAGAAGAAAGCAGAGTAAAGGGATAGAGAATGATGATGAAGTGAAAAAGTAGCTTGCAGTTTTACATAGTGTGATTAGGGTAGACCTCATTGAAGTGTGAGGTTTGTGTAAAGATATAAAGAAGGAGAGGGAATTAACTAAGAAGGAGCTGGAGGAAGAACATTTGGACAGATGGAACAACCAGAGCAAAGGTTCTCAGCCTGGCATGTTTGAAGAACAAGGAGGTTAGGATGTCTGGTGTACAATGAGGGAGACAGAGAGTGGTAGCAGTTGAGGTCAGAGAGGTCAGATCAGGTGGTAGTTTATAGGTGTTTGTAAGGATCATGACTTTTACTCCTATGAAATGGGAGTCATCACAAAGTTTTAGCAGAGAAGTGACATGATCTGATTTACCTTCTAAGAATACTCTGGATGTTGGATTATGCTATGATTTGGATGTGGTTTGTCCCTGCCAAAATTCAGATTGAAATTTCATTCTCAATGTGTTAGTGTTGGGGGGTGGGGCATAGTGGGAGGTGTTTGGATCATGAGTGCGGATCCTTTGTGAATAAATCAGTGTCTTCCCTCAGGGGTGAGTGAATTCAGGGGAATGAATTGTTCTTGCAGGAGCGGGTTGTCTTCTTCATTTCTCCCTCTCGCTTCTTCTCTCACCATGTGATGTCATTGCACACGTCCACTCCCCTTCCACTTTCCACTATAAGTGAAAATAGCATGAGAGAGGCCTTCACCAGATGCAGCTGCCCAATCCTGAACCTTTCAGCCACCCGAATTGTGAGCCAAACAAACCTCTTTTCTTTATAAATTGCCCAGGCTCAGGTTTTCTGTTATAGCAACACAAAACAGACTAAGACAGACTGCAAGTAAACTGATAGGAGGCAAGGGTGGAGGCAGGAGGTCCTGTTAGCAGGCAATTACAATGCTTTAAACAAGAGATGAAGGTTATTTGTGCTTGGGTGATAGGAATGGAGGTGGTGAGAAGTGGTTAATTCTGGATGCATTTTAAAGCTAAAGGATTTGCTCACAGATTGGAAGTATGAAATAAGAGAAAGTGTGAAGTCAAAGATAACTCCAGGATTTTTGGCATGGATTATTGGTAGGATGAAAATTATCATTGACAGAGATGAGGAAAGCTGTACGTGCTCCTTTGGGGTGTAGGGAAGATCAATTTCAGTTTTGGTGACACTGGGTTTGACATAAATGTAGACATGCAAGTGGACATGCTGAGGAAGCAGTGGATATATAAGTTTGGTGTTTGCGAGGCAGCTCTGGGTTTAAAATACACATTTGAGAGAAATTAGAATGTAGGTGATATTTAAAGCAATGAGACTCAATCAGATCATCAATGTAGTGAAGGTAGGTAAAGAAGAGAAGAAGACCAAAGACGAAACCCCAGAGTATTAACATATTAAAGTCTTATATAGAAGAGAAAAACCTGGAAAAAGACATAGAGAAGTCACTGGTGATATAGAAGAAAAGCACAGTGTGGTGTCCTGGAAGCCAAGTGAAGAGAGTGTATCAAGAAGGAAACCATGAGTATCTGGATGAAATTCTACTAATCTGTCAAGTAGGAAGAGGACTGAGAACTCACCATTGGATTCAGTAATATGGAGGTCATGTTGACCTTAATAAGAGCAGTTTTGGAGGAGTGGGATGGTGGTGAATGCTGATTGAAGTGGGTTTTATTTTTTAATTTTTTAATAGTTCTCTTTTTCCTTTTTTTTTAAATTTTAGGTTTAGGGGTACATGTGCAGGTTTACTACATAGGTAAACTCATTTCATGGGGGTTTGTTGTACAGATTATTTTGTCACCAAGGTACTAAGCCTAGTTAGTACTCAGTAGTGATTTTTCCGAATTCCCTCCCTTCTCCCACCCTCCATCCTCAGGTAGATCCCAGTGTCTGTTGTTTCCCTCTTCGTGTCCATATGTTCTCATCATTTAGCTCCCACTTATGAGTGAAAACATAAAGTATTTGGTTTTCTGTTCCTGTGTTATTTTGCTAAGGATAATGGCCCCCTAGCCTCACCCATGTTCCTGCAAAGGACATGATCTTGGTTTTTCTTTATGGCTGCACAGTATTCCGTGGTGTATATGTACCACATTTTCTTTATCTGGTCTAACATTGATGGGCATTTAAGCTGATTCCATGGTTTTGCTATTGTGAATAGTGCTGTAATGGACATATGCATGCATATGTATTTATGGTAGAACAATTTATATTCATTTGGGTATATAACTAGAAATGAGATTGCTGGGTCAAATGATAGTTCTGGAGTGGATCTTAGGAGATAATGAGAAGAGAGAAATGGAAAACAGTATGGATATCTCTTTCAAGAAGATGTGCTACAAAGAATAACAAAGAAATTAGGTGCAATTTTGTCAGGGAAGTAGAGTCAAGATAATATTTTACTTTTTCTTTTCTAAGATGAGAGGTTAGTATGCTGATGGGAATGATCCAGTAGAGACTGAAAAAGGGATGATGCAGGAGAGGAAAGATAATTTAGGAATGAAGTCCTGGAGCAGATGGAAAGCCCATGCTCTCCATCCGGTGGATCCAGTGCCCATGTTGAGGACATGATTTTAGATAGAAACATGAGAAGCTGATCCACCAATAGCTGGGAAGACAGGGGATGTGGTGTGGAAGTCCATGGAAGGTCACTTTTCTGAGTGAAGTGGGAAGTAATGTCATTAGGTGAAAGTGAGGATGGTGGAGGAGGTATGCATTTTAATTGACAAGAGAAGATTTGAACTAATCTTCCAGGAAAATAGGAGAGTGGATGGGTTCTAGACAGTAATATAATTCTGTAAGCAGCAAAGCCAGAACACTCTAAGGACAACACGTGAGTGTTTCCCTTTCTTCTTTTTTTAAATGGAATGAAATTTGCCAGCTACTTGTTTGAAACATGCCAAATACTGGTCTGGTGGGCCATTCGCAAGGGAGAAGAAAGGAGATAGCTTTTCAAAAGCACAGCCAAAGCTAGGCATTAATGATTAAAATGGGCAGGTAATTCATCTCCTTTATTCTACTTCTAGTAAAAGCTTAATTAGCTGAGAAAGAGAAAGAGAGAGAGAGAGGAGCACAAGGCCATAGTAGAATTTGAAGACCTGGAAATATGTCATTATGCAGAACTTAGCATCCTGGCTGTGGTCTTATGGATTATACAAATAGATGAAGAGCTCTAACTGATCACAGTGTGAGAAGAAAAAATGCTTCAAATCTTCTGCCTGCAAGTCTTTATTTCCAAGTTTGGAACCTCTATAGCCTCTAAATAAGAGGAAAAAAAAATGGAACAGAGGGCCAGTGTGAAAATGACAAAGACAGCATGATGAGGATGGGATGTTTGCTTACTGTCTACCTCTCTTAGTGGTAAAATTGATAAACCAGAAACTCTCCATTATAATTTCCAGAGAGCTTGACTATGAATATAAGATGTCAAGTAATATCAGAGGACTGAATGTTATGAGAAAAACCCACTCTATCTTTAGAGGAAATAGAAATGATTCTTAAGTCCCATTTACTTTGGACTTAGTAGAGCCATATTAACAGGCTGCTGTAATATAAAGGCTTTAGCATATTTGTTTCTAGGGCTGAATGTATAATTATGTATCTCTATATCTTCTAGATTTTTAAAACTCTCATGTTAAATTGAATTAACATGGATGCTCCGGGCAATAATTTCTTTAGTGTCTTCACTGCTACTCTTATAATCTTGTAGTTAATCCAAGATCTGAGGAGGACAGCCTTCTGGACTATAAACCCTTCATGCAGGTCTGACAGCCTGGCTTACAACCTGTGGAGGGGCTGGATGTACCCTCTGCTCTGTACTGTCCAGGAAAGAACTCTGCTTTTCCTTCTTAGAGGACAAAAGTACAAGCCAACCTCTATAGTGTTGGGACTTCATCTCTGTTATATATTTGTTTTAAATAAAAAACAGGCCAGGTGCAGTGGCTCACACGTGTAATCCCAGCACTTTGGGAGGCTGAGGTGGATGGATTACCTGAGGTCAGGAGTTCGAGACCAGTCTGGTCAAAATGGTGAAACCCCCATCTCTACTAAAAATACAAAAATTAGCTGGGTGTGGTGGTGTGAGCCTGTAATATCAGCTACTTGGGAGGCTGAGGCAGGAGAATCTCTTGAACCTGGGAGGCAGAGGTTGCAGTGAGCAGAGATCAAGCTACTGCCACTCCAGCCTAGGTGACAGAGTGAGACTCCATCTCAAAAGAAAAAAATTGTGTTAAACAAAAAACATGGAGGCCATCAGTCAATCAACATAATAAGATATCTACTACTCGGGAATGTGTTAGTGACCTCAGATTTGAACTACCCATCACATTGTGCCTTTCAGAGGCTCAGTGAAATAAGGGATAAATCAAAAGAACATTCTATTCTTTAAGCATTCATTACAATGCCAGGATTTATCAGGAACTCAAATTCTAGAGAATGATCTGAAAGGAAGACATCGTTTTCTAAGTATATTTTTGCCAAGAATCCACCTTTCAATTCAACTGGTACTTGTTGAATGCCCGACACTAAGTACTATTTCTTCAGTTTGATCTTGCTCCTAAATAAGAGCTAGAGGACCATCCATTTGATGGAGTTAGGTTTAACTTAGTGTAGAGGATTGCCTTCCAGGACTGGAAACAGATGGACATTCACAGATTAATTAGGCTCATCACTTACCCATAAATGGATAGGTGGTCATTGTTTCATGACAGAAAAAAGCAAATCTTTTAAAATTATTTATCAGGTAACTAAAATTTCCACCATTAAGACAAAAATTCTCTTGCTTGGGTGACTGTACTGACTGTTTGTAAATCCTTTAAAGGTGTAAATATCTTTGGGAGGACAGGTGACTATTTTCACCAGTTAGACTTTTGCGGTAGATGAGTTTTTCAGATAAAGAACTATTTTTCTTTATAGCAAAGGATAAGATCATGAAGAAATAAGATAGGACATGAAGAAGTCTTTTTGCAGGGCACAGTGGGTTGATCAAGGTGAAGCATTACAACAAGGGATTCTGGGAAGAAAGCTGGCTGCACTGAGGTTGTTTAGGTAAGAGAAGATCAATGAGAAAGTACTAAGGAGGAGACGTGTGGATGGACTGATTTTATATGCCCTGAAGATCAATGTTTCATTACTCCACAATTTGTCCTAGGGCTACTCCTTGTCCTGAACCAGCTGAATTCCTCCTAACAGGCTTTTTGGATTGTCAGAGCTATGTTCAGTTCTTGGCTTGGTGTTGTGTAAAGATCAGTAGTTTAGGAGCTTAGGAATCAGTGTCAGGCCCAAGCCCTGACTTCACTAACGTTCGTCCTGAGGCGAATTAGTTAACTCCATGGAGCCTCAGCTCTCTACCTATGGAAAGGGATAGCACACCAGAACCTTGACTTTGGAGAGGGATGTGT
This sequence comes from Homo sapiens, assembly GCF_000001405.40. Lineage (NCBI taxonomy): Eukaryota > Metazoa > Chordata > Mammalia > Primates > Hominidae > Homo > Homo sapiens. The sequence goes on along the minus strand of NC_000008.11, from coordinate 33,277,908 downwards.
CATGAGGCCTTCATAAATCCTCACTACTGGAAATTCTGTTCTATCGTATTATTTATCTTTCAAGTTTTAATATATCATAACAGTAAAATTTTTAATGAACAGATTAATATGTTTAATATTTAATTGATATACAATTGTGATGTTTCGACATACCTGTGAAACCATCACCACCACAGTAAAGATAATGACCATAACTATCAACCCCACAGTTTCTACCTACCCCTTTGTAATCCCTTTCTCCTGACCTTTCCAGCTCCCTACCCTCCACCACATCCACATAACATTAAAATTTAAGTTACCCTTCAGATCCTTAATGGGAATAACCATCTTGGCATTAAGCAAACCACAAGTTGCATCAGGATGTGAATGTTGAACTGTTGGGTAAATTCATTCAGTTTTAAGAGCCTCTTCACCACATTATATCATCATAGCTCAAACAACTCAAATATAGTAGTCATTATATCAAGAAAACACCTGCATATGCATGTTTATTGCAGCACAGTTCACAATTGCAAAGATATGAAATCAACCTAAGTCTCCACCAACAGATGAGTGGATAAAGAAAATGTGTACACCATGGAGTATTACTCAATCGTGGAAAGAATGAAATAATGTCTTTTGCAGCAACTTGGGTGGTACTGAAGGCCATTATCTTTTTTTTTTTTTTTTTTGAGACGGAATTTCGCTCTTGTTGCCCAGGTTGGAGTGCAATGGTGCGATCTCGGCTCACCGCAACCTCTGCCTACAGGGTTCAAGTGATTCTCCTGCCTCAGCCTCCCGAGTGCTGGGATTACAGGCATGTGCCACCATGCCCAGCTAATTTTGTATTTTCAGTAGAGATGGGGTTTCTCCATGCTGGTCAGGTTGGTCTCAAACTCCCCACCTCAGGTGATCTGCCCACCTCGGCCTCCCAAAATGCTTGAATTATAGGCATGAGCCACTGGGCCCAGCCTGAAGGCCATTGTATTAGGTGAAGTAACTCAAGAATGGAAAATCAAATATCACATGTTCTCATTTATAAGTGGGAACTAAGCTATGGGTATGCAAAGTCATATAGAGTGGTATAATGGACATTGGAGAGTCAAAAAGGGGGAATGGGGAGGGTGGTGAGAGATGAAAAATTACCTATTGGGTATAATGCACTATCTGGGTGGTGGACACACCAGACTTCACCACTATACAATTCATCCATGTAACTAAAAACCACTTTTATTCCTAAAGCAATTGAAACAAAACAATAAAAACAAACAAATATATAACACAACCAAATTCAGAATTAATCTCTGTTATGTACCTTCAATGCTGCTTGGGACTGTCTAGCAACAACTGACTGCTCAATCAAGAAATGAAATGGTCTACCTATTATTCACTTCATGGATTGTTTCAGGACAAATGCAATAGTGTATGTGAAATTTCCTTGTAAGCCATAATGTGCCATATTAACAAAAGGAATAATTAGTATCTTGTAAGTCACTACTTTTCCCATGTAGCCCTAGCACTGCCGTGCAAATGAGCTGTTTGGTAGCACATGCAGCTTCTCTGAGTTCGGTATTAATCAATCATTAATTAGACATCCTTGTAAGAGCTTCATGATGCTTATTGACATGATGAAAATGCTTTGTATTAGCTTCAAGAAAATAAAACTAAAAAGATCATGGGGGACTCTTTTAGGATTTTTTGGATAGAGTGCAATATATCCAAGTCATGATTTAGATATTACTTACACTGATAATACCAAATTAGAATATGTGGTAAACAAAATCAAGCATGACCATCCCCCTACTGTGTTCTGTCTCTGTTAGTCTTCAGATAATATTCAAACTTTAAAAGCCTGCCTTCCCTATGACACTCATATGAAGAGAGTGGTGGCCTGACAATAATAACAAGGAGTACCATGAAGATATCATGGGTGTTTATCAACCTTGGTTAAATATAATCTGGGTAACTGCCAGAGTCTATATTGTCATAGAGTTAAGTATTTTCCATCTAGGAAGGTTATGACAAAGCTCATTTACAACATTAATTTCATTTCAAGGTTTTATTCTTGATCCAAGAAAGTACACATAAAAAGTACAGAAATCCTTCCTCAGCCATCAGCATTAGAATTCACAAAGCTCTTGTAGTAGAATAATTCATGGTTGAGGAATATGAGGGAACTGAGAATTCACCTGAGGGCAGGTGTATTTTTGAAAGTTCTTAATATATATTTAAACATTCAGATAAATAAAACAGAAAGACTGGAAAAGAGAATGTCAAAGACCTTAAAGTGGCAATTAAATAGCTCTTAAAATAGTAATAATGAACACTGTACAATACATTTCAATTTATCTTTCGTGCAGAGATGACTTCCTGGGAAGATGCATAGGTGAGAGAAGGGAAGGGAGGTGGATTAGGAAGATCCACGATCAGTGCCCTTCTATTCCATCTCCTGGATGTGCACATTCTGAGGTCTGTTCTGGAAGGTCAATCTCCTGGTTTTGGCTGTAGCAGTATACTTGTGGCCCTCCAATAGCAGAAATGGTGCTGAGTGAAGGACTTGAGGCTCTTGAGTGAGCTTCTCCTTCTTTGGGAAGCAAATATACTAGGCAGGCCAGTAGTCTATTGAAAAGATTGCTTTGCTCCTCTTTATGGGTTATACACAACCCTTCAAACTAAATCTGTTTTGGGTTTGGCTTTTACATGTGTTCAAAGTGGTGTCTTTAAGTGCGAAGTTTTAGTCAATTGGTTTCTTTGGGAGGTTTTGCTTCCTTCCTGTATTCTTTGTTAAATGCAGCCCACCTGCTTTGCTAGTCAGTGGGAAGGGCTGGGTGATGGGCAGATGCCTCTCTGACACAAGGGCCTCCCTGTGCACAGTCTGTATGCCGTTACCATAAGTCAGCAGGTTGAAGAGATAAAGGAAGTCAATTAAAGCCCTTTTATCAGAAAGTCACTTCCAGCACTTGTGAAATCATAATAGAGCTTTTTTTCTTTTCCAGCACTATGTATCAAGCCCTCTTCTAAATGTTTTCATGCTTTATCTCATTTAATTTTTATATCCACTGCACAAGGCAGTAATGGCTATTATCTCAATTTTGCATGGGATAAAGGGTAATAGCAGAGAGGAACAGTAACTTGCCCACAAACATATGCTAAGTAGCAGATTTGGGCTTGTGTGTAGCATTCTCATTCGAAGCCCTTCCCTTTAATCCGCCTCTCAGGCTGCCTCCTTATGTTTCATCATTGAATGCATTATTATCCTCCTCAAGATCACAAACCTCACCCCTGATCTTACTCCCCCAGTCACTGCCCAGTAGCGGCATCTCAGGAGCATTACTATTTAATTACTTCGCAAAGCTACCAAAACCCTAGAGAGTACTGCACAGTTATCTGTATTCATGAGAAAGCCCCAAAATAACCTCTGGTCTAGGGAGAAATCTACAAAAGAATGAGAGGAGAGGTAAGTAACCCGCAGATCCTTCTGGTTTCACAAGATTCTCTCCTAAGACAATCTTACATTGATTTAGAGCAACTACTGTGCGATGATCCATTATTCAAGTGGTTGTAGAAAATGCATACAGAAGTAAATCTGCAAAAAACTCAAAATTTCTTTGAGAGCTTGCAGGCTGCTTTTTTTATCTGTTATTTTTAGGGACTGCCCCCCCTTAGTAATTGCTGATGATTTTAAAAGAAAGAACACCAGTTAAATGATTCTAAGTCTAGAATCTGCCACTCTTTAGTTGACCTGGGACTCATTTGACCTTGTTGGGGGTAATAGAGCACTAATAATAATAATTTAGCATCAGAATAATATTAATCTAAGAATATTTAATAATGTAATGTTAATAATATCATTAATAACTATTCATTTCTGACTTCACATAATATCTATTTTTGTTTTATTTTTTCTTTTGCCTCACTTTTCTTATTAGTCTCGTCATACTCGACATCCCATACTAAGCCTCTGGAATCCATTTTAACGAGGCAAGTGAATAAATAAACTCTCTATTTTATGGCTCTTTTGGAGAATAAATGGGATAATATGAAAATGGTTTGAAACAGTAAAATGCTATATAAATGCAGCACTATAGCTAAATTTATATAGCATTTCTGTTATTTCTCCTTCCTAGAATGTCCTTTCCTTCAATCTGTGCCTAACAAGTTTTCTGTCTTTTCCTCAAATGCTCTATGATATTTGTTTGAGTTCTAGTTACCTCCATTTTTCTGGGCAATACATGCTCATTGTTCTGTGATTTAAACAAGTTCATCTGTTTTTGTTCGTGTGTGTTCATGTGGATCTTTTCTTGACCTCCTCATTATTCTAATAATTTCTTTTCTAGGGTTTCTTTCATCTTTAAGCCCACATCCTATTCTCTTTCTGGCATAGTCTAAGTGTTCCTTTCTCATTTTGCTTTTACAAAATGAGAAGGATCAGAGGTGTTTTATTACATTTTAACCATTTTATTTCCATTCACTAACAGAAAAGCAACCGTTACTTATTTTCTGGGATCAGAATAGAATCAGGTTTTCACCCTTTGGTGATTCAATATTGTTGGGAAATCATTCTATTTATGAGCTCTTCATAGAAGAATGCAGCTCCGTGTGTGTAATTCTTTGAGAAAAGAACCCAAAAGGGCAATAGAGGTTGAGAAAAATACTCTAATCAGCACACTTTGCTCTTTATCATTCATGATTTTCCAGGGTAAAGTATCATATTGTCTCATTTAAGTCTCAGAGGAAATAAACAGAGGCTCACACAGGCTAAGAAATTGAGATTACCCTATTATGACCTTTGTGATAAAATGTTTAAAAACAATGGAGATTTTTATACTTTCATTTTGTATCCTCTTAGTAAACATGAGGATACTTCTTATAAGGACTTTATTTCATTTTGAGACAGAGTCTCACTCTATCACCCAGGCTGGAGTGCAATGGCGTGATCTTGGCTCACTGCAACCTCCACCTCCTGGGCTCAAGTGATCCTCCCACCTCAGCCTCCCAAGTAGCTGGGATCACTGTCGTGTGCCACCACTCCTGGTACTTTGTATTTTTTGTGTTTTTTGATAGAGATGGGGCTTCACCATGTTGGCCAGGCTGCTCTCCAACTGCTGACCTCAAGTAATCCTTCTGTTTTGGCCTCCCAAAATGCTGGGATTACAGAGTGAGCCACCACACCTGGCGGAAGACTTTAATATGGATACACACAGATACAATTAATAATAAAATACAGTGTTAAGGAAATCAAATATACTTGACTTTGATAAGTCAAATGGAAGGGTCTCTAAATGAAATATAAAAAGATCTATTAAGTCATGAATGTATTCTCCTGCCAAGACCCAGATATAATAAGACAGGTAATCAGGAAAGAACAATGTTGGAAAAATATTCAAAATTGCAACTGTAGATGCCCCCAAAGGTAACTGAGCTGCCTTCTTGGTTGACAGTTTTGAGACTGTCTGACTTTTTCACAAGGCCATGGTCAACACTACCATAATTCTCTTTGTAATGCAGTAATAGGAATCTGTTTCTCAGGGGTTTAAGAAGATTCGCTTTGATCGCATGTTCATATTCACCCAGGTTAATTGATATTTAGACAATGCTGACCTCTTTTTTTTTTTTTTTTTTTTGAGACTGAGTTTTGCTCTCATTGCCCAGGCTGGAGTGCAGTGGTGCAATCTTGGCTCACTGAAACCTCCACATCCCAGGTTCAAGTGATTGTCCTACCTCAGCCTCCCAAGTAGCTGGGATTAGAGGCATGCGCCATCACGCCAGGCTAATTTTTGTATTTTTAATAGAGATGAGGTTTCACCATGTTGGCCAGGCTGGTCTGGAACTCCTGACCTCAGGTGATCCACCCACCTCAGTCTCCCAAAGTGCTGGGATTACAGATATGAGCCACCGCACCCGGCCTGAACTCTTTAATAGAATTGTTCAAACTTTGTAAAAGGAGGGCAGAGAAGACGTGTAAAGAGACAACCTTTGAAGTATGAACAGCCGCTGCCGTCTCTAGAATGGCTTAATTTTTGTGGGTGTTTATCACAGAGGAGTGCCCATGCTCCACTGCATTCTTGGCTCCTGTGTTCCTCTCTCCCCTAAGTGGATGGTGACAGTCAGGGGCAGGGGTGGGGGCACACTCGCCAGCTAGGCTGATGGATGCTGGAGGCACTATGGGAGAGCGCTGGAGCTGCTCACTTTTCCAGGAGGTGAGGGAGACAATCCTTGCAGAGGAGAGGCTGGGCCATTGGGCTGACTTTCTCCTGCCTCTGATGAGGTGGGTAAGACTTGGTCTAAGTTGAGGAGGAAGAAAGTCAGAGTTATCGACAGCAAAGAATGAAATTGAAGCTTCTCTCCTGCCAGCTCTGGAACCCTGCAAATAATTTGATCTTTATACTTTCAGTTTTTCTTCTATAAAACACATACTAATAGAATCAACTCTTAGGGTTGTAGTGAGGATTAAATGAAAGAATTAAGTAAGACTGTTAGCAGAATGTCTGGTGTTAGTGAAAATTCATAAATGGAAGTTATTATATAATTTGAGCATTCCATCTTTTTTGCTTCTTTGGTGTGAAGCCATAAGCTATCACTAACAGAATCCTGTGTTATTGTTTTAAAAATGGATAGGGTTGGCCTTTCCCTTGGAAAAATAGCATTCATAATACCAAGGCCAGGTTCCATGGCTCTCACCTGTAATCCCAGCACTTTGGGAGGCTGAGAGGGGAGGATTGCTTGAAGGCAGGAATTTGAGATCAGCCTGGGCAACATAGCTAGACCGCGTCTCTGCAATAAAAAGAAAGAATTTATAGTTCCTGAATTGTATAGACCTCTTCAAAAAGTACACCCACACCCATATAGAATATCCATCTCTATCTATCTATTGATTGATCTACCTACCTAACTATCTATCTAATCTATCTAAGTTTTTCCTAGTAGCAATATGCCTGGGCCTGGCCTCTTACTATAAACTTGGCAGGATGCTGACTTGGAACAAAAGTGAATCAGGTTTAGGCTCTTGAGGACTCCTCTCCTTCCAGCCTCATTTGTCTCAGTGTTGTCATTCCCAACAACTTTCCCTTCTCTCTTATTACTTATTTATTTATTTGGGGACAGGAGTGTTCCCATGTTGCCCAGGCTGGTCTTGAAATGATCCTCCTGGTCTCAAGTGATCTTCCTAGGATTACAGGCATGAGACACTGCACCCAGCCCAACTTTCCCTTCTCTACCACTGATCGGAGAAGTCCCACAGAAGGGAGCCAGTTCAGGTGTTCATCCAGGGTGAAACAGGTGAGTAGAGCCGGAATTGGAGAGGATGCTACTTGGGATGGAACAGTATCTGGGGCCAGTGGCCTCAAACTCTTCCTGTAGACAAAGTGAGGGGATGCCAGATTTTTTCACCAAGCTGGGGCTTAATATGTAGTAAGGAGGACAGATTCAACCAGGCACATCAGGCCCCACCAATGATAAAACAGAACCCCAAAGGGCTCGACTATGTCCACTGGGGCGTGTGAGTCTGCAGGGAGTCATCAGTTGGAAATGAATGAAGTTGGCATGAAAGACACAATCTCCTAGGAGTGAGGGCCAAGGGAGTTCTGTGCCCTCTATGGTCTCCCAGGGCTGGGCACTCAGCCATGTACGGTGCTTTGTGTCCTTGATTGGGCCTTGGGAGTAACTTACGGGGGATGGGTCTCTTTTTGCTCAGTGATGCAAGCCCCTAGTGATTTTCTCAACAAGGACACAGCTCCCATTCCTCCCCTCCCTTTCCCCTTACCAAAAGCTCCTTGCTGTATTATGTGCTATAAACATTATAATCATATTTAGCATTTTACTTGTGGGACTACGCCATTATACATATTATAATAATAATAAATCTGGCTGAACGTTTATTATGCCCAAGGGGTGTCTAATGCCTTGGTAAACCTTTCCTCTTTGATTATGCTTTTCATTTTGTCCTTTCCCAATTCTTGAAGCAAGGTGGCTGTATCAAGGACTCCGGCATCACTTAGAAATTTAATTTTCTTTAAGCATTTAGTAGATTATTGCTGATGAGATTTAATAAATATACACATATTTTTAAAGTTAATATCTGACATAAAATTGAGTAACAGATAAGCACTGAGACATTCATGATAAGTGCAATAGTAACTTTATGGGAGGATGGCCTTGTTGAATTAATGATGGCTTCTTCTGTGCTCTCTGCCACCCAGACTGAAAAACTTGGGTTCCTATTTTGTAAAACATGAACCTGACCCTTAAGCAATTGATTGGAACAAGAGTGAGCTCCTGAACTAAGATTCAGAGACTTAGTCTCACTAAGGGGTAAGGCTTACTTATGTTAATCCAAGAGCAGGGGTGCACTGAAAAAGCCTCCCCTGAAATGCTGGTGAGTAGAGAAAGAATTATTATATATAGACGTAAAAATGAGAGCAGAGATGAGGGAAAAATAGTGTCAAGATGACTTCCTAATTCCTAGCTCTCAGTTCTCATTTCTTCCTAAGTTCAGCAGCCTTTAAATCTGTCCTTAGACCACTGAGTTCAACTAGCCATTTCTTTGCTGCAGCTAGGTTGAATATTAATTTTATTTCTATCATTTGCTGCCAAAGCAGCTTTAATGAATTACATAAATATTCCAGGTAAAAATAACGTAACCACTGGTGTTTGCTTAGGTGGGGATGAGGGGAGTGGGGTGGGCTGGAATGGGGGAATAAGCCTCTGCTGCCCCATCTCAGGCTGTGGCGCTGACCTTACAGCTTGTACTTCAAAAGTCTGTTTCCCTTGAAGAGGCTCTTGAGAAGAAAATATTTTGACCTTGAGTTTCCCTAAGGAATTGGCCCTGAGATATGTAAAACCCAAGAAAAACAACATCTTTCTTTCCAGAATGTCATTGTTTCCTTGTGTTGTTAGAACTGGAGGCTTGATTGTACTTTTGGGGGCCAGTGATGCTTTTGTTTTGGAAAAACACCCATAGGTTTTGCAAAGTTAAAGTCCAGATCCTGTGTTGGAAAGGAGATAAGGAGAAGCTGAGTTTCTCTACAGAGTTATGTCAAAGGTTGTCTTCCTCATGGGTAAAATAGCATCTCGGAGATGATGTGTGAGCAGAGGCTGGCCTGCACTGATGAGTGAAGGAGAAAACTGGCTTTCCTTTTTGTTTGTGTTTTTCCTACTCTAGGTGGCGGTTGAGGCCTTGGACTCTGTAGCTAGTCTGCCATTGTTTCTGTCAGAGCCCAGGCAGGCGACAGAACCACACCAGTTACTTGAACCAAGCAGATTTCAGTAATAAGAATGATTAATTAGGGCCAGGTGTGGTGCCTCATGCCTGTAATCCAGAGGCAGGTGGATTACTTGAGGTCAGGAGTTCAAGACCAGCCTGGCCAACATGGAAAAAAACCGATCTCTACTAACAATAGAAAAATTAGCTGGGCGTGGTGGCCATGCTTGTAATCTCAACTACTCTGGAGGCTGAGGCAGGGGAATCACTTGAACATAGGAGGCAGATTTTGCAATGAGCTGAGATCGTGCTACTGCATTCCAGCCTAGGGAACAGAGTGAGACTCGATCTCAAATAAAAAAAAAGAAGAAGGCATAAAGTTGTTATTGAATAACTTGGTGACTAAAAGGGTTTCTCAGAGGTAGCAACTGAAAGAAGCATGTATCACCTCTAGGGCTGTGGAAACAAAAGGAAGACAGTGTAATACTTAAAATTTAGATGATTGGAGAAGTAGTCCCACGGAGATGAAACTCAGACCTCTGGGGAGGAGCCACTACTTGGCTGGTACTGGGGTCTCCGAGTTGAAAGGAGGGAATCATGGGATCCAGATCTCCAAAGTAGGGGTGCTGGTTGCCTGGTACTGGCATCTTGGGAGGTAGTGGCAAAAGAGGAAGGCACAGTGGTCCCCACTTATTTGTGGTTTCACTTTCCACAGTTTCAGTTACCTGCAGTCAATGGCCATCTGAAAAGATTAAGATATTTTGAGAGACAGAGAAACCACATTCACATAGCTTTTATTAGTGACGGCAAAACCACAATTACTTTTACACCATCCTAATATTACAGTATTTTGTTATAATTGTTCTAGCTTATTATTATTGTTGATCTCTTCTTGTGCCTAATTTATAAACTAAACTTTACCATAGGTATGTATGTACAGGGAAAAACAGTGTATACAGGGTTCTGTACCATTGGTGGTTTCAGGCATCCACTGGGGGCCTTGGAATGTATCCCCTGTGGATGAAAGGGGATACTGTAGTTCTGCGAACCATGTATGTGTGTATGTGTACACATAAGTGCACATGTAGTAATTCCCTTATGTCTCTGTAGGGAAGGAAAGTTCAGGGCTGAGGCTGCTATAAGAAAAGACAGATTAACAAGAGAAAAGCATATACATTTATTTAACGTAAGTTTTACATAGAACCTTCAGAAATGAAGACTCAAAGAAACAGAGACAACTGTGTATTTTTTTATGAAAGGTTTGATGAAGGGTGGCCATTATAGGGAAGTATGACTGGATAAAGAGGGTTTGATCTACTGGTAATAAGCCAGGAGGAGCTCTGCAAGGCCTGTTTGTTCAGACTCTTCTTGGCATCTCTGTGTCTTTGGATCTTTTTCTCCGGAAATAAGGAGGGCTCCCCTTGAATAAGGGTCTTATGACCTGCTTCAAGGGAAGGTCAGAAAATCCTTCCTAGATTTTATGACCTGCTTCAGGGGAGAGGGGCAGAGGGAAAGAAATAGTGACTTTCCTGCTTCTGCTGTTTTCTCAAATGCTAAGGTACCAGGTTTTAGGGTAGTGTGGCCTGAATCCCATCACCTTCTTCCAGCTTTCAGCCAAAGCTTATTATATTGTATGTTACAACCTCATCTCAGCTCTGTTTTGTGAATTAATGTTTGAACCCATGTCCATGCTTGGGGCAACCATGACAGAGAGATCAAAAGTTGTCTGCAGAGGTTGGTTCTAAGATGGCCAGAGGTAAATTGTAGAAGAGTGCAGTTGAGAACCAGGTCCCCATGGAGGTCATGAAGACAGGGGACAATGGGATTTGTTTGTGAAAACAAACGCATACCTTAGGGACTCCCTGAAATATATGGGGGAGAGGAACTGGTTCTAGTGGAATTGGGTAGGGAGGACTTAGACTTTAGTTATTTTTAAAGAGCCTCATTAGTCAATGAGGGAGCTGGGAAAATATGATTGCTTTGAAGAGCATTTAAGACATGTGGGTATTTATGCTTAATTTAACAAGAAAGTGTTAGGGTAGGATTGCTGAGTTAAATATAAATCTATTTGATGTCCAACAAGTCATATATCTTTGGGGTTATCTCTTCCACTAGACAAATTATTCACATTTCTAACCAATGAAAATTTGCAGGTGTGCAAGTAACTTCACTAGAGCTGGAAATGTTAATTTGTGGTTAAAAATGACATGAGCCAAATATATTCTTCTAGGTAATCTGGGGGAGTTCCTTGTCCCCATATGATATTGAAAGGACGTGCCACCCACCTTTTTGCCTTAATTCAAAGTTTTGGATAAATTTCTTTTTTTTAATTTTAAAAAGTTTTTATAGCTTTATCAAGATGTATTACATACAATGATTGATCAGAGTTTAAAGTGTACAATTTCATTACTTATGACATATATATGCACTGTGAAACCATCACCAAAATGAAGACAACAAACATTTCCATCCTACTCTTCACCTCCACAGAGTTCCTTCATGTCCTTCTGTAATCCATCCAAATGTCCACTTCCTTCTCTAGGCAACCTCTGACCTGTTTTCTCTTACTACAGATTAATTTGGCTTTCTAAAATTTCAAGTAACCGGAATAACTTCATTTATATCCTGTCATAAATGAAATCATTCAGGTGTTTTTCTATTTATGGTTTAGCCTTCACACAGCAAATAAAGATCCATCTAGGTTGCTGCACGTATACAAATTGTTTCCTTTTGTTGCTGAGTAATGTTCAATTGTATAAATGTATATTAATTTAGTTTATCCATTCACTTGTTGAGGGACATTTCTTAACATTATTTAGGCATAAAAAGAGGTAGAACCTTGACAGCTTCTCTAGAGGTTGCACCTAAGTATGCAGGGCAGCTGTGCTAGAAGCCACGAACGCTATTCTCTGTCTGGGGTTCTATGCCAGCCACCTTCTACTGCCTACATGGTTACTCTTGGGCTTTCTCCAGTTGCCTGGGTTCTACCAGGCTCACCAGTATTGATAACTTGTTCTACGCCTAGACTACTTGATTAGCTTGACCAGGAATAGCTATTCTGTCCTTGACGTTAAATAAACCTATAGGTAATAACAAAAATCGCTCTTTTGGGGCATTATACACTTCACAAATCACTTCTCCATTTATTGTCTATAAATATAAGATGCATAACATATTAACATATGCCATATGTGAATATGGCATACAAATGAATGTCATATACATTGTATGGAATACTTATTTTATGATACATGTAGATATACAGCTATATCAATTGATTGATTGATCAAGCTATTGATATAAAATGTCTGTATATGTCCACATGAAAAGTTCAGAAGGGTAAAAGTTGGATCTAAATAAATGAACAGAATTCAAGTTTCTAGTCAGTCAAGTGAGACTTATGCTATGTACCAAAAGGGGCCACACAAGATTGCATATAGAATATGAACTAAACTGGGTAAGAAACTGCCCATAAGAAAACTTGAGGGGCATCTATTAAAATATTAAAATGATTAACTTTGAATTGTGGACATATATATGTATATAATAAGCATATATATATTGATAATTAAAGTCAAAAAAGAAAAAAATGAAAAAAAGAGCTTTGGGAATTCCGGTAGCAGGGAATATATGAAATGCATTAACATATGGGTTCTGTGATAAGTTTGAGGAAGAGGAAGAAGTTGTCTTGGAATTAAAATCTATGAGAATTTTTTCATGTGGAATTTCATAACAAGGAAATAAACATCTCCAGTATTTCCTCAGGCACAAACTTATACTTGTATTAGTAGAATTCATATTATTGTTTCTTGTAATGGCCTTTCATAAAAACCAAGGGCATAACATTAAAAGTGAAGCCAGTGAAGGTTAACTCTAGGAGGATTCACACTGCAATAAATACGTAGATTCCAAGTCACTAAACCGGTCCAAGAATAGATCTTAGAGAATAATTGACTTAACCAAGGTCACAGAGTATGTTAATGTTAATGGCAGAGCCAGAATTAGACTTCATGTCTCTTGATTTTTCAGCCTGACAATGCTACCCATCCTCCTGCCTTGCCCCAAAAGAAGAAATGCAGACCTTATTTCAGTTACTGTGATCACCAGCCATCACTGACTTGAATCCTTTACCCCAAAACATCCTGCAGGTATATACTCACTCACCTTTTTTACCCCCTTACATCAAACTACTTTTTTTCCTTTTTATGTCAAACCCCATTTTTTCTCTGAATGGGAGCTAGAGGGAGAGAGACTTAGATTTACAGAGGCTTGGAAATTAAACCACATTTTATACCCAAATTTTATCCACAAGAGACCAAGCTGCAAACACTTGTCCTTCAGTGATTAATGGAGAGAAATTATGGTGTAACTGATGGGAAATTTATAAGATGCTTTTAATATAATTAAAAATGATGTCTCTATTGGCTCTTAACTGTTCCAAACCTAATATTGGCTTCTTTCCAGAACTAACACATTTCATATAGCAACAGGGGGACACATTAAAGAAAAAGAAAAATTCTTTCCATTTTTGAATTTGTACATATTTTTGACCAGAGTGTAGTTTGTAAAATTTAGTATTAGTTTACTATATTATGAAAGAATCACTGGGTTGCTCTACTAATATTTTCATAAAATTGTGGAGAGTTTTAGAGCAGAAGGAAGCACAGGGGTCCATCTAAATCTGTCTCATTTTACAGATTAGGAAACTAAGTCCAGAGAGGCTTCTTCCTAGCTAGTCACTAATCCTTTAATTTCCTTTTCTTCATTCTTTGATTTGAAAAATGATATTTGAACATCTATTATATGTCAGATTATGGAATAGGTCCTAAAGAGATAATTGTCAAAAGCCTGGGTTCATAGTCTAACAAATTACAAACTAGAGAAGGTACAGTACATATTAATAAACATTAATCTATCATAGCATATGTGACTTTCTCTTATATATAGTTCTGTTCCTAGAACTACAAAAGATGAGGGAATGCTGAAATTTGCCCGAGTTGTCAGGAAATATTTACTAAAATGGATTATGTTTTATTCAGGCCTTGAAAAATGAGCAGGAATACACCAGCTTCAGAAACAAAAAAGACCACTGAAGGCAGAGGAAACAAGTGGTACAAGATAGAGGCAGGCAGGTGTGTGCTTGCTCGGAGCATGCCAAGGACTGGCTTCATATTTAGAGAGTGGTTGAAGGTGAGATTAAATAGGTGAGCTCTGATATGGTTGCAAAAGTCTTTATAGAGTCACTTAAGTTGTATAAACTTTATTCTATAGGCAACGGGGAGCCAGTATGTAATGTTAAGAAGGAAAATGACATTTTACATTTTGACATGGGCCTATATTTGAGAGGAATCACTGGTGGATTTGTGGAGGATGCAAAGGACCAGTTAGGAGGCAAGTCCAGATGGAAATGATGAGCTAATGAGCTAGGCTGAGGACAATGTGCCTCATGAAGAAAATGAGATGTTTATGAGGTTAGAACTGGCCATGTCCTTCGCCCACTTTTTGATGGGGTTGTTTGTTTTTTTCTTGTAAATTTGTTTGAGTTCATTGTAGATTCTGGATATTAGCCCTTTGTCAGATGAGTAGGTTGCGAAAATTTTCTCCCATGTTGTAGGTTGCCTGTTCACTCTGATGGTAGTTTCTTTTGCTGTGCAGAAGCTCTTTAGTTTAATTAGATCCCATTTGTCAATTTTGGCTTTTGTTGCCATTGCTTTTGGTGTTTTGGACATGAAGTCCTTGCCCACGCCTATGTCCTGAATGGTAATGCCTAGGTTTTCTTCTAGGGTTTTTATGGTTTTAGGTCTAACGTTTAAATCTTTAATCCATCTTGAATTGATTTTTGTATAAGGTGTAAGGAAGGGATCCAGTTTCAGCTTTCTACATATGGCTAGCCAGTTTTCCCAGCACCATTTATTAAATAGGGAATCCTTTCCCCATTGCTTGTTTTTCTCAGGTTTGTCAAAGATCAGATAGTTGTAGATATGCAGCATTATTTCTGAGGGCTCTGTTCTGTTCCATTGATCTATATCTCTGTTTTGGTACCAGTACCATGCTGTTTTGGTTACTGTAGCCTTGTAGTATAGTTTGAAGTCAGGTAGTGTGATGCCTCCAGCTTTGTTCTTGTGGCTTAGAAGACATTTATGCAGCCAAAAAACACATGAAAAAATGCTCATCATCACTGGCCATCAGAGAAATGCAAATCAAAACCACTATGAGATATCATCTCACACCAGTTAGAATGGCAATCATTAAAAAGTCAGGAAACAACAGGTGCTGGAGAGGATGTGGAGAAATAGGAACACTTTTACACTGTTGGTGGGACTGTAAACCAGTTCAAGCATTGTGGAAGTCAGTGTGGCGATTCCTCAGGGATCTAGAACTAGAAATACCATTTGACCCAGCCATCCCATTACTGGGTATATACCCAAATGACTATAAATCATGCTGCTATAAAGACACATGCACACGTATGTTTATTGCGGCTCTATTCACAATAGCAAAGACTTGGAACCAACCCAAATGTCCAACAATGATAGACTGGATTAAGAAAATGTGGCACATATACACCATGGAATACTATGCATCCATAAAAAATGATGAGTTCATGTCCTTTGTAGGGACATGGATGAAATTGGAAACCATCATTCTCAGTAAACTATCGCAAGAACAAAAAACCAAACACCGCATATTCTCACTCATAGGTGGGAATTGAACAATGAGATCACATGGACACAGGAAGGGGAATATCACACTCTGGGGACTGTGGTGGGGTCGGGGGAGGGGGGAGGGATAGCATTGGGAGATATACCTAATGATAGATGACACGTTAGTGGGTGCAGCGCACCAGCATGGCACATGTATACATATGTAACTAACCTGCACAATGTGCACATGTACCCTAAAACTTAAAGTATAATAAAAAAAAAAAAAATTAAAAAAAAAAAAAAAAAAAAGAACTGGCAAGACCTTATGATGATTGTGAGGGCTAAGACACAGGTATCAACCAGGGAGAAAAAAAAATTTCTGTTTTTGAAGGTTGAAGTCATAGTGATGCTACAAACTAGGCTATGAAATACATGAAGAGGGTGGTAGGGAAAAAGTTCGCAGGCAGGTAATAGATTCAGCTCACCCAGGATGGGATACTTAAAGGCAATATATATGGAAAATAAATGAAAATTTGTGTCTTAAGCTCAAAAGAAAAATCTGGGCTAGTGCTACTGATTTTAGTTTTTGAAGTAGGTGAAAGTTGAAGCTAAGGAAAGAGAAAATAGAAAAAGTCAAAGTATAGAATCAGGGAGTCACCATGGTTAAAGGATAAATGGAAGAAGGGAGCTAGTGCAATCCATGATTTAAAAGAATTATTGGGCCGGGTGTGGTCGCTCACACCTGTAATCCCAGCACTTTGGGAGACTGAGGTGGGTGGATCACCTGAGGTCGGGAGCTCAAGACCAGCCTGACCAATGTGGAGAAAACCTGTCTCTACTAAAAATACAAAATTAGTTGGGCATGGTGGCGCATGCCTGTAATCCCAGCTACTCGGAAAGCTGAGGCAGGAGAATTGCTTGAACCTGGGAGGCAGAGGTTGCGGTGAGCTGAGATTGCGACTTTGCACTCCAGCCTGGGAAATGAGCGAAACTCCGTCTCAAAAAAAAAAAAAAAAAAAAAAAAAAGAATTATTGGTGAGGTAGAAAGAGAATGAAGAAGACAATGCTATAAAATTGTTAGTTATGATGGTTTCAGCTCAATTAATACTCAAACCAACTCAAAATGACTATAATGATAAAGTGAATTTTTCTGCTTATGGAGTAAATACTCTATAGAGCAATACTCTAGAGGTAAGTTAACTAGGACCAAGAACAGGTGCTATAGTCACAGATCCAGTTCCATTCGCCTTCTTATTCTCCCAGAAATGCTCTCCTCTGGGTGTTGTGTTTCTCCATAGACTGTTGGGGAAATGGCTACAGAATTTCGAGATTTCCCATCCATGTATAACCAAGGCCCCCTTTCCAGTGGTTGTCTTGCAAATGTAAAGAAACTTCTCCCCTAGCCTCCTTGCTCCCCCAATTCCCATTGATCTTGCTCTTGCATTTTATTGGCTTGACATACCTATCTGAACCAACTTCTCTGGCCAGTAAAATTCCATATGCTGGTTGCATCAGATCTGGGTTTCTGAACTGATCATTAGCATAGAAAGCAGAGATTGGGCTTAATCTCATTAGGAGGGGACTCATTGATCTCTCTTTTGTCTCATGAACTGCATCACTACTAACCAAAGAGGCTGAGGTGGAATGGATGTCAGGTGGGAAGGTATCTGACACAAAAGTCAAAGAAGGAGAGAGCTTCAGAATGAATGGGTAATCATTCATACCAAAAATTATAGTTGAGATCAAGTAGGATAGATATAAAGAAACCATTAAATATGTCAGTCACTGGGATAGATGGTCATTGATGACCTTTGGGTGAGACTTTTCAGAGAAGCTCTGGGGCAACCCTTGCAGAACACTTTTCGAAGGAATCCAGTGGCACAGAGAGAGATAAGGGATGTTAAATCAGTTGCAATTCAATGAAGCCTGTAAATTTGCTTGAGAATATTATTTTACTTTGTTAATAAATTCATAACAACTCATTCCTTTCTAGGTTGAAAGGAGGAAAATTAATCCTACATGTGAAAATAATATGACAATTTGTGAACAAAAGGAAGGGGCTGTAAACACAGACAGAGTGATAAACACACAAGGCATGGTGAAAGGTGACCACTAAAAAGTGAGAGATGGGATTTCCAACAAACACTTTATCAGAGTTGGAATCATACAGTATTTTTGGTATATTTTGTCTAGTTAGTTTCTTGGCCATGATGAAAAATTGATACATTTTATTTACTAGATCAGTTTTAGCAAAATTGAATGAATTTTGTAATTGCACTGTAATTACATTAAAAGGTGGAAGTGATTCTGTTTTGAGTGTGGCCAACCATCCAGAAGATTCGTGTAGGGAAAGCAATAGGGCACATTTAGTCAATGTCAGGTTGAAGAATTTTCAAATTTCCAAAGCTCAGTCAAAGTATAAAACCAGTTTTCAAACCCTAAGGTCAACAAGAGTTTCAAATCTTAAGGTCACAATGACTAACATATATTGAGTGCTTACCGTGTGTTAGAAAACAGTTCTAAGTGTTTTATATGCATTAACGTAACATGTGATAGTAATAAAAATAATATTAAAGATATCCTCATGTGGCTCATAAGTGTCTTTCAATTTTTAGGTAAAGTAATTCTAGTAATGGTTTCCATTTCATTTTTATTTGTACAGCACTTTACACAGTTCATTCAGTTTTCTCCCCAAGTCATAACAGTTCTGTGAATTAAGAATAGCTGATATTCTTCTCATTTCTTAGATGGGAAAACAGAGTCCTGGAAGAGTTGCCAAGTGATTCACTGAAAGATACCAGTTATCCTGAATGGTGACTTAGTGTGTGGGTTGCAGCTGTTCTACAGTAAATGGAGAGATAGCAAGATATGCAGAATAGGATTAAGGGAATATTATGTTCGGCATGATGAAACCGGGAGAGGTGAATTCTTGGGTAGATTTTTACTCAGAGTGGCCAAAGCAGACTGGGGTGAGGGTAAAGCTTCCAAAATAAATGGCTGGACTAATGATAGACCCAGGCTTATGCTAAGGATAAGGAAAGTTCATTTCATAGATTGTCATGTTTGGAAATTATCTGAAAGAGCATTCTAATATACCCTCTCCTCTTACCAAGAGGATGCCAAGGCCCACAGAATTACTAGTGGATAAGAGACAAAATCTTACCCATTAGGTTAGTGACTCGTATCCCAATGCTCTCTCCACTACCCTAAGTCATAAGAGAAGAAAAATAAACCAGGCAAAGAAACAAATATAGAAAGGCAAGTGGTGTGATCCAGAGGCTTGTCTCCCATCAAAATTCAGAGGACAAAGAAATACTTATTTTCCTAATGCCCAAGGAAGAATTGGTCTGGTCAATCAACTGGTCATGGTCATGTATGCATGGTACTATTAAGTTAGGGTGAAAGGGATTCCAAGCCATGAGGAGGAGATCTCAAAGCCTTACTCACTACAATGTCTGATGAACTATGATGTTAGGCATTGGAATATATCCTACGTTCTCTGCAAAGATACTGAAATATTTGGGAATTTTCTGTAGTATTGATGCAATTTGTCTTGATTTGGGGAGAAACAGTCAAATTTAAAAAATTGCAGATCCTTTTCAGTAATAGATGGCTCCCTTTTGGGAGTTGAGGGTGGAGCAGAGAATGCAACTGCCGGCTGATTTATTTCCCTTAGAGCCAGAAGCAAGTGAGCTTGTTTATTATTTGTCATAGTTATTACACTATTCATAATCTGTTTTCCCATAAGAATAGTATTGCAATGATGAATGACAATGTATATATATAACAAAATAAATTTATTGCAGGAAGCATTTCCAGTGACATGAACAAGAAATTAGGTCTGCAAGATGTTCAAACTGTGCTGAACAACTCCAGTTCTGTTCCAGAACTCACCTTTGAAGGATAAGAATGAGTAGATACATTCCTAACTGATATTAGATTGCTAGCTCCTCTCTCTGAAGACAAGTCTGTGTCTTAATTTATTTTTTGATCTCTTAGAGCCTCATTCATGTAACATACTGAAGTACATGTAGAGTAGAATATGTTGAATGAAAGGGACCTTTTCCTTGTGATTTTCCCCACCACAATGACTAACATATATTGAGTGCTTATTGTGTATTAGAAACAGTTCTAAGTGTTTTACGTGCATTAAATCACTCAATCCTCCTAACAACCTGGTAAAGTAAATACCTTTATTACTCCCTATGTATGTGCAAGGAAAACTAGGCACAAAGGGACTACATAATTTGCAAGACTACAATACAGCTAAATAAATCACAGAGCTGGGATTGAGTCCCAGGCATCTTGCTGGCTGTAGATGCTCCTGCTGTCATCACTACACTGCCCTGTCTCCTATCTGTAAGGGGTGTGTGTGTATGGTGTGAGTGAGGGTATATTTTCCTCCAAATTACTAATAATTTATGGCACCATAATTTATTTTATGATCTTCCCTTTCCTCATTGATTTTATTTCCATATTAAATTCTCACTTTAATATTTTGTACCACTGATGTCTATTCTTTTGTCAGTACCATGCCATACCTCCATAAAATCTTTCAATATCTGCTTGTCTCATCCCTTCTCATGTCTTTTATTTTTCAAAAAGTTTTGCAATTTTCCATATTATTCTATTTTTTTTTTTTTTGGTTTGTTTTGTTTTTCACATGTTATCTTGAGCTCAAGAAAAACTCTCCTTTCTCCAGGGTATGGAGACCTCAGGCCAGGAACTTTCCTTAAAAATCATGCAGGGAATCCAAAGATCAAGATGGACTCAAAATAAGTTTAGGATGGGGCTAGAGGTGTAGGGTGTTAGGCATACATGATGAGCTGGGTCTTACCACTCTAACCTTGCCCTATTTGGTATCTGTTTGTGTACGTATACATATACATATACATATGTGTACACACATTTTTTTTTCCTGAGCTTCTAATGTCATCTTATCTTGATTCAGGGAAGGTAAAGGATTTGGGGAGTCAATGTATTTCACAAACAGTTACTCTGGGACCTGATTGTTCTCTAGGCCAATGTGCCCTTGAAAAGATGGTAGCAAACATGGAGGCCAATGGAATGGTAGAGAAACAATTCAGGGTGCTTTGATTTCTTTCTTAGGGGATAAGGCTTGGTATACTGGGTTAGCAAAGGGTCTTCTGCATTTTGGGGCCTGTGGGTGGAGAAGGCCAGTTTGGGGGAAAGGTGGGGGAACTTTCCTCTGTTTTGGCAATAAATAACTACAATTTATTACATGTTTACTGTTTGTTAGGTGATATTCTAAAAGCTCTATGTACTATATCTCTTTGAGTCTGTCCAATTCTATAAACAGGTAGCATCATTCTTTTCACAGATGAAGAAGCAGAGGATTAGATTAGCTATGTTATATAACTTATCAGAGTCATATAACTGATAATTCAGACCCAGGTTAAAATATAAATCTTTGACGTGGTTTACAAGACCCTCCACAATCTGACCTTTGCCTACCTATCAGCCTTACCTCATGCCACCTAAATCCAACCACACAGGATTTTTAGCCCCAGTTTAAAAATACATCTTGTCTGCTGTGGCAGAGGCATAGCTATGTATTCCCCGAAACTTCCTTTTCTTCTCAAGCACAGAGAAGACTTCTTTTTTCAGCCTCCCTTTGGATGTTGGTGGGATCGTATGACTAATGGAATGAGAGCGAAAGCAACGTGTGTCACTCCAGACCTGGTCCCTAACGCATTTCATATCCTCAACTCTGTTTTCTGTTCTCCATCTGCACAGCTGGTGTGCAGGACCCTCAGACAGGAGATAGTAAAATCACAAGGCAGTGTTCCTGCCTTCGCTACTTTGACAAAACCTGCCCAGAGCAGCTGCTTGAAGAGCTAGGACATGAGAGAGAAATTTTATTGTATAAGTATCTGAGATTTGGGGGTAGTTTGTTACAGCGTCTAGCATTACTAACCATGATTAAGCCACTTTCTCTAGATGGAATTGTCAAACTTTTTTTTTTGTAAAAGGCCAAGTAGTAAATATTTTAGGTGTTACAGGCCATATGATCTCTTTTGCAACTAATCAGCTCCACTGTGCAGTTGTAGTGTGAAAATGGCCTTAGACCATACGTAAGTGAATTGACATGTCTGGGTTCCAATAATGCTTTATTTACAAAAAAAAACACTGGCCAGATTTAGTTTGCCAATGTCTGTACTACACTAAAGGACTAGAACAGCCCATACTCTTTTCTCTGTTGCAGTGTCTCAGTCTTTCTCCAGCACTCTGATGCAATCCAACCTTTGTCTGGCTAAACTGTTACTCCCCATAGCTTAGGGAGGATGTTTCCCTCGTTTCCCTCTTCCTGATTTCTCTGCCTGATATGGTTTGGCAGTGTCCCCACCCAAATCTCAGATTGTAGCTCCTGTAATTCCCACATTTTGTGGGAGGGACCCAGTGGAAATAATTGAATCATGAGGGCAGGTCTTTCCCATGCTCTTCTTGTGATAGCAAATAAGTATCACAAGATCTGATGGAGTTCCCCTGCACATGCTCTCTGTCTTGCCTGCTGCCATGTAAGACATCCCTTTGTTCTTCCTTCATCTTCTGCCATGATTGTGAGGCCTCCTCAGCCATGTGGAACTGTGAGTCCATTAAATCTCTTTCCTTTATAAATTACCCAGTCTCGGTTATGTCTTTATTAGTAGCATGAGAACAGACCAATACACTCCCCTTCTTGTCAATTGGGTTAGGCTCCATTATCATATGTCCCCAGAGCAGCCACCTGTACTTCCTTTTTCATAATAAACCTCACGTCTATAATATTAGGTTGGTGCAAAAGTAATTGCGATTTTTGCTTTTAAAAGTAATGACAAAAACTGCAATTACTTTTGTACCAACCTAATAATTTGTTCAATGTCTGTCTTCCTTACTATGCTGAGAGCTTCATGAGAAAAAGATGCCATGTCTATTGTATTCCCTGTTTTATCTCTAGAACCTAGCACAGGATCTGGCACAGACTAGGTGCTATTAATATTTGCTGAGTCAATGGGTAACTACAAGTCATATGTTATTAACCACTGCCTGCAATATATAGAATCTGTGGAAACACATCCTTCCTTCCCCTCACCTCTCCTCTTCCTCTTTGTCCTTCAGTCCTTGGGCTCAATATAGCCTAAAGGAAACCAAACCTACAATTATGGTATAATAGTCACACTCTTGAATGAATAAAATACTGCAGAGATATTTACCCTCAGGAATATTTCTTTGGTGTAAATACTGACTTTGTCTCTACCTCAGTCAATATTTTTTATTCAGGACCATAAATCTTGGGGTGTCATCCCATAGAAGCTGATCTCTGTCACAGCTCTGAAAATTAATTCCATCCTGAGCCCTATAAACAGGAAGAGGCTGTTCCTGAGGTTCTGTCATCACATTGCTCTGACACTTATAAATCTGAAAAGCTGTCCAATTTTTTACAATATTGTATGTTAGGTTTGTGAACCACTCCAAATGGTCAACTATAGCCCCTCCATCTACAGAAAAGAGAAGACAAGAGAAAAAATATTCTATTTAAATGTGTAAAGACTCTAACACAACAGTCAATGTAGTCTCAAAGTTGATTAAGATAACTTGTAGTTCTGATAAGTGTTTGGTTTGATCTGATAAAATGTGGGGGCTGGAAAACTCAAACACTGTCCTGGGAAAAGTCACAGTGCAGCTAAAATTGCTATCATTCTATTCAGCCATAGCTGAGCAGTGGACAGTGCTTTTGAGTTTCCCATAGCTTTCTCAATGACATCTGTCAACCTCAGGCAGGAAAGATAGGCTTACCAATCTGGGAAAAGCCCAAAGCATTTTACTCAAAAGGTGGCATTGAGCTGGGTGTGGTGGTGCATGCCTGTAATACCAGCAGTTTGGGAGACTGAGACAGGAGGATCACTTGAGCCCAGGAGTTTAAGACCAGCCTGGACAACATAGGGAGACCAAAAAAGGAAGAAAGAAAGAAAGAAAGAAACAACACACACGAAAACAAAAAAATACAAAAAATTAGTTGGGTGTGGTGGCTCACACTTGTAGTCCCAGCTACTTAGAAGGCTGAGGTAGGAGGATCACTTTAGCCCAGGACTTGAAGGCTACAGTGAGCTAGGCTAATGCTACTGTACACCAAGACTGTTTCAAAGGAAAAAAAATGGAGCATTAGCTTGTCTTTCCCTTGTTATGTGGTAATGGAGAGTTGACAGGAGTTCATGCAGGTCAATTAGAGAGGAGATTGAAGAAAGGAGTTTTAATTCCTAAGGAATTCTTGCAGGGCTTATAGCCATTTATGTCTTTCAGTCTAAAATAAAGTCTAAAGAGAAGCTTAAATATAATATATTTTTTGGAATAAAACAAAATTACTAATATTTTTCATATAGAAAAGCCTCAGGGTCCTAGATTGGAATTCATGAAAGAATATCTGACCCCAGTTTATTTACAGAAATTAACCATCCCTCCCAAATCTGATTTCTTAATAGCTGAAATCTTCCCTCTGACAGAGAAGGTGTTGAGGTCTTCTAACTGCATTGTCATCATTCTGTTTCTAGAACTCAGCTCCCTGTAGTATGCCATAAATATTTGTGGAATATATGAATGAATGAATAAATGATGTGAATGAATGAATAAATGATGTGAATGAATGAATTATGTCAATGAGTGGATGAACAAATGAATGAAAGAGAGTTGTCAAGATTGCCAAATTGTGGGGAGGAGCCACGATGGCTGAATAGAAACAGCTGCAGTTGGAGGCTCCCACTGAGAAGAACAAAAATGGTGAGTGAATCCTGCACTGACAACTGAAGTATCCTGGTTCTCTTGCTGGGACTGACTAGGTGGTTGGCATGACCCACAGAGAGTGAGGAAAAGCAGGGTGGTGTGACAACCCACCTGGGAGCCACACGGGGCAAAGGGAGATCCCACCACCAGCCAAGAGAGGCAGTGAGTGATTGTGCTACCCTGTCCAGGAAACCACGCTTTTTCCAGGGATCTGTGCAATCTGTGGATCGGGAGATCCCCTAATGAGGGCCTTGGGTCCCAAGTACAGAGCTGTGCAGATTCTCAGTGGACACTCTGCTGGAGACTGCCTAAGATTACTGAGTTCCCCGGGGGAGGGGTGGCCATATCAGTGTGATTGCCTGCTGCCTAAGATGACTGAACTCCCTGGGGGAGGGGTGGCAACCATCACTGCAGTTCCAGTTGGCCGTTTTTCCCTTGCCGATGACGGAGAGTTGAATGATTTGGATCGAGAGGAATTCCCCACAGCGCAGCACAGCGGCTGTGACAGATCGTGGCTAGACTGCCTAAAGGCCAGACCCTGACCCATCCCTCCTCACTGGGTGGAGCCTCCCCGAAGGAATTTCAAAACCTCCATCCAGGGCTTTACATATAGAACTCTGATCTCCCTGGGATGGAGCCCTTGGTGGGAGGGGTTGCTGTAGTCTCCATGAATCAGCAGAGTTAGTCTTTTCCCCCACTGGCTC
Source organism: Homo sapiens (assembly GCF_000001405.40). Lineage (NCBI taxonomy): Eukaryota > Metazoa > Chordata > Mammalia > Primates > Hominidae > Homo > Homo sapiens. The sequence continues at coordinate 33,252,604 of NC_000008.11, read as the reverse complement.
TGAGAATCCAGGTAGTCAAGATGAGTGGGATTCCCCCCAGCGCAGAGCACCCGTTCTGCCAAGGGACAGCCAGAGTCCTTCATTAAGCAGGTCCTAGAATGCATGCCTCCTGACTCGGTGAGACTCCCCAACGGGGGTCACCAGACACCTTATACAGGAGCATTCCTGCTGGCATCAGGTCAGTGCCCCTGTGGGACAGAGATCCCAGAGGAAGGGGTAGGCAGCCATCTTTGATGTTCTGTAGCCTCCACTGGTGACATAGGTGCAGGAGAAACCCAGGTGAATATGGTCTGGAGTGGACCCCCTGCAAATTGCAGCAGCCCTATGGAAGAGGGGCTTGATTGCTAAAAGAAAAACAGAAAGCAATAACAACAACAGCATCAACAAAAAGCTCCCCACAAAAACCCCATCCAAAAGTCAGCAGCCTCCAAGATCAAAGCTAGATAAACTCAGGAAGATGAAAAAGAGTCAATGAAAAAATGCTGAAAACTCAAAAAGCCGGAAGGTCTCTTCTCCTCCAAATGATTACAACACCTCTCCAGCAAGCGTGCAGAGTCTGAGATAGATGAATTGACAGAATTAGGCTTCAGAAGGTGGGTAATAATGAACTTTGCTGAGCTAAAGGTGCCTCAAAGAAGCTAAGAACCATGATAAAACACTACAGGAGCTGTCAACCAGAACAACCAGTTTAGAGAGGAACATAAGTGACCTGATGGAGCTGAAAAACATAACATGAGAACTTCATAATGCAACCACAAGTATCAATAACCAAATAGACCAAGCAGAGGAAAGAATTTCAGAGCTTGGAGGCTATCTTGCTGAAATAAGACAGGCAGTCAAGATTAGGGAAAAAAGAATGAAAATGAATGAACTAAACCTCCAAGAACTATGGGATTATGTAAAAAGACTGAACCTATGATGGATTGGGGTACCTGAAAGAGATGGAGAGAATGGAACCAACTTGGAAAATATACTTTAGTATATCATCCAGGAGAACTTCCCCAACCTAACAAGACAGGCCAATATTCAAATTCAGGAAATCTAGGGAACCCCAGTAAGATACTCCATGAGAAGATTAACCCTAAAACACATAATCATCTGATTCTCCAAGGTCAAAATGAAAGGAAAAATGTTAAGTGCAGCCAGAAAGAAAGGCCAGGTCATCTACAAAGGGAAGCACAGCAGACTAACAGTGGACCTCTCAGCAGAAACCCTACAAAACAGAAGAGATTAGGGGCCAATATTCAACATTCTTAAATAAAAGAATTTCCAACCCAGAATTTCATATCTGGCCAAACTAAGCATCATAAGTGAAGGAGAAATAAATTCTTTTCAGACAAGCAAATGCTAAGGGAATTCATCATCACCAGGCCTGCCTTGCAAGAGCTCCTGAAGGAAGCACTAAATATGGAAAGAAAAAAGTGTTACCAGCCACTGCAAAAACAAACTGAAGTACAGAGACCAATGACACTATGAAGCAATGACATCACTAAGTCTGCAAAATAACCAGCTAGCATCATGATGACAGGATCAAATTCACACATAAGAATATTAACTTTAAATATAAAGGGGCTAAATGCCCCAACTAAAAGACACAGAATGGCAAGTTGGAGAAAGTCACGACCGATCAGTGTGCTGTATTCAAGAGACCAATCTCAAGTACAAAGACACACATAAGCTCAAAATAAAGGGATGGAAGAAAATTTACCAAACAAATGGAAAGCAGAAAAAAGCAGGGGGTGCAATCCTAGTTTCTGACAAAACAGACTTTAAACTAACAAACATCAAAAAAGACAAAGAAAGGCATTACATAATGGTAAGGGGATTAGCTCAACAAGAAGCGCTAACTATCCTAAATATACATGCACCCAATATGGGAACACCCAGATTCATAAAACAAGTTCTTAGAGACCTACAAAGAGACTTAGACTCCCACACAATAATAGTGAGGAACTTTAACACCCCACTGTCAATATTAGACAGATCATTGAAACAGAAAATTAACAAGCATATTCAGGACTTGAATTAAGCTCTAGATCAAGTGGACCTGATAGATAACTACAGAATTCTCCACCCAAAAAAACAACAGAATATACATTCTTCTTGGCGCCACATGGCACTACTCTAAAATTGATCACATAATTGGAAGTAAAACACTCCTCAGCAAATGCAAAAGAACTTAAATCATAACAAACACTCTCTCATACCACAGCACAATCAAATTAGAACTCAAGATTAAGAAACTCACTCGAAACCACACAACTACATGGGAATTGAACAACCTGGTCCTGAATGACTCCTTCGTAAATAATGAAATTAAGGCAGAAATCAAGAAGTTCTTTGAAACCAATGAGAACAAAGAGACAATGTAACAGAATCTCTGAGACGCAGTTGAAGCAGTGTTAAGAGGGAAATTTATAGCACTAAGTGCCCACATTGAAAAGCTACAAAGATCTCAAATTGACACCCTAACATCACAACTGGAGGACAAAGAACAAACAAACCCCAAAGCTAGCAGAGGACAAGAAATAACCAAGATCAGAGGAGAACTGAAGAAGATACATGAAAAACCCTTCAAAAAAATCAATGAATTCAGGGTCTGGTTTTTTGAAAAAATTAATAAAATAGATAGACTGCTAGCTAGACTAATGAAGAAGAAAAGAGGGAAGAATCAAATAGACACACAAAAATGATAAAGGGGACATGGTATCACCACTGACCCACAGAAATATAAACAACCATTAGAGACTCCTATAAATATCTCTATGCAAATAAATTAGAAAATGTAGAAGAAATGGATAAATTCCTGACACATACATCCTCCCAAGACTGAACCAGGAAGAAGTTGAATCCCTGAATAGGCCAAGAACAAGTTCTGAAATTAAGGCAGTAATAAATAGCTTACCAACCAAAAAAAGCCCAGGACCAGAGAAACTTACAGTTGAATTCTACCAGAGGTACAAAGAGGAGCTGATATCATTCCTTCTGAAACTATTCGAAACAATCGAAAAGGAGAGTCTTCTCCCTAACTCACTTTATGAGGCCAGCATCATTCTGATACCAAAGCCTTGCAGAGATACAACAAAAAAAGAAAACATCATTGTGAATATCAATGCAAAAATCCTCAATAAAATACTGGCAAACCGAATCCAGCAGGACGTCAAAAAGCTTATCCACCAAGATCAAGTCAGATTTATCCCCAGGATGCAAGACTGGTTCAACATATGCAAATCAATAAACATAATTCATCACATAAACAGAACTAAAGACAAAAAACACATGATTATCTCAATAGATTCAGAAAAGGACTTTGATAAAATTCAACATCCCTTCATGTTAAAAACTCCTAATAAACTAGGTATGATGGAACATAGCTCAAAATAATAAGAGCCACTTATGACAAACCAACAGCCAATATCATACTGAATGGTCAAAAGCTGGAAGCATTGCCTTTGAAAACTGGCACAAGACAAGGATGCCCTCTCTCACCACTCCTATTCAACATACTATTGGAAGTTTTGGCCAGGGCAATCAAGCAAGAGAAAGAAATAAACGGTATTCAGACAGGAAAAGAGGAAGTCAAACTCTCTGTTTGCAGGTGACATAATCCTATATCTAGAAAACCCCATCGTCTCAGCCCAAAACTTCTTAAGCTGATAAGCAACTATAGCAGTCTCAGCATACACAATCAATGTGGAAAAATCACAAGCATTCCTATATACCAACAATAGACAGGTAGAGAGCCAAATCATGAGTGAATTCTATTCACAATGCTACAAAGAGGATAAAATACCTAGGAATACAGCTAACAGGGGAAGTGAAGGACCTCTTCAAGGAGAACTACAAACCACTGCTCAAGGAAATCAGAGAGTACACAAACAAATGGAAAAACATTCCATGTTCATGATAGGAAGAATCAATATCGTGAACATGGCCATACTGCCAAGGTAATTTATAGATTCAATGCTATTCCCATTAAACTACCATTGACATTCTTCACAGAATTAGAAAAAAACTACTTTAAAATTCATATGGAAACAAAAAAAGAGCCTGTATAGCCAAGACAATCCTAAGCAAAAAGAACAAAGCTGGAGGCATCATGCTACCTGACTTCAAGTTATACTACAAGTCTACAGTAACCAAAACAGCATGATACTGGTATCAAAACAGACACATTGACCAATGGAACAGAATAGAGATCTCAGAAATGAGACCACACATCTACAGCCATCTGATCTTTGACAAACCTGACAAAAACAAGCAATGGGGAAAGATTCCCTGTTCAATAAATTTTGCTGGGAAAACTGGCTAGCCATATGCAGAAAATTGAAACTGGACCCCTTCTTTACACCTTATAGAAAAATTAACTCAAGATGAATTAAAGACTTAAATGTGAAACCCAAAACTATATAAAACCCAAAACTATATAAAACCCTAGAAGAAAATCTTGGCAATACCATTCAGAACATAGGCACAGGCAAAGATTAATGATGAAAATGTCAAAAGCAATTGCAACAACAGCAAAAATTGACAAATGGCATCTAATTAAACTAAAGGACTTCTGAACAGCAAAAGAAAATATCATCAGAATGAACAGACAACCTACAGAATGGGAGAAAATGTTTGCAATCTATCCATCTGACAAAGTCTTAATATCCAAAATCTACAAAGAACTTAAACAAATTTACAAGAAAAAAACAAACAATCCCATTAGAAAGTGGGCAAAGGACATGAACAGACACTTCTCAAAAGAAGACATTTATGTGGCCAAAAACATATGAAGAAAAGCTCAACATCACTGATCATTAGAGAAATGCAAATCAAAACCACAAAAAGATACCATCTCACGCGTCAGAATGGTGATTATTAAAAAGTCAGGAAACAACAGATGCTGGCGAGGTTGTGGAGAAATGGGAATGCTTTTACACTGTTGGTGGGAATGTAAATTAGTTCAACCATTGTGGAAGACAGTGTAGTGATTCCTCAAAGGCCTAGAACCAGAAATACCATTTGACCCAGCAATCCTATTACTGGGTATATACCCAAAGGAATATAAATCATTCCATTATAAAGATACATGCATATGTATGTTCATTGCAGCACTGTTCACAATAGCAAAGATGTGGAATCATCCTAAATGCCCGTCAATAATAAACTGGATGAAGAAAATATGGTACATATACACCATGGAATACTATGCAGTCATAAAAAGGAACAAGATCATGTTCTTTGCAGGGACATGGATGGAGCTGGAAACCATCATCCTCAGCAAACTAACACAGAAACAGAAAACCAAACACTACATGTTCTCACTCATAAGTGGGAGCTGAACAATGAGAACACATGGACATGGGGAGGGAAAAACACACACTGGGGCCTGTCGGGGGTGGGGGTGGAGCGAGGGAGATCATGAGAATAAATACCTAGTGCATGCTGGGCTTAATACCTAGATGATGGGTTGATAGGTGTGGCAAACCACTATAGGTAAACCACATTTACCTATGCAACAAACCTGCACATCCTGCACATGTATCCCAGAACTTAAAATAAAATAAAAATTTTAAAAAGAGAAAGCCCAGTTAACACGTGGCCCCAGTTCCATTCTTTTAGTTTTCCTGATACTTTTTCTTCTATAATGATTGTTTCTCAAGTGGCTTTATAATAACAACAACACAACAACTAACACTTATGCAGCCCTTTTATATACTGTATTTTAAGTGATAGAAAGCATTTGGCCTAAGTTTTCTGGGTGCATTTCATTTGCTTGTGTTGACTCAGGTGACAGTTAACTAGTGTAGTCACTACCTTCAGCTTCATGTGAGTAGGGCACCATCGTGACCCATATTCTGCTCAACCCTAAGAAGACAGAGAAAACACTGTCATTCTGAATGCAGATTACTGAATTAAGAGACCTTGGTCAGTTACATTTAAAATGCAAGGCCTCAAAGCATGCTTTCTGATGGAATTTATTGTGATCATTAGGATAAGTAAACACATCAGACATTCACTATATATGCTGAGACAAATGTAATACAAAAACTTTTTTCTCTGCTGTGTCATTTCATTTTGCAACTCTAAGTGCTGCTGCTTACTATGATTTTCCACAATAACATTTAGATTTTCAGCTAAACTGCTGTATCAGACATATTTCAAGCTAATTACTTGGCATTACAAGATTATATTCTGTTCTCTAATAGCTTTGTAACAAACTTTTTTTAAAAAAAATTAGAGAATCAGTTATTTCCAAAGATTAAAAGAAGAACAGAAGACATAATGATTATCTGGCTGGGTTGCCTGGTCTCATTGCTGTGTGCAGCTGAGGCTGTGGTTTGGGAAAACCATCTTGTGCTCTGCAGCTTACATGCTGGGTTCTTCTCCTAATTCAGCTGACATATTGTTTTCTTTCTTCTTTAAAACAAAGTTTATTTTTCTATCATGGCAAATCCAGAGAAGATAAAACAATAAGAACTAAAAAGTGATCTTACCCTCATCTTATCAATATTCATCCATTCTCTATCTGTTGAGTACCTACTACATGTCAGGCTCTATTCTAGGCAGTGATATTTTCGTGAATCTCTAAACACCAGTTTCCACTGGATGTAAGAATATCTGTGAGTAAAATGTCCTTTAATGAAAGTATACTTTGATAAGCTCATCTTTAGTCCTCTGTCCCTCATTCTCAGCCTTAGTCCTTCCAAGACTTTTTCCCCTGCGTTCAGACATTCCCTTCCCAGCACATTAGGACTCTGGAATCCTCCCATCAACTTCTTTATGTTGACATAAAATTTGCCTTCAAGAACAGTTCTGGCTGGGTGAGGTGGCTCATGCCAGTAATCCTAAGGCTTTAGGAGACTGAGGCAGAAGGATGGCTTGAGCCCAAGAGGTCAAGGCTGCAGTGAGCTATGATTGTGCCGCTGCATTCCAGTCTAGCTGACAGAGATTTTGTCTCAAAGAAAAAACAAAAAACAAAAAACAAAAACAAAAACAGTTCTAATTAGTGATCATGACAAGCTAAAATGACACTTGGTAGTTTATAGCAGTCTGGGGTTCTTGGACTTCTAGGGCTCAATAAAGGCAGTTTCAAAACCAAAAGACAAAGGAGAACATATGTTTACCTATGGTAATGCCAGAATGAGCTAAACAAAACAGAAGAGTTGCTTGGCATTTTTATTAACCTTAGTTGTATAAAAGGAGGAAGTACTATTACTCAAGCACAGTTTGATAAACAAAGTCTTTGAAAACCATGTAAACAAGTGGTAAAAATGAAAGCTCATTTTCTTTATGACATTGCAAGCATAGAACTGAAGGCAGAAGAAGTGTTTATGATTTGAGGGGAGCCTGGCAGACAGGTTCCTCCAGCTGCATATGGGTCACGCTGACCTTGCTTTTGCATTTTATTTGTGCTTTCCATTCCAGAGGAAAGAAGGGGGAGCTGACTGAGTGTGGCAAGGGCAATTGCTAGGGACCTGCTGTCCAGGACAGGTCACTAGCACTTCTGCTGTGCTTGCTCCTCTCACAACATAGAAACTGGTCCACCTTGCTTAGTGGATGTCATCTCATCCAGCAGAAAGCTGAGCAGAAAGAGTGCCCGCTATTAGCTTTGGGTGTTGGAGCCTTGAGCTTCTCAGAGATCAAAGAGAAGAGCCCTTCCTCCAGATTTTGAATATCATGATTGTTCTCTGAACAATCATGATAGGGTTTTTCTTCTAGGCTTCTCTGAACTGCAATATTAATTTGCAACCCAACTGAGTGGGTTCAAAATGTCTTTTCATCACACACCAACATGGGGCCATCAGAACACTGATGACATTCAACCACAAAAGAAAACTGGGGAGGGAGGGATCTCAGAATGAGCATGGTGACAAAAGGGACTTCCGCAGTGAAGCATGTATCTCAGGCGAGGGTAGCACACAATGAATAAACTGTGGCCGGCTGACATTTCATCTGTGAGTCGCTTCTCAAGTATTTGGAGAGGGTGCATTGATCCCACTCTCGTGGAAACCCCCAAGAACTCTCATAAAATGCCTGCTTTCATTTAGCTTTTGTTAAAACAACTAAAATTCCCTTCTCACAATTGTTGGGACATCTCAACAACATAGTCCTTTCTTCCCCAGCTTGCAACTCAAACAAATATTGTCATTTATTTTTGTGGGTACCCCAGTCTCATACCAATGCTAACAATTTTTGACATTGAAAGGCATTTCCCAGGACTCCCAGAGGGTGGCAGTATTGTTCATGAGTCAGTGATTAGTACAAGAAATTAGGTACCTGATAGGAAAATGATTTAAGGGGCGTGGCTTTGTACTATCAAAATGAGCAAAATCTATAATGGTGGCTCCTTTACAATATAACTAATTCCTCTAAAGCCACACACTCCAACGTGTATAAAGTGCAAAGATAAAAGATGAAACCTAAGAGGCTCATATCAACAGAAAAATACGGACAAAAGTGGCAATGCTAAGATTATTTCAAATAGGCTCAGTCCCAGATAATTAATACAATAATGCCTTAAGTTCTATGGGTTGTCCACAGATACCTGGCTGAGAAAATTCAGATGATGTCAATTCACCAGAAATCTTGCAGGAGGAGACAGGCTGCTATTGTTCTTACCCAACGTAACCTTCCAATAATTTGCAGGCCCTGTAGTTTACTAGTAGACAGCTTACTGTCTTCTGAGAGGCATGTAGCAAGACTGCTCTAACAAGATAGTTTACACTTATTCATATGTAAATAAAGGCCCTCAGATTGGGCCAAAGCGGAACCAGGTAACTAGAACTTAGTGATAATATTAAACGAGAAAAAAGATTATTACCCATAGTATTGCTTGAAAGGGGAATGTTTATTTGTACACATAGTCAAAATCAATTACTTCCTGCAATCAAGATGATTGTGATGGTGTTTGGGTATACCTGGAGATGATATCATAGTGTCACTTACAAGTTTGGTAAATGGTTGCTATCAGACCTCGAGTAGAAATTTTGAAGGGATACAATGGTAGCAGCTGAAAAGGCAAAACTGCAGTTTAATTTCTACAAACAGGTCAGGGGTGAGGAAAGCCCCTGTGTAGGCAAGGCTGGGAATATCTAGGTCTTCCCAGAAGATCTCATACTGAGAGAATTCCCAGACTTCCAGATGAGTCACTTCTACCTTTTATTGTGTCTGGTCACTGGGGGTTTCCAGTTTTCTAGAAATCAGAAGAGGCACAGATACTTCCATTTGTATTTAAGTGATTAAAATTAGGCAGCATAAATTTTCCACTTTGCATCTCTTGATTTAGCAGTGAGTTGCTTAATATTGTTATACATCAATGTCAGACATTTACTGAGTCACCCACAAACTCTTCCTTCCTGTAGGTCACTGGTAATGATTTAGAAAAAGTCTTCTGGAAAGAAATGCCATTTATAGAAAATTCCAAGTCAATAAATAATATCTTCTATTTGCTGAGTGGTTACTAAATGGCAGGAACTATTATTGGTGCTTTGCATGTATTATCTCATTTAATCGTTGTGACATCCTATGAGGTAGGCACTAACATTATTTTTTTATTTGTTAGACAAGGAGATTGAGGATCAAAGAAGTTCAGCTCACCCAAAGCCATAACTAACTAGTAAGTGGCAGAGCCAGGATTCAAACTCTGTGCTTCCTTTTTGGAGGAGACAGCAGGTAAGTTTATGAAACCATTGAATGGGCTTATGAATGTCTCATATGTTCTTTCCTTGCGATTTTAGGTTAGCAGAGGGAGGCTGGTTAGCCTGGTTATATCATGATGTTAATTATTGCACGACATCAGATAAAATTCCTTACTTGATGCCCTCTGCTTTGAAAATGTGTCCCATTGGCTAAAGGAGTGAGCTAGGGAGAGTGTTGAAGGGCTAGGACTAATCCACATTATGTAGAGAACGGGAATAGCAACTTTTTACTTTAGAGGACAAATGTAGGAAGACCTGCACCAGAAGATAACCCGCTCATTCAACCACTGTTAGTCCAGTGGCTCAGCTCTCCACTAGTGAACCTGTCACTCAGAGCCTTGTGGGCTTGTACCAGAGCCGCATCTCCCGCTCTTCCTGAAGCCCCTGCTCTCCTCAACAGAGTTCCCACTATCACATGTCCTGTTTTTTCCCACAAAGGACACCAAGTGGATGTGCATGTGCCCAGCCATGGGTCACACAGTTGGATGGGTAATGCCTAGCAGGTTAGAAATGAAGAAATATGGGCCAGCCACCTGGCATGTAAACAAGAAAAGATCCTGCTACTCTTTTTTTGTGTTTTGTGAGACAGAGTCTTCCTCTGTTGTCCAGGCTGGAGTGCAGTGGTGCGATCTTGGCTCACTGCAACCTCTGTCTCCTGGGTTGAAGTGATTCTCATGCCTAAGCCACCAGAGTAGCTGGTATTACAGGCATGAGCCACCACATCTGGCTGATTTTTATATTTTTAGTAGAGACAAGGTTTCGGCATGTTGGCCAGGATGGTCTCAAACTCCTGAGCTCGTGATCTGCTCGCCTTGGCCTTTCAAAGTGCTAGGATTACAGAGGTGAAACACCCTGCCCAGCCAGACACTGCTACTTTTAAAGAGATACCTTCTGGGTCAGTTGCAGTGAGTCCCCAGCACAGCTAGTAAATTGTGCCCACTAAGGGCTTCATCATCACTAGTGCCCGGTGATCATAAGCCTGCCACCAAGAATTAGTCCTGAAATCAAAGCCGGTGCCATGCCAGCAGAGACTCCAACTGGTTTCTTTAGTTAGATCTAGTTCATGGTAACTGTGGAATCAATATATTCATTGGTCAGTCTAGGCATGTGATGTGCCAATTGCAAGCAAGTAGGAGGAAGTCAGATTTTAGCAGGGTTTCAAGACAGTAGGAATCATCTGGGATAGGCCTCTGCTATTGAATCATCTTGGGCATCCCAAGGTTGTAAAGGCTATAACCAGAAGTTAATATTAAAAATATAACCAAAGATCAAGGAGCCTAAATTGGCATTCTCAAAGTAACACTTGTATAGGAAACACTTGGGTGATTTGATAAAAATTCAAATCTCTGACACCCTTTGAATCGGGGACCTAATCCCGTAGCATCTAGTCAGAAAGTAGAAGAGCTGGTTCATGATCTAAATGGAGTAATGGTTCTCAAAATGTGGTCCTCAGACCAATAGTGTGAGCACCCCCTGGGAACTTGTTAGAAATACAAATTTTTGAACTTCACTTCAGATCTACTGAACCAGAAAGTGGGGGTGGGGCCCAGCAAGCTGTGTTTAACAAGCACTCCAGAGGATTCGGATGCATGCTCAAGTTTGAGAACCACTGGAATAGAGAGTTCTCTACAGGCCTATAATGATACATGTTAGCTGTAGACTCAGAAATATGTTAGGAAGGGGCTCTGAAATCTGTATTTTTATTAAATTTTCCTGGTGATTTTGTTGTATGCCTGTTTGAGTATAATTGATCTAGAAGAACAAAAGTTTTCTTTCCCTTTTATCTTTTGCCAAGGCACTTCCCCATTATCTCCAAGGCTAAGAACCAGAATCATTCTTTTCGTTACTAAAAGCTCACCTATTTGGGCAAAGGGCAGAATAGAAACATCATTGTGTATATCCTATAAAACACAGTGTGGCTATTTGTAAGTGTGTGTGTGTGTGCACGTGCGCGCGCACGTGCGCGCATGCACACACGCGTGCATATGTGCATATGTACACGTGTGTGCAAACATTCAAAACAACAGTCAACTTCTGGGCAGATTATTGCTCTACTATGCCTAAAAATTAATCAATTCCTCCTTCACTTTATTAGAATGCCTAAAATTTTACCAACTTGAGATATATTTGTGTTAATAAGCATTTTTTTTCAAATTCAGATATGAAAGTAAATAGATGTTAACATTATGAAAACTTTTGGAGACCATCTAATCTTGAACTTTTCTCATGGTAGTGCCTGCTTAGCCCTTCAGCAAATTTCCTTCAAGTGACATTCATACAAGTACATAAGTCACTCCCAGATGACAAGGTAGGCACTGCCTTCCACTCCTTGCAATTCTGTGCAGGAGGAGGTACATAGATTGACCACCAACATGAGGCCAATGCTGTCATCCATGGGTAAAAGATATAGTTGGGAGTCAGCAGCCCTTTGTTATAGCTCTGTGATTTGAATAAACAGGCATACCTTGTGGGTTCAATTTTTCAAGAACCTGAGGGTGCAGTCTTAAAAATTGTCCAGCAGACCCAAACCTCTGGTCTCTCAGTAAAGTTGTGAGAGCAAGCCCTATGAACAAGCATTTTGCTTATAAGCACCTGAGATGCCAGATGTAATCATCACTGCTAAACACCGCCAGGCTGCCAGCAAAGTTCATTTCACATCCCAATGTACCCTGCTCACCAGCCAGGAAGGTGAGGGGCGTCTTCTGCATCCCTGGAGAATTGGCACTGATATCCAGGTCAAACATGAAAATCCTAAAGTTTCAGGCAAATTCTGAGGATCAGGCCTCTTCTGACTGGAAACTAGGATGTCTCTCTTACTAAGATCCATGCTTTCTATTGACTCTCAGAGTCCTACCACCAGCACTACCTCTGTTCCTTTCAGCCTGCCTGAGGAGATCTCTCTCATAGTCTATGGTATCACGTCTTTCTCTGGCAATCCGGATTGGCCATCTATTAGCAGGTATTTTTTTTTTTTAATCAGGAAGCAGTAAAGGTACAGCTGTGTTAGCGATTCTTAACTAGTACTTGTGCAACTGCCACGCATAATACTCCCTCTCTGTCTTCTAAACAAGGTCCTCATTAATAAATATGTCTTAATCATTTGAGACCGCTACCTTCTCTTGCTGATTTTCCATCTTCTAGTCTAGTACCATGGTGAACAACTGTGAATGGAACCAGTGTTGTACGTACCCACCATCTCCTATAGATTAGGGAGAATGAAAGGTAGAAAGCTTTCTGAAGTAGAGGAACAAATAATAATGCTCTTCAGCTTGTGTTGTTCTTTCACAACTGTCTGTGATTATGAATCTGATCCTACATGGACCTCCTGGGCAGAAAGATTCTTATCTATTTGGATATCATATTAAATAATTCCTTGAACAAAATTTGAAGCTTGCAGTGGCTCCCTCTCTGGGAAAACCCCAAGGGATATGAGTTTGGAAGCCCATAAATATGATATTGTGTCCAGGAAAGGCAACTTCTTGAGATCAGATAAGATGTGAGTGATTTTGCTGTAAGACTCGGATCTCTAGAACAATCAAAGATGGCTAGATACTACTGGTGATTTATTCCCCACTGTTACACCAGAAATAGACTTAATAATTTCAAGAAGGAAAAGAAGAAACATATCTATTTCACATAGCCATGGTCTTTCTGAGGCCAAAGGTGTTGTTCATTTCTGACTTGACTGTTTCTACCTAAACCTGGCCAATAGCCATACCAGTTATAATAAAAGGGACCATATTCCACTGGGCAGAACTTATTGCAATGACCTTGAGACCTGAGCCTACCACTCAGCTCCTCTCAGCCAAAGTTAATTCTACTCTACAGGAGTAAAAATAACCAAAAATTATTTTCCATTAATTTTTGGGGACATTACCTTGAGAAGATCTTGCCTTTCTTGGTGGAAGTGCTTTGACCATGCTAATTCAAAGCTGCTGGCATACATACAACAAGGTTAGTCTGTCCCAGCTCATCTTGGCTGCCTTCCTCATGTGGTTAGATTTTACCAAACAGTATGTGCCAAGCAGCTACAATTGTAGGGTTGGTGCCTTCTCCTTGAAATGAGTGGTTCCAAAAGAGACTTTCCCCAGAACAATCTCTATCCTGAGAATTTTCGTCCCTTGAAATTCACATGTCATTTCCACTCAAGTGACGGGAAATTACATAAAAGTCCACTGTGGGCATTGGCACCGTGAGTTCTCATCTTCCAAGCTTGGTTCCCTTCATTCTCTCTGCTCACCGTTATCCTTTCTGCACATTCCTTCTTCTGGATTCCCTTCCTGTTTTTGACTCTGAATTCTGGTTCTGACTTTTCTTTTGGTGATTTGAACTTGAGTCTCTTTTTGGCAACATATTCTGAATTAAAAATCGATTCCCTCTTGGTACAAGACTTTAAAATTCAATCATCCTTTCTACATGCTGAAACCAAGGATACCAAGCTCCTTATCTTCTCACTTGTTTGGGAGATTGGGTTGAAGGGTGCTTTCAGTTTTAGTACCTTAAAATGCACAAGGCATGCCTATGGTCAGGAGGCATGACTAAGGAAAGTCACTACCATCCAGTGGCTCAACAATTACTCTGTCTTACCCTCCCCCTTCCCATCACTCCTATTGTTGGAGTGTCTGCTATACCTTGCTCATTGGCTTCCCAGTTCTCTCTGGTTATTTTGGCTTTGTGCCATGGCTCCACCACCCCTTTCCTTTAAAGAATTGCAACCTTGGACTTTGAAAACTTAAAAAAACAAAACAAAACAAAAAACAAAAAAAATTACCCAAACCTTAGCATCATGCAATAGACCCTTGTAATAAACATGCACATGTACCCCCTGAATCTAAAATAAAAATGGAAATTGCAAAAGTAATAAAATGAAAAAAAATTGTCCTAACTCTGATAGCGGTCACCCTTGAGATTATTCCACATTGGCTCTGGGCTTCACTCAACACTATTCTTTCCCAGCCCCACTGGTTATAGGTGTATTAGCCCACACCCAGAGAAATTGAAGACAACAGTCTCCCTGCAACTTCTCTCCTCCTGCTAAACAATTCTAGTTCCTGCATCTATTCCTCATATAACATAATTATTTTATGGCTTTGCCATCCTGAACATTCTCTACGGTATGTACTCCAGCTTGTCAATATCCCGTATAGTGTGTGGTTCTCAGAACAACACAAATCAGCATGGAGTTGAAGGTACCATCATGCCTTTTGTTTCATGAATGAACATACCTCTTTAACAGAGCCTAAATTCACATTTAAATTCTGGCTTCTCTTTTACAACATTAGTGTGAATGTTTTACACTTAGGGAAAATCCAGAAACATTTCCATGTTGCTGTTCAGACATACCTTATCCTTCTATAATTGGACCCTTCTTAGTGTAGAACTGTATCTTATTTAAATATCAATCAATTGTTCTCATCCTTTAAAAAATCTTGATTCCAGAAAAATAAATCTGGATACTTAGTACAATACAATGCTTTTCAGACTATGCTCCAAGTGAACCTGGAGTTCTTCAGTCTACACTTTTAAATTAATTGATGTGCTTTCTTATCAATTCACAGAATAAGTTAAATTCATAGAATTTTCTCCAGATTTAACTCATAATTTTTTCCTCACATATTTATATCTGGTGCCACCTGTTTAACTGTGCTGAACTGACCAAGTAAAATAGTAAAATACTTTTTCTCAGAAAGCACCATGACTTCCAGTTACTTACCTCCACAAAACAATTCAACAATTTTCCATTCAATATATTAGGTATTCCTCCCTTTTCCATGTAGTTTACACAACTGATTGAAATGGTATCATTTGTTATTAATTTAACTTTGAAAAAGACCTCCCCAATGCAGACAACATGCATTAATTTTTGTAGTCTTTTGGCGAGATTCCAGATGTAATAATCACGAAATGGGAGTTTACCTTTGTTTTCTCTCTCCATATATATTTCCACTTCTTCTATAAGAATGTCATGAAAGACCTTGTCAAAGACTTTTCTGCAATCCAGATTCATCTGAAGCATTTACTTCCACTATTCTAGAGACTGTGTGTGTGTGTGTGTGTGTGGAATCAGTTTGGCATGATTTGTTCTTTATGGGTCCTGTGGTGTCTGCTAGTGTTCACCACTTCCCCTTGTACATGCTCACAGATCAACTTATTAATATTCCATCCCAGAGATTTGCCTGGATTTGATGTCAAGCTCACTAGTCCATAAATGACAGGATCCATTTACATCTTTTTTAGATAAGTGGGAACACATTTATCGAGTTTCCACAATCCCACAAAGTACTGCACATTCTTGAAGCACACTCCACCATGGATGTGTGTTTATACAGCCAGGGAACCAAACCACTTCAGAGAGGCCAGGTGCTGCTTTATTAGACCTTACACATCTATCAATATTTATTCTATCCTTTTCAGGATAGCATAAAATCATGCTTGCTGACAAAGCAGACCAATGCAAAATCCAAATTGAGTTCCCTTCTATCTCCCTGTCACCTGTTAAGATTACATCAGTAGCCCAGGCACCTGACAAATACATTTTTACTTGCAAAATACATATTTACTTTCCAAAATGTGTGTTTGCTATCTTAGCATGCTTCACATTTCTTAGCTCTTTGAGAGTTTTAGATATATTAATATTATGCTTAGAGATTCAAGCCAACTCCTTCTCTTTTCTTTCTTCCTCTCTTTTTCTCTTTGTATGCTATTTTCCCCAGCATTCTCTTTATCTCTTGGTGTTTGAGTTTCTAGAGACTTCCCTATTCAAGGACATTAATCTCTTTACTGATATTCTACCCTTGCTTCTTACTGGGATCATTGTAATTTCATTGTCAGTATATAATTTTTAAAGGTTGGCCAGCTATCATGAATCCTCTTCATGTCTATCACGATAGACATGACTTATAGTGAAGGGGCACAGGGGAAGGAACTTAGAGGTTTTTTCTTCCATCTTGTTTGCTCAGATGCATGGTGAGGTTAATTAAAAAGCACAATTTTTATACAACACAAAAAATGAAACTTTTATTAGAAATGCAGCTTTAGGCAGGGTGTGGTGGCTCATGCCTGTAATCCCAGCACTTTGGGAGGCCAAGGTGGGTAGATCACCTGAGGCCAGGAGTTCGAGGCCAGCCTGACCAACATGGTGAAACCCCGTCTCTACTAAAAATACAAAAATTAGCCAGGCATGGTGACGCATGCCTGTACTCCCATAATCCCAGCTACTCGGGAGGCTGAGGCAGGAGAGTCACTTGAACTCGGGAAACAGCGGTTGCAGTGAGCTGAGATCACGCCACTGCACTCCAGCCTGGGTGACAGAGCAAGATTCCATCTCAAAACAACAACAACAACAACAAAAAAGAAATGCAGCTTTATACTCCTCTGACAAATTCACTATTTAATTAAACAATAGCTAGTGACATTCACGTTCAGTATTAAGGAACATCTTTTGAAAAACATCAAATTTCAGAAACCACCTGGTACCATGATATTAGTCCCTGTCTGCCTCAACTCACCTTTGCTGTCAGCAGCAACAGTTTGCTCCTTCCTGGCTCAGTTCTGTACAGATTAAAAAAACCAAACGGGGCCGGGCCCAGTGGCTCACGCCTGTAATCCCAGCACTTTAGAAGGCCGAGGCGGGCGGATCACGAGGTCAGGAGATCGAGACCATCCTGTGAATGGTAAAACCCCGTCTCTACTAAAAATACAAAACATTAGCCGGGCGTGGTGGTGGGCGCCTGTAGTCCCACCTACTCGGGAGGCTGAGGCGGGAGAATGGCGGGAACCCAGGAGGCAGAGCTTGCAGTGAGCCGAGATTGCACCACTGCACTCCAGCCTGGGCGACAGAGCAAGACTCCGTCTCAAAACAAAAACAAAAAACAAATGGAAGCCTCACTTCAGCAACTACTTTGCCCAGTAGGGAGTAAGTGACAATTATTTTTCTGCTTTTGTTTTTGATGTTTGGTCTGACTGGGAAGATTGTCACCATTATTTAAGCTGGTATACTTGACTGTCTTGAGTCTAGGATTTTTTTTCTGATTTCCAGTCCAATACCTTATTGAGACAGCAATCTGTTCCTGATCCCAGACAGTCAACAGGGGCCAAGACACTTTGCATAATTCCTGAAAGTTTCTTTCAGAGATGGATCTACTTTCCAACATCTCTCATATTGACCCAAAGGACTTTCCTTTATTTTTACAATTCAAACATGCATGGGACAGAATCTTTGGTGGCTCACAGCAATGCCCCCTGCCCATAGCAGTCTTTGGATATTGACATCCATCTAGATTTGTTAGTAGCTCACTATCATCAAAGATGGCTTCCAACCTGCCCAAGTGTTAGATGGCTTCAGGCTCATTGAAGAGTTCTCAGAATGTCTGGAGTTTCAGAAAGAGGGAAAACTTACTCCTTTTGGAATTGACATAAAATCAATTTTCTAAAGAAGCTTAAAATAAATCAATGGCTCTATTCAGATTCTCAACATTTGGGAAGATTTACAGTTTTTCACAACCCCATTGAATTGAAAATATGAAGAGTATACTTGGCTACATGAAGAAGAATATGGTAAAATAATGCAAATTCTTTGTCTGATGGGTAAAAGAAGGTCAAATATAGAGTTTGGGTGAGATTTTAATCTTACTTAATATCTCTACCATTAGAACTGATTGCCAAATACAAGTTGAACATCTTAGGACCTGTACTTTTATCTTAAGTTTTCACAACAACCCATGATTCCCATTTTAGAGAGGAAGAAACTAGAATTTGGGGCAGTATTTGGAATGAATTCCTTTGGATAGAAAGTTTTAGAACTAGAAATTAGGATGATCAGCTGTCCCAGTTTGCCTAGGACAATGCTGGAGTTAGCCCTGAATGTCCTGCATCCTCGGAAATCCCTCAGTTCCATGCAAACCAGGACAACTAGTTGCCTTATGAGTGAACCCAAATTTGCAAGAATCCGAAATCCTTGTTTTTTCCTTTAATTGTCCAGCTTTTATTGCCTCTTCTGAGCTTTGCAATATTTCTGTAAAACACTTCCGTTCTATTCAATATTTCTATAAAACACTTCAGTTGAAGAACTATTAAAATACTGATACACATTTGTTGGAAAGAAAAACAGTGACTAGTCCAAAGCCTTTTAGTTTCTTTGGTCTATCAGTGAATTTTAATTCCACTTATTTTTAACATACTAGGACTTTTTCATAACTCACTACTTTCCTCTTTGTCCAAGTTTCAACTGAGTCAAGACACTTTATTTCTCTAAAATATCCTGTTTAAGATTAGTGACCTTATACTGATAAGACTTGCTTTCTTGGTCAAAATTTCCTTTTTTACCCACTTAAATAGCATACAAGAGTTGTTTAAATTTAACTCATAAACACAGCAAAAACACTGGAATTCTGAAAAGTGGTAAACATCACGGTGTTCATTCTCTCTCTCTCTTTTTTTTTTCTTTTGAGACAGATTCTCGCCCAGGCTGGAGTGCAGTGGCACAATCTTGGCTCATTGCAACCTCCGCCTCCCTGGTTCAAGCAATTCTCGTGCCTCAGCCTCCCAAGTAGCTGGGATTACAGGTATGTACCACCATGCCCAGCTAATTTTTTATGTTTTTAGTAGAGATGGGTTTCACCATGTTGGCCAGGCTAGCCTCAAACTCCTGGCCTCAAGTGATCCACCTGCCTCGGCCTCTCAAAGAGCTGGGATTACGGACGTGAGCCACTGCGCCTGGCCTGTGGTGTTAATTTGCATATCATTTCAAAATGTCTCAGCAATGTGTCTTTGGTGGAATCAGAGTTTTATTAGAAGACTTTTGAGTCTTCAGTATGGATTTTTATATTTTCAAATTCGTTAACATGAAAGAAAGGGAGAAACCTTTTCTTATTACATTCTTATACCTTGAACTAGAAGTATGACTACAAAATTTTAATGAATTCAGAAGACAATGCTGCATTTCCAAGTACAAAATAAGAAGTTTCCATTTCAATTAAAAAAACAAAAAAGTCCTTTGGGATGTGATGGTTACATGGAAAATGCAGCTTAAAGCTCATGTTAAAACTTTTCACCCTATTTGTATTAGTCTGTTCTAGCACTGCTAATAAAGACATACCCAAGACTGTGTAATTTACAAAGGAAAGAAGTTTAATACATTCAGTTCCACATGGCTGAGAAGGCCTCACAATCATGGCAGAAGGCAAAGGCGAAAAAAGGCACATCTTACATGGCGTCAGGCAAGAGAGTGTGTGCAAGGGCAACTCTCCTTTATAAAACCATCAGATATCATGAGACTTATTCACCAAAACAGGAACATTATGGGGGAACCTCCCCCATGATTCAGTTACCTCCACCTGGCTCCACTCTTCACAAGTGGGGATTATTACAATTCAAAATGAGATTTGGGTGGGGACACTGCCAAACTACATCACTATTCTAGCTCATAGGGAACATCTTCATCTTTGCTTGGCACAGAGGTATTCAGATTTAGTAACATCCATTATTATTTGACTCAGTATCATGCCCCATGTCACACTGTAGCCTCCTAGATGTGTTTATACCTCCCCCATCATTTGTATAAGCACATCTAGGAGGCTACAGTGTGATGGGCCTGACACTGAGTCCTGTGTTTGCTGTTCAAATTCCAGAGCATGCCACATAGAATCAGCATTATAGCAGAGGGTAATTACAAAGATTATTTCTTATGGTGAACAACATTATAGCTCGTCCTCTCTCTCGCCTAGTATTTCTGGAGAAGTATCTGTGAAGGGGCCATGGAAGGCAGACATCTCTGGAAAGAGTGTTGTAAAGAATAATTTGATTTTCAATATATCCTTAATGGGTACTTCTTTTTGCTGAGGACTGAATAAGAGTGGTGAATAACAAAGCCCTTTTCTCTCCTCATAGGCCTTCCAGTCTAGAAAGAGAACAATCTGGTTGTCTCTAGGTTAGAAAGTCAATACTAATATGACGAAAGATTATTGAACACCTACTAGGTGCTAGGCCCATTCCTAGGCACTGTTGGATACAGAGATACAGAGATAGGAGAAAGACATTGTCCTCAAGGAATACTCAAAGCATAATGGTGGAAACAAGCACAATAAATAATTACTAGAAAGTGTGATAAGTAATAATATAGGGGAAAAAGAAAGTTCTGCAGAAGACAAAGAAGGGAATAGAAACTTAGGCAATTGTATTTGATATGGGGTGAGATGAAAAAAGAGGGTTGGAGGTGAGAAGGGAGGTTGGTAAAGGGGTGATGTGGTTTTCTATGGCCAAGACCAACTCTGGCTAAACCTGATCAGGGGCTGAGTGGGAGACCACAGAGGAGACTGCTGCCTGGGGCAAGCCTTGCTTCTCTGCACCCGGCCTCACAGTATGTTGCATGCATCTGTCAGCTGCCTGTGATTTGTTCCTGCCCCCACTGAACTGAGAAATGAGTTTTAGGGTCAAATTCCCTAGTCAAAAATTTATTAATCTCATCCAGTGGCTGCTTATGTTTTTTTCAATTCTCATCCCCCTGAGCAAGAATACCTACAGTTTGTTCAGCTGTCATATTCTCTATCCTTCTGTCTAATTTGCTCCCAGGGTGGTTTCTCTCCTTTGTCTGAGGGCCTTATCTGAAGCTGCTTGAACTCTGTGGGCATTTTGAAAAGCCTGGAGCCAGGAGTTCATATCTATGGAAAGTTTCCCTCATAGATTTCACACTGGGGAGGCCAAGACAAGGGCTTGGTACGCACAAATGACAACTGCACATTGTCTTTTCCCTTCAACCAAGAAGACACAGCTGCTGGGATAGAGATGGGGAGGACAGTGATAAACTACTAAGCTTTCTGAGATATGAAATGTTTTGAAGTAAGAAATATGTGCAGTGTGCATTAATTTGCATCCTGCTGGCATTGAGTACTTTTCATACATGCATTCGTTATGTAGATTTCAAGATGACAAAAATAGCTAAAAGTTGACCCTGTTATAAATACCTTCCTGAACAGTGAAAGGAATGCAAATCCCACATTCATAAATTTTGTCAGTAGAGAGTTATATTGATCTGTTCAAATTATCTGAGGACATAGATTTTCCATTAGCCCTCTATAACAATGTCACGTTAACCATGATCATCAGAGAGGAGGGAGGCTAGAAGTATTTCTATTTGGGTGTCTAGTTACTAAGGGAGACAACAGCGCCATCAAAATGCTTAGAATCTTAAAAGCCTTAAAAATAAAGCAAGGACATATGGAAGCACCAGCAGGCTTTGTGTTCAGAGTCTGAATTGGTGCAGACCACGAGGTGTCTGGAGTCAGGCCCCTCTCAGAGCTCTGCCAGGCATCTCTTTGCTCTCAACTGGGGTGATTCCCAGGGCTGGTAAGGAGGGGTAGGAGTACTACCCCTTTGAAGCATCGTTGAGTAGGGACAGCAAAAAAACCATTTCTTTTATCATTTAAAAATAATAAGTTTAATTAAACAATAAAAATATTTTTAGCACACTATTCTAACCCAATCATTGCTTTATTTTCTCCATGTTTCATCCAAAGCTTTCTTCCCATGCGTATATTGTTTTATGTTGTGGCGACCTTGCACGTGCAGTTTGATGAGTTGCTTTTTTTCTTTGGTAACATGATTTCAGAGACATTTTCTATGTTGTTACAAAGGCTTCATGTTTATCATGTTCAATGATTGAATAATACTCCACTGACAAGATACTTCATAATTTATATAACAATTCCCTTGTTTTTGGATATTTAGCAAAACTATTGTTTTTGGCAGACTTCTGCTTCTGCAGAATTTCCAGCTGTGTGGGCTGAGGTGGGAAAGAAAAACCAATCTAAGCAAGCCAAGATTGGATTCAGGGGAGCACGTGGACAGGATGCCAAAATGTAGCTGATGAAAGAGAAGTAGAGTTGGTTGTGGACCAGGGTTAGATTCCAGGCTAATACAGAAGGAGCTTATTTCCCTACTTCTTCTTCTTTTATTTATTTATTCCCTTTTATCTCCACTTCCCAATTCTATTCCTCGCACCCTTCCATAAAAAACTATCCGAAGTGTTTTCCAGAAGCAGCTATCCAGAATGTTATTTATAATCCCAGGGAGGGTCATTGGCGCAAGCTTTCTGCTGGGATCCTGCCAGCCCTGGGGGATGAGGAGCAGGGAGAACGTGAGGAAACCCTGGTCAGAAGGGCTGGATGGAGAAGTCTGCCTGATGCTGAGATTTGCCTACACACAGACGTAAGACATTGTCTCCAACATCAGCCTCATCATGAATTAAGGTTAAGCTGTGATAAGAGAAGACACCAACAAATCTGGTAACCAAAGGGGAGGAAGCTTATTTCTTTGTCTCATCACAGTCCAAGGGTAGTGTTCAGGTAAGTAGGACTCCACTCCTCCATGCAGTCATTCTGCTCTGCTCTCTTCAACGTGTAACTTTCAGGGTTTCCCTGAATATCCATTCCTGTTCACCAGAAAGGCAAAAGGGAGTGAAGCATCATGAATGGAAGGATGCATGGAAATGGAGACATCCTAGCCACTTGCATTCCACTGCAGGGAACACAGCCGTGTGGACTCACCTAACTTCAAGGGAGCCTTGGAAATGTGATCCCAAAGAGAGCGAACAGATGGGGAAGCTAGTGGCATCTGTGCAATCAGTAGTACATGTGACACTTTGGCCTTCCATCTGCCTTTCTTCTTTGTCTTATTCCTGAATTGGTTCAGAATTTTGCAGAGAAGGGTGCTATTCGAAAAGCTCCAACAAAAACTATTTTGGCAGTACACTAGTACTACTTATATGAATATGCTCTCTCAGTGATATGTATTGGAGTGGAGGAAGGGGATGCAGGAAGGTTGAGAAAAAGGGGGATGGGGGAAGGTTGAGAAATAGACAGTATTTCTCTGCAGTGGGGTTTGCTTAAAAGTCTTACCCAACTAGGCATTGTGGCTCATGCCTGTAATCCCACCATTTTGGGAGGCGGAGGCAGGAGGAATGTCTGAGCCCGGGAGTTCAAGACCAGCCTGGGCAACAAAGCAAAACCATGTCTTTATAAAAAAAAAATAATAAAAATTAGCCAGGTGTGGTGGTGCATGCCTGTATCCTAGTTACTCAGGAGGCTGAGGCACAAGAATTGCTTGAATCCAGGAGGCAGAGGTTGCAGTGAGCCAATATCATGCCACTGCACTCCAGCCTGGGTGACAGAGTGAGACTCTGTCTCAATAAAATAATAAAATAAAAATAAAAGACCCACCCACCATGGGACCATATTCAATATTCCTAAAGGTAAAACTTTCTACCATTCTTGACAACTCACAGGTAAATGTTTCAATTGCAGGGGGCAGCATACATTTCTTGGCTAATAATTTGAAACTTCAACTTTTCTACACCTTTGTGTACCTCACATTGATTCATTGATCAACATTTATTGGGTACCTGGTGTGTATGAAATGTAGCTACTAGATATAAAACAGTCAAAGAATGTCAAAGTTTCAAGATAAAATGTATTTGAAATTATTACAATTAAAAATAAACTATGGGTTATACAAGACTTTTTAAATAAGAGAGATGATTGAAAAAATTGATCAAATAAAATGTGAATTAAGAGAACCTGAAAGAGGGCTTCAGTTCTAAAAATAGACTGGGAAACCAAGTGGTCAAAAAATAATACTCCCTTCTTCAAGAACATTTCAGCACTTTGGGAGGCTGAGGTAAGAGGATTGCTTGAGTCCAGGAGTTCAAGACCAGCCTGGGCAACATAGCGAGACCCTGTCTCTAAAAAGATAAAAATTAAAAACAAATTAGCTAGGCGTGACAGTGTGCACCTGTAATCCCAGCTGCTCAGGAGGCTGAGGCAGGAGGATTGCTCGAGTCCAGGAGTTTGGGGCTGCAGTGAGCTATTATTGTGCCACTGCACTCCCACCTGGGCAACAGAGCAAGACTTCATCTCTAGAATAAATTAATTAATAAATAAATAATAAAACAGAGGGCATTTCACTAATAGTGAGCCACAGAGAAACAACTAAGTGGAGAATTTCATGGGAACTCAGAAAGGTGTTTGCCAACCGCAGCTTTTACAAGGCCAGGAAGAGAAGAAACTCCATTCTCTGAGCTATCTCAACTTGTTTCCTTGGCACAGCCCTATTCGGTATTCCAAGCCCTTGTTGCCTATTAAGCAGCAATAAGTAGACTCCTAAACTCAAACTCAGCAGCTCCACCTGAACTGTGTGACCTCCCCACCCCAAAGGCTGTATTCTCTGTGGTTCTGGGAGCTATGGACGAGAATCATCACAATAGCCTCCTCTCAGTGATACCTAGTATGTACCAGGCACTGGGAGGCCCACTTTATGCAGAGTACGACATTGTTTTCATGACCCCCAAGAGGGAGATGGTATTACTTTCCCCACATTACGTATTGGTAAAACTGAGGCTTAGGTTATTTAGCTTCCCTGAGATTACAGAGTACATCAAGGGAAAATCTGGGTTAAGAAGCTAAGGCCATCTAATGTCTGAGCGTGAGCAAAAACTATTATGATGTGCAACTGTAGAACCTGGGCAGCTGCCACACCCCGAAGTTACAATATGCATCCCCAATTCTCTCTTTTTATAAAAAAAATAGTCTTTATTTTAAAATCCTTCTTTCTATGTCCCTAACACCAAACCAAAATCATTTACATGAGTGTCCCCCAACACTCATGGGTGTTTGCTGTACAATTTGTTTAAGTCAAAGAGGTGTGCACCTTAATTAAGTAAGACACCTGAACTTCTCACATATGGAATTGGGTTCACCTACCTCATGGAGATCTTCTCCACTTTAAATGCTGGAGAAAACTCCAGCAGATTGTCCTGTAATCACTATTGACAGCTTTAGGCATATGTATGTGTTTGGAGACTTCGAAGATGTATTAATTCCTGGAAAACTCAAGCAATTTGTATTTGACTTACATTCTGGACAACTGCACAGAGAATTCCATCATGGACCTGTCCCAACCGATATCGCCCCAGGAGAGCAAGACCAAGATGTAGCAAGCTGTCCACCTGAGAGCTCCTTCCAGAAATTAACACCCCGTGAATATAGGCATACTATATTCAGGGATCAAGATGAGTTTTAAAAACTTGAAAACCAGTTTGTAAGCCTTTCATCAGCAGCATCAACCTATGTGGTGGAAATAGTAAACCTATATTTTCATAATTCTATGTGTATTTTTATTTTGAATAAACTGAAAGAAGTTTTGGGTTTTTAAAAAAGATACTGTATAATAAAACCACTATGTAAACTAAACACTTAAATGCAAATGCTTATTGTTATTGTTATATAAGACAATCTTGGAAAAATATGAATATGCTATAAAATATTGTATGATGAAAAACAAAAACTTAGGTGAGGAAATGCTCCCCAAAACCTTACCGGTACCAGTTTTTTCCCTCATGACCACTTACATATTTACTTATCCCTGTTAACTTTTTCATGAGAGTTCCCTGTGCACTGTCTGTCTTCTGAGCCTCTGGGATTGTGTATAATCTGGCGGGAGAGTGGATTTTGGCAGGCAATCAGCAATGTGACTTTGTGGTTTTTGGTTGAAAGACTCTTCTAGATGGGTGGGATATGAATGCTCTGCTAATGAAACACTGCTAATTGGCTAGCAGGGAATTAGACTTGTCTTATTTTTCATCAAGGCTTAACCCCTCTGGCTGTTCATATTGAACTCTTTAGTCTGGAATAGGTCACTGTGTTAAAATAAACACACGCTTATTATCTGAGGTGTTTTTAGCCTAGCAATTTGAGATAAAATGCTTGTCGTTTTAAAAGTTCAAAAACTCTTTAGGTCCTGGGAAGGATTTGTAGATCATATCCTAAAAAGGTGAGACAGAAGCTATTTATTAAATGTCATTATTAACAAAACAATTCTGATGAATATTTTGATCTACTGAGCAAAATGTACGCTGGTTTGCCTCAAAAATAAAATAACTGAACACTGTTAGAAAGAACCGTGAAGTTGAGAAATCACAGCTCACCCCCTCTCATATCTCCAAACTCTTCCAGGTCCCTGTGCATAAATACAAATAAGATGTGGCAGTTTGCTCTTAAACAGAACAAACCTGCATTCCTTAATCTAGCCCTGAAGTCATATTTATGGCAGAAGGGATAGCTGAACCCTGGTGAAGAGTGGTGACTTTCTGGGGTTCTTAGCTTTCAGTCTTCCCTTGGGAATTGGTTTCCAAAAGAAGTGCCTGCCTTGTTTCCCAGCTCTGTCACCCAGGCTGGAGTGCAGTGGCACGATCTCGGCTCACTGCAAGCTCCACTTCCCGGTTTCACGCCATTCTCCTGCCTCAGCCTCCTGAGTAGCTGGGACTACAGGCGCCCGCCACCATGCCCGGCTAATTTTTTGTATTTTTAGTAGAGACGGGGTTTCACCATGTTGGCCAGGATGGTCTCAATCTCCTGACCTTGTGATCTGCCCGCCTTGGCCTCCCAAAGTGCTGGGATTACAGGGGTGAGCCACCATTTCCCAGCTTTCTTTAGCTAGATATATGTGTGTGAGATGTTGTATGTAGTATCACTCATACCTCAGCCTCTAGCCAAATTCAGCAAAGTTCCCATAGAGATTACTGACTGAGAAGAGACTGTGGATGGAGTCATCTGGTCCTCCACAAATCTTGCTGTGTTCCTATTGCTGTAGGCCTGGTGGCCTAAACCAAGTCCAGCATCACCATCATATGCTAGGCTAAAAACACCTCAGATAATAAGCGTGTGTTTATTTTAACACAGTGACCAATTCCAGACTAAAGAGTTCAATATGAACAGCCAGAGGGACTAAGCCTTGATGAAAAATAAGACAAGTCTAATTCTCTGCTAGCCAATTAGCAGTGTTTCATTAGCAGAGCATTAATATTCCACCCATCTAGAAGAGTCTTTCAACCAAAAACCACAAAGTCACATTGCTGATATGAGAGGATGTATATAGGTGATATGCAAATACTATGTCACTTTATATCAGGGACTTGGGCATCCTTGGATGTTAGTATTCAACAGGGTTTCTGGAATCAATCTCCCATGGATACTGAGGAACAACTCTATATTTATACAATGGAATATTATTCAGCCTTAAAAAGGAAAGAAATTCTGGCACATGCTACAATGTGGATGAGCCTTGAAGACATTATACTAAGTGAAATAAGCCAGTCACCAAAGAACAAAGACTGTATGATTCCACTTCTGTGAGGTTCCCAGAGTTGTCCAATGAGTAGAAACAGAAAGGAGAATGTTGGGTTCCAGAAGTTGTGAAAAGGAGGCACATGGGGATTGTTTAATGGGTACGGTTTCAGATTTGCAAGATGAAAAGAGCTCTGTGGCAGGATGATAGTGATAGCAGGACAACAGGAATGCATGTAATGCCACTGAACTGTGCACTTAAAAATTGTTAAGATGGAAGATTGGGTGTGTCCTTTACTGTGAACAAATAAACAAACCTGTTACATTTGCTTCCCTGCACCCAATCCTCTAGGGATTCCCATCACATTGAGAATAAAAGTCAACAAGGCTGTGGCCTGGCTAAGATTCCCTGATGACCAATGTCTCCTCTCTACCTTACTTATGGCTCTTCTTGTAGTGTCCCCAAGCCTGTTCCACTTTGGGCCTGTGCACCTGCCTGGACCTGTTTCCTACAGACACTCACCTGACTTATTCACTCAGTTCCTGTAAGCGTCCACTTCAATGT
The DNA here is from genome assembly GCF_000001405.40 of Homo sapiens. Lineage (NCBI taxonomy): Eukaryota > Metazoa > Chordata > Mammalia > Primates > Hominidae > Homo > Homo sapiens. The sequence goes on along the minus strand of NC_000008.11, from coordinate 33,224,237 downwards.
TACCATCAAGAGGACTTTTTGGGCCACTTTACTAAAACAGCACCCTTTGTCCCTCTATTATCTTAAATTTTTTTTTTAATTTTAAGTTCCGGAGTACATATGCAGGATATGCAGGTTTATTACATAGGTAAATGTGTGCCATGGTGGTTTGCTGCACCTATCAACCCGTTACCTAGGTATTAAGCCCAGCATGCATTTACTGTTTTTTTCTTAATGCTGTCCCTCTATTCTCTTAACCTAGGCTTTTTTCCTACATTATACTTATCACTCTCTGACACTATTTTGCATATGCATTTGTTTATCTGCTTGTTGTCTCTCTCCCCAACCAGAATGTTAGCTCAATGAGATCAAGGATTTTGTCTGTCTCCCTTGTCACTGTATCTCTAGTGCCTGGTTCCAGTGAATGTTTGTTGAATGGATGGTGCATGAATGAATGAATAAATGAATGCATGAACCAGCATTCCAAGGGCAGTGCATCAATCACTTGTATTGGAGGGTCTAAGGCAGAGGGCAGATTAACTAAGTGTCCAGGCAGCTGTAGAAGTGAATGCTGGCTGTGGTTCCTTGTACAACAGTCCCACCCCCTCCGCCTGCCTCAGCTTAAGGCCACCCTGGGTGTTTGGGGAGGCTGAGGTGTAGGACTATTATCACCTTCTCTAGTTCCCGGCATTGCCTGACACTCTCCAGTTCACACTTTCCCTTTTCCTTCCCCCATCTGGATCTCTGCCTCTCAACCTGAGTTTCAAAGTATTAAAATCTGAGCCTGCCATTTACACATTTTTGACAAAGCCAAGCCCAGTTGCTTAAAGATGATTGGATGCAATTATCACCACCTCTAGCAGAAGTGCTGATCACTTTATTGAATTTTGTTTGAAAAAAGGAGGAAAATGCACAGCCATTGTTTACTCTTTTAGGCCTCAGTATTTGAGAAAACATTTGCCTCTTCTCCTGTCTTGTAGCTTTGAGGACCAAGCATGTTTTTAATTCAGACCTTCACCTTGGCTTTGACCCTTCACCTCTTCCTACTAGGCCCAAGTGACTCTTCCTTTGCAGCTGGACTGTTTTTTTTTTAAATAATATTTAAGACTCCAGAGCAATCACCACTATCACCTAGAGTAATCTGCCCGCATGCACTCCAGAACAGCTGTGATGACCTGTCAATTTCCCAGGGGTCACTTTAACTTTGTTTTGGTTGTGATGTGGGATCGGGGCCTGGGAGTCCTCATTTGGATCCAGGCTGATATCCAGTCCAGATACACTTGTACTTGGAAAGCCAATCACGCACATATGGCTGAGTGGAATATTTTTTCTTTTTGTTCTCAGATGCTTTTGTTTTACCCATTAAAGCCAGAGTCTAGGCTGGAATGCATTTCTCAGGGTCTTACTAAAATGCAATCAAGTGAGTTATTGGATGTATAAATTAGAAATTCATAAAATTCTGTTTCCAAACTTGAAGGTTGTCAGGACTTATTTTTGGCCAAACTGGGATGGTTTCTTAGAGGAAAAGATGTTTAAGGTGAGACTAGAAAAAGAACAGGATTTATGTGAGCAAGGTAGAGAGGAGTAAAAACAGAACGGGCTTGGGAATTTGCAGGCAATTCGGCACAGGAGGGGGCAGGTTTTGTGGGGAGTTGAGAGGCGAGTGAGGTCATAAGACACTAATGATCCATGTTAAGGATTCACAATCATATTCTGAAGGCAATAGGAAACAACTGAAGTATTAAAAGCTAAAGAGAAACATGATGATGATGACGATTTTTTAAAAAATTTATTTTAAGTTCCGGGATACATGTACAGGATGTGCAGGTTTGTTACATAGATAAACGTGTGCCATGGTGGTTTGCTGCACCTATCAACCCATCACCTAGGTATTAAGCCCCACATGCATTAACTATTTATCCTGATGCTCTCCCTCCACTCACCCCACTGACAGGTCCTGGTGTGTGTTGTTCCACTCCCTGTGTCCATGTGTTCTCATTGTTCACCTCCCACTTATGAGTAAGAATATGCTGTGTTTGTTTTTCTGTTCCTGTGTTAGTTTGCTGAGGATTATGGCTTCCAGCTTCATCCATGTCCTTGCAAATAATGCAATCTCGTTCCTTTTTATGGCTGCATGGTATTCCATGGTGTATATGTACCACATTTTCTTTATCCAGTCTATCATTTTTGGGCATTTGGGTAGATTCCATGTCTTTGCTATTGTGAATAGTGCTGCAGTGAACATACATGTGCATGTATCTTTATAATAGAATGATTTATATTCCTCTGGGTATATACCCAGTAATAGGATGGCTGGGTCGAATGGTATTTCTGGTTCTAGATCCTTAGGGAATCGCCACACTGTCTATAATGGTTGAACTAATCTACACTCCCACCAACAGTGTAAAAGTGGTCCTATCTCTACAGAGCCTCACCAGCATCTATTGTTTCCTGACTTTTTAATAATCGCCATTCTGACTGGTGTGGGATAGTATCTCATTGTGGTTTTGTTTTACATTTCTCTAATGATCAGTGATGTTGAGCTTTTTTTCATATGTTTGTTGGCTGCATACATGTCTTCTTTTGAGAAGTATCTGTTAATGTCCTTTGCCCACTTTTTGATGGGGTTGTTGATTATTTTTATATAGTTATAAAACATCACACTTGCTGCAGAGTGGACTATGTGTAATGTATAGATTAGAGGGAGAATTTAAAGACGAGTAGGAGGTGGTAATAGTAAATTAAAGGCAAATGTGGATGTGGCCTGAACAAGTGTATGAAAAATGCAGTGGAAAAATGTGGATAGATTTTTAAAATAGACTTTTAAAAAACCAATTTGTTATTTTCTAAGTAGACTTCATTTTTTAAGGCAGTTTTAGGATTGCAGAAAAATTGTACAGAGTCCCATAGACCTTCCCCCCATATCAGGTACACAGAGTTTCCCCTGTTATCAACATCTTGCATTAGTGCAGTACGTTTGTTATAACTGATGAACCACTGTTGATACATTATTATTGCCTGAAATCCATAGTTTGCATTAAGGTTTGCTATTTGTGTTGTGGAATTCTCTGGGCTTTGACATATACATAATGTCATGCATTTACCATTATAGTATTATACACAATAGTTTCACTGCCCTAAAAATCTCCTGTGCTCCACCTATTTCTCCCTTCCTCTTACCCCTGAAACCAATGCTCTTTTTACTTAGCGTTTTACCTTTCCAGAATGTAATAGAGTTAGAATCTGCAGTACATAGAACTTTTTCAGCTGGCTTCTTTCACTAGGTGATAGGTACTTAATGTATCTCTAAGTCTTTTGGTGGCTTGATAGCTCAATTTTTAAGATAGATTTTATTTTCTTTAAAGCAGTTTTAAGTTCACAGCAAAAGTAAGCAGAAAATACAGAGATTTCCCATATTCCCTTGGCTCTTTTTTTAAACACTTAATAATGTTTCATTATATGAATATATCACAGTTTATCCATTTACCTATTGAAGGACATTTTGCTTGCTTTCCATTTTTAGTGATTATGAATGATATTGCTATAAACACTCCTATGAAAGTTTTTGTGTGTATATAAATCTTTAGCTCATTTGGGTAAGGAGTGTGATTGCCAGATCATATAATACAACTATGTTTAGCCTTGTAAGAAACTAGCAACCTGTGTTCCAAAGTGGATGTACCATTTTGCCTTCCCACCAGCAATGAATGAGAGTTTCTATTCCTCTAGATCTTTGTGAGCATTTTGGTGTTTTCAGTGTTTTGGATTGTGGCCATTTGAATAGGTGTGTAGTGGTATTTCACTGTTGCTGTAATTTGCAGTTCCCTAATGACATATACTGTTGTGCATGTTTTCATATGCTTATTTGCCATCTGTGTACCTTGGTATTATTCATCAGATTGTATATAATATTTAAAGATTTGGAAATAGATGGAATTTCCTCAGAAATACCTATGTAAATTAAAAGAAGAGAGATTCTAGAAAAGAAATTAGAGTACTCCAATTTAAGAGATGAGCAGGCAGGGCACAGTGGCTCACGCCTGTAATCCCGGCCCTTTGGGAGGCTAAATTGGGTGGACCACTTGAGGCCAGGAGTTCGAGACCAGCCTGGCCAACATGGTGAAACCCCCCGTCTCTAGTAAAAATACAAAAATTATCCGGATGTGGGGGGATGCACCTGTAATTCCAGCTACTCCAGAGGTTGAGGCATGAGAATTGCTGGAACCTGGGAGGTGGAAGTTGCAGTGAGCCAAGATCGCTCCCTCTGCACTCCAGCCTGGGTGATAAAGTGAGACTCTGTCTAAAAAAAAAAAAAGACTTGAGTAAAGAATAGGAGTCAGCTATAATGGAGATGCAGCAGCTTATACAACATTCTGGAAGTCCAGGGAAGGGAGTTTTTGAGGAGGGAAGCCAATTGAGTCAAATACTATCAGCAGATCAAGTGAGAAAAGGACAAAAATGTGCATCTTGGATTCAGCAATAAGGAGATTAGTGACTTTCAAAGTAGTTTCAGTAGATAGGATTTGGTGGTGGTGGTAGAAGCAGTCAATTGAAAAGGGAATATTAACTTAGAAAACATAGAAAGTAAGAGTAGCAACTGTTTCAAGAAATTTGTTGCTAAAGCAGAAGAGAAAAATGAGTCTTGTGGGGCAGAAGACAGGTACTCAAGGTTGATGAGGGAGAATTGTACAAGTGTAAATATTGATGGGAGATGTTAAAGACCCAGTCACGAGACTAGAGGACAGTCATTTTATACTTGAGGGAGAACAAATATCACCCCTGAAAAAAAATTTAAAATGCACAATTATTTGATGCCAAATCTAGAGGTTCTGATTCTGAAGGTTGTACTGAGGCTTCTGTACCTGGCCAGCCTCCCTAGGTGGTAATCATGCTGGTGTTTCCCAGGTGATACTTCGAGAAACAAAAGAAGAAAAGGGATCTGGAGCACAATGCTGGGTTCTCTGGGAACAGAAAAAGCAGTATTTTATCCACGATTACACGAGCAGGTGCAGACACCTTTGTTGTTTGGAGATAGAAAGTTTAATGGTTCTTGTCTGGTGTGCCCTACTTCTCTATGAAACAGGAGGTGAATTTTCCCCTGAGGGTGAAGGATTAAGTTTGAAGAGAGTGGCAATGATTGAAAATAGCTATGACAAAGAATGGTAGACAGTGTGTCAATACAAAAGAATTTCTGAGAAATTTCAAGAAGTCTTTTGAGGTTTATAGATCATGAATTCTTAGTAGCAATCATCTGCATTGTTTTGCGAGTGTCTGTAACCAAGCCCAACATCCCAGAGTAAGTACCAAGAAAATGGTTCCTTGGATTGGTCTAGAGTATGTGTTCTTTGAGATAGAAAGATAATGGCCAGGCGTGGTGGCTCATGCCTGTAATCCCAGCACTTTGGGAGGCTGAGGTGGGCAGATTTCCTGAGGTCAGGAGCTCGAGACCAGCCTGACCAACATGGTGAAACCCTGTGAAACTCCACTAAAGAGAGTGAAACTCTACTAAAAATACACAAATTAGCCAGGCATGGTGGCGGGTGCCTATAATCCCAGCCACTGGGGAGGCTGAGGCAGGCGAATCGCTTGAACCCGGGTGGCAGAGATTGCAGTGAGCTGAGATCACACCATTGCACTCCAGCCTGGGTGATGAGAAACTCCATCTAAAAAGCAAAACAAAACAAAACAAAGCAAAAAAACAAAAAAAAAAGGAAAGAAAGAAATAATGAAGAAGGCAGTGGCTTTTAGTGCCAAGAAAATTGTTAAGATGAAGAAATCCAAATGAACCAGAAAAGAAGGCAGGAGAACCCTGGCAAAGGGAGGTGAACCAAGGAGCAGAGGTCTCGGAGAAGCCCAGCTTGGAAGGATAAGTCTTTGAGGTTATTGAGGAGAATATTTGATGGAAATATTTCAGAGTTTCAGCAGTTTTTTTTTTTTTTTGAGATGGAGTTTCACTCTTGTCGCCCAGGCTGGACTGCAATGGCACGATCTCTGCTCACTGCATCCTTCCCTTCCCTGGTTCAAGTGATTCTCCCGCCTCAGATTCTCCTGCCTCAGCCTCCTGAGTAGTTGGGATTATAGGTGCCTGTCACCACACCCAGCTAATTTTTTGTATTTTTAGTAGAGATGGTGTTTTGCCATGTTGGCCAGGCTGGTCTTGAACTGCTGACTTCAGGTGATCCACCCACCTCGGCCTCCCAAAGTGCTGGGATTAGAGACGTGAGCCACCGCGCCCAGCCAGCAGTTTTAAGTGAAGCTAAATTATGTAGGTTGTGGTCATGTAGGAGTGGAATAATAAAGTGTAGTTAAGGTGAAGGCTACTAGAGATGAAACTGATCAAGAAACGTAGAAGCCAGGACCTTCTGTGTGCTGTCTCCTGTAGCTTTGCATCTCTAGCACAGAAGTAATAGACAGTGCCAAATTATGCATAGATGGGTATTCTACTCTGAATGTGCATGTAAATCAATGCATTACTTTTGTAGAGGATAAGTCTGCATATTCAGTGTGACCTCTCATTACGGAATGACTGTGTCACCTCAAGGAATCCAGAGCTCCAGAAATCTGATCACTTAGGTTTTCTTACTCTGCTTAAGCAAGGGCAGCTTAGCTAAAGGTACTAATTACAGTAGCATTCTTTTCCTCTGTGTGAACAACTTAAAAATTTCTCTATAATAGTGTTTTTATAAGTAAGGTCTTCAAACTTCCTGCATAAAAATTACTTGGGAGTGATGGTTAAAAATGCATACTCCTGAGTATAACCCTAGACTTAACAAAAGTGGATAGAGTGGGAAGTTGGGTTGTGTGCGGCTGGAATCAATCTATCTATCTATCTATCTATCTATCTATCTATCTATCTATCTATCTATTTATCTATCTAGAGAGAGAGAGAGAGACTCACTCTGTTGCTCAGGCTGGAGTGCAGTGGCACAATCTCGGCTCACTGCAACCTCCGCCTCCCAGGTTTAAGTGATTCTTATGCCTCAGCCACTGGAGTAGCTGGGATTACAGGTGTGCACCACCACACCTGGCATTTTTTTTTTTTTTTTGAGATGAAGTTTCATTTTTGTTGCCCAGGCTGGAGCGCAATGACACGATCTCAGCTCACTGCAACCTCTGCCTCCCATGTTCAAGCGATTCTCCTGCCTTAGCCTCCCAAGTAGCTGGGATTACAGGTGCCCACCACCACACCCAGCTAATTTTTGTATATTTAGTAGAGTTGAAGTTTCACCATGTTGACCAGGCTGGTCTTGAACTCCCAGCCTCAAGTGATCCACCTGCCTCGGCCTCCCAAATTGCTTGGATTACAGGCATAAGCCACTGTGTCCAGCTAGGAATCTTTATTTTTAACTAGCTCTTCAAAAGATTCTTATGCACATGCCAAACACAGACACATACATGTGTCTATATGTATGTGTGCTTTCTATGTGTAAGGAGCATGTAAGTGGATGTTGCCTATGCATGTGATTCATGCAGAGCTCTCCATTCTCTGAAATATGGTCGCTCTATGCTTCCCTAAAACACACTCTCATTCCACCAACTCTGGATTCCTTTCTTACCTAGATGCTAATATAGATAGCACAGAGAACAGTAAAGTGACTTTCTGCGTATTAGTCTGAGGGATACGGAATATTCTCCAGGATGTTAGCAATATATTTCTACAGATTTTACCTTTGAATTGCCATTTGATTCCATGATACCTACCTCTCCAGTGAGGTCATAATCTATGAACTCCAAAAATAAATATCTTAGCTGATTTTGTTTTTTCTTAAAGGAAAGAGTATATGAGTCAAGGGTGAGTTGGCAGAGAAGAATTTAAAGCTTCCAAATGTCGAAAAAAGGACAACACTGCAGCTTGCTTTAAGAAGAAACCAAATGTCCTAATTAACATTTTTATCTTTGACATTTCCTGACTGCCTTTATGTGTCCCTTAGGTGATTATTATAGTTTAAAAAATAAAAATTCAATATTCATTCTTACCCCCACTTTCATAGTTCAGTTAATCCCACGTAGTTCACCTGTTTTGTTGATCTACATTGCTAATGCCTCTTATGGAAGGCAATCAAGGGTGCTTATAAACATTTTTGTCTGGTTAGTTTAATGCTACAATCATCTGAGATAAAAGGTACTGGTTATTTTACTCCAATGGCAAAGTACTCAATAAATTTTTTTCCTTGGGGTTAATGTGTTTTCTTATTTCAGTCTTTTGTCCTCTCTTCCTCTCTATTTCCAAATAGTATCGCATTTATTCCTATGCTTCGTTTCCTATTCAGTATGTGGATGTGGCCATTGATATCTATTATGATAACTTATTTGAAACTTCTTGAGTTCTTTCTGCCCCTGCTCTTTTAAATAGGATTCATGGAAAACCCCAGAAAGAGGATATTATAGCAAGTTAACTTCTTGTAGCTGGTTTGGACTTTATAGAGTAAGTAGTATAATAATAAATGAAAAAGAAAGTAAAATAGCTACAGTGGCTAGAATACATATTTTATTTCATGTAATTCTCATGGAAATTTTTGTAGTTGGGATTATGATTTTTATTTTTATAGAAAGGAAATAGGTGAGGCTCCAATAAGTGAAGAACCCAAGTTCTCCTTTTTCACCAAGTATCTCCCCAACCACTTATATTTTTAGAATCTATATCTTTTCTAGCTCCTTTCTCTTATTCTATAAACACGTTAAAAATGTCAGGTCCTAAAAATACAAATTTTCCTTTGACTATAATCCGATATCACTTCTTTTTTTCACAGCCAAGTTCTTAAAGGAACAGTCTACATTCTTTGTTTCTGCTTCTTCAATTTTCCTAATTCACAGTTAACCTATAGCAATGCAGCTTTAACCCATCCTTCTAATTGCTATGTACATGCATTAGCATAAAACAATGCCACAACAAATACCTAAGGCATGCAGGGCTTAAAACCTAGATGACAGATTGATAGGTGCAGCAAACCACCATGGCACATGTATACCTATGTAACAAACCTGCACGTTCTGCACATGTATCCCAGAACTTAAAGTAAAACAAAACAAACAAACAAACAAAAACCAATGCCACTCTTGTTCTCCTCTGTATGCAGCATTCAGTGCTGACCATGTCCTCACTAAAAGGCTTGATTTACTACCAGGATTGTTATCTAAATTAAAAGAGTTAATTCAAGAAGTTTAGAAGAGTGCCTAGCACATAAGAACCACCATTAAATATGAGATGTTGTTGATATATAGTGGTGATTGTTGGCTACTGTTAATACAATGACCAGGGTCTCTATTCACCTTATAAATTAAACATTTTCAGTTTCTTTTGCTTGTTCTTTTTTTTCTTCATTTCTGCCTTTATACTCATGCAAAAGGGATCACTGCTCTAGGGTTCACACTCTTTAAAATCAGTTGTACTGAGGTTTAACGTACATAATGTAACATTCATTAATTGTCAGAGTCCAATTTAGTAAGTTTCTACAGATATATGGTAAATTTCTACAATTTGGTAAGTTTCTACAGTCATGAAACCACCACCATAATCATGATATAGAACATGCCCACGACCCCAAAAACTGTCCCCATGCTTCTTGGAATCAATCTTCTCCCTCTACTCCTGATTCTTGGCAAATATTAATCTTCTTTCTGTCATTATAATTTTATCTTTTCTAAAATTGTGTATAAATGGAAACTACACAGTAGCCAGTCTTTAGTGTTTGGCTTCTTTCACAGAGCAGAGTGCTGTTGGGATTCATCTATGTTGTTCCATATCAGTAGTTTCTTTCTCTTTTTTTTTTTTTTTTTGAGACGGAGTCTCGCTCTGTCACCCAGGCTGGAGTGCAGGGGCGCGATCTCGGCTCACTGCAAGCTCCGCCTCCGGGGTTCATGCCATTCTCCTGCCTCAGCCTCCCGGTAGCTAGGACTACAGGCACCCACCACCACGCACTGCTAATATTTTGTATTTTTAGTAGAGACGGGGTTTCACAGTGTTAGCCAGGATGGTCTGTAGTTTCTCTTTTTTTATAGCTAAGTATTACAGAATACAGTTATCATCTGAGGACCAGGTAATGGCCGTTTGTGCTGTTTTCAGTTTTGGATTATTATACGTAAAACTGCTATAAACATTTGAATACAAGTCTTTGTGTGGACATGTGTTTTTATTTCTCTGCAGTAAATACCCAGAAGTGGGATTTGGGGGTCTCATGATAATTGGATGCTTTATTGTATAAGAAAATGCCAAAATGTTTTCCAAGTGGTTACACCATTTTGCATTTCCAGCAAAAATCTATGAGAGTTCTCACAGCTCCACATTCTTGCCAGCATTTGGTACTCAGTCTTTTAAACTTCCACCATTCCAGAGAACGTGCAGTACTAACTCTGTGGTTTTTATTTTCATTTCCTTGATGACTAATGAAGTTGAGGACCCTTTCATGTGTATGTTTGTCATTGTTTCTTGGTGATGTGTCTATTCAAATCTTTTGCCCATTTTAAAAACTGGGTTGTTTTCTTTGTTTTACCAATTTGTTAAGAGTCCTTAAACATTCTGGATGTAAGATTTTCTTCTACATTTTCTTCTAGAAGTTTTATAGTTTTAACTCTAATATTTAGGTCTATGATTCATTTCAGGTTAAGTTTTACATACAGAGATGGTAAGGATCAAGGTTAATTTTTGTGTGTGTGTGTCTAATTGCTCAAGTTCCACTTGGTGAAAAGACTATCTCCGTTATGAATTGAGTCACCTTGGCACCATTGTCAAAAATTAGTTGATCAAAAATGTGTGGCTCTATTTCTGGCCTCTATTCTGTTCCATCAATTTATTTAAGTTTGATTTGCTCTTCTTTTTCTAGTTTTTAAAAGTGGAATCTCAGATCATTGATTTGCCACTTCTATTCTTTTCTAATATAACCATATAATGCTAAAAGTTCTCTCTAAATGTTGCTTTAACTGCATCTTACAAATTTTGATCTGTTGTATTTGCATTTTCATTCAGCTTAAAATATTTTCTAATTTCTCTTACAATTTTTTTATTGATCCATATGTTATTTAGAGATGTGTTGTTTAATTTCCAAGTATTGGAGGAATTTTCCAGATATCTTTCTGTTAGTTATTTTTAGTTTAATTTTGTTATGGTCAGAGAACACACCTTGTATGGTTTTAACTCCTTTACATTTTTTGAGACTTGTTTTATGACCTAGCATATGATCTATTTTGGTAAATGTACTACATTCACTGAAAAATAATATGTATTCTGCTGCTATTATGTGAGGTGTTTCATAAATGTCAATTAGGTTAAATTATTTGAAATGATTATTCAAGGGCATTATATTCTTGCTGGTTTTCCATCTGCCTGTCCATCAATTACTGCTAGAGGAGTGTTGCAATCTCCTACTGCAATCATAATTTGTTTATTTCCCATTTCAAGTCTATTGTCAATTTCTTTGTTTCATCTTTTAATCCTATCAATTTTGGTTCATGCATTTTGAAGCTCTGTTATTAGGTGTGTAAAAGTTTACAATTGTTATGTCCTCTGGATGAAGTAGTGCCTTTATTATTATGAAATGTTTATCTTTATGTCTGATAAATACGTTTTGTTTTAAACGCTACTTGCATAATAATATTATCCACTCCATATTTTGGTAGATAAGTGTTTTCAGAGTATATCTTTAAAAGGTCAGTTATATTTCAATGAGGTTAAAAATGAGAAAAATACATTCTATATTTTGCCACATATTTATCATTTCTGGAATTCTTAATTGTTTACATTGTTCTAAATTATCATCTGTTATTATTTTTCTTATATCTGAAGAACTTTCTTTGACAATATTTGTAATTCAAGTCGGCTGCTGGAGGCTGGAGGGCAAATCTGATCTCTGTTACTCCCTTATGGTCAGAAGGGAATGTCAGGAGTTTCAGTCCCATTCTTCAGAGAGCCCAGCTCTGGGCTTCATATGGCCTTTCCCATAGTGTGAGAATTCTGGGGGCCAAGAAAATGTGCCTACCCAGAATCTATCTCCCTTTAAACCCAGACTTATATTATGAATAGTCAGGAACCTGAAATTTCCTATGAAACAGCCAGCCTAGCTTCCAGTCCCTACCTCTTCTCTGGAATTACCCTCCTAATGGAAGACTTAGGAGTGGCTATTTGCTGCGGTGGTGTGGACAGAGCTCAAATGTGCGCACTGAGATGTCTTCCCATATGTGTGAGAGGCCTTTTGTAGTATTGGATGAACCCACAGGAGGGAGAAGGAAGGCAGGGGATCAGGAGCTAGCTCCTTCCCATGCTAACACATTCAGGCATAAAATTTTGAGTTCCATAATTCTGTATTCAGCCTGGCATTCCAAGATATTATATTTTTCATGGTAGGAGGATGAAGTATATTTTATTTAACATCGTGCTGGCTTAATGTATAACTTTTAAGTGTTAGACATATGGAATGTGGGCCTCTGTTTGTGCTCTTGCCTCACGCTCTGCATATGTGAGATGTGGGCTGCCTTGCTCTCCTCACTACCCCTTCAATGTATTTCTTAATTTCCCTTTATACTCTTCCCTTGTCACTTTATAAATTGGATGATAATCTCCCAAAGTGTTCACTAATACAGCTGTAGAACGGTACAGGAATACATTAAGAGTAGACTTTTAGAGAACCACTAAAGGGCTGGAAACAAGCAGACAAGACCGAAAATGCCTCTCTGGGCAGGAGAGGGGAAGAGAGAATATGCCATTAGACAATAGTAACTAAACTAGTCACTTGAGAAACTCATGGAGAAATCAGAAAGGGTGAACAATACAATGGGTGAGTCCATGCTCTAGAACCTGATTGCCTGGGATCAAATTCTGCTTCTGCCACTTACTAGCTGTGAGATCTTGGATGAGTTTCTGAATCCATTTATGCCTCAGTTTTCTCATCTATACAATAGGTATAATAATAGCAACTACCTTATGGGATTATTTTAAGGACAATAATTTAATAATTATGAAACAATTGGAAGAATACCTGGCAAATAGTAAATTCTCAATGCATTTTAGTTAATATATTAACAAAGTAAATTGTCAGGACTCTGGCTGGGTTTTTCATACATTTTTGTTGCATGTTTTAGAACTGGATGATCTTTACTTGCCGATATTAGGATAATCTGTGGCTCTAGCTGAATTTTACTCTAAAAGTGGCTAGATGCTCACTAATCCTACCTTCACACATGGGAAGACTTTAATTCCTGGCGATTTCAGGTGTTAGGTAATTAGGACCTAATCACCTCTTAACACCTAATCATGTTAGGACCTAATACCTAATCAAGTGGTAGGACCATGTGATTGGGTTCTGGAAAAAGAAACATACACAGAATTTATGTATATCAATGTTAGACATCATCATAAAATCTTCTGTGTTAAACTCTTCTCATTTCCCTCCTCTGCTGACTAGATTATTCCAAGATTGCCTTGAATTTGTAAAATGGCAAAACCATAAGATAGAGGTCACTTGGGTTATTAAGTCACAGTTTGCAGAGAAAACACTTAAGAGAACCATCAAACTTGAATTAAAAATATATCTTATTTCATTAAGCCAATAAGGTTTTCAGATGTTTGCTACAGCAGTTAGCCTATTCTAATAGAGATGTTTGTATGTCGACATGGAGTGCTTTCAAAACAAAAAATTACAATATGTGGAATTGGCTTAGTATTTTGTGGCGGTCAATAGGAGACTGAAACTGACTGCTTGAAAAATCGTGATCTTAAGCAGTGGCAAAACATTTGGTAAAACTTATTTTCTGTGAACACTTGGAAGGTAGAATATGTGCCTATTTAAACTGAACTCTAGGAAAAGAAATGAGAAGCATAATTTTAATGGTGTATGGTTTTTATTGGCTGTGTTTGGCCAAGAAAAAGCTTGGGAAGGAATTGGCTAGTTTGCAAGCATAAATGGGAGGAAATAGAGAGAGTTTGGAAATTCAGGTTTTGCAATATTGAAAAAGTCAGCTGTTTCTAGAATGCAAACAGTGAGAAATGAAACTACACAAAGGGAAGAAAAAGAAAGAAAAAAAAACTTTAGCCACTAACAGCTTAGTAAATATTTTCAGGTGAATAAACTGATTCACAAAAAAAAGATCAGTTTCAAGATAAGGTATTCCCATTCAGAAGTTATAGCCTCAAGGTACCTGGTATTAAGTTGAATGAGATTAACTAGTATGATGGCAAGGAAGCAGAGAGATAAAACATATTTGAGAATTATGTCTAGGAAAGATCTATGAATGTGGTTTCTGGCACACACGACTACCTGGAAGTAAGTTGATCAGAAGCCTATTAAGTTTTTGAGGAATTTTTGTCTACAAATAAGCCATAAACTAAACAAACAGACAAAATTAAAAACCACCAAACACCAGTTTTGACCATTTTAGAGTTCAGACAACCATTCAAACTCCAAAATTCCATAAGCGTGAGGCTGTTTTCCAAGGGTCTCAAAAGGCGTTCTCCATCTCCCCCTTCATGTATGACCAAGAAGAGTAAGTGACAAGATGGAGCTTGCAGAGGATGAAGGCAGCTGCAAAGAAGAGCGGTGTGTTAGTCCGTTTTCACACAGCTGATAAAGACATACCTGAGACTGGGTAATTTATAAAGAAAAAGAGGTTTAATGGACTCACAGTTCCACATGGCTGGGGAGGCCTCACAATCATGGCAGAAGGTGAAAGGCACATCTTACAATGGCAAGAGAGTGAATAGAGCCAAGCGAAAGGGGTTTCCCCTGATAAAACCATCAGATCTCGTGAGACTTATTCACTACCATGAGAACAATATGGGTGAAACTGCCCCCATAATTCAATGATCTCCCACCAGGTCCCTCCCATAACACATGGGAATTATGGAAGCTACAATTCAAGATGAGATTTGGGTGGGGACACAGGCAAACCATGTCAACTGGACAAGGACCTTCCTCACAGACAGCATCAGCAACACCCTCTCAAACAACTTTTCCTATCATGACATCAGGGCTCTTCACATTTTCTACTCAAATGGACTTGAGAATTGCTGTAGATCATTGACTTCTAGGCTTTTCCTACTTGTTTCCTTTGTAAGTGGGAGCATTTATTACTGTTGTCCTGCTTCTGTTCCACTATTGCATATCGCCTGTGTGTGTGGTGGTGGTTACAGGCAGATAACTGATGTTTTAATTCATAGGCTATCAGAAAACAAGGAACCATATCCAGCCCTGATGGAAGGACTGAGCATCATGTGGAGATCCTGAACTCTGATGAAGATGTCGTGATTGGGTGTGACTTTGAGTTGTCTTCATAGGTAAGCGGATGAGTGATTTGCATATAGCACAAAGAATGAGCTGAAAATTTGGTGGTCAGAATGAAGTCTATGGCAGAGAGGGGCTGGAGGCTCAGAAATTATATTTCCTCTTCCTGAGCACACAAGACTGCATTTCCCTATCTCCCTTGGAATTGGATAAAAATCACATGACTACTTTCTAGTCAATGAAATGTTGTGGAGATGATATGCAATTTCCAAGACTGGCTTCAAAACCCTTTGGGCAAACCTCTGTTCTCTCTTTCCTTTATTGGATGGCTGAAGATGTCAGAAGGACCTTGAAGCCACAGAATGGAAGCACCTGGGTTCCTGAGGTTTTGTTTAGTGTAGAGGTGCCCAGGAGAACCACCTGACCAGGAGTGTTCACCTTGGGGTATATAAGTGTTAAAATGATTAACTGATAGGCACCTAGACTGAGACAGCTCCAAGGCCTTGGGTTCCTACTTAAGCAAATCCAAACCCAATTTAATGTAAATAGTAAAATAAACTTTAAGCTTAACCAATCAGATACAACCAACTATCCTCTAACTAGAGACTTTGCCAATCAGAGATCTCCAACTAACCTCTAATTAGGAACATTTCATTTTATCTAACCAAATATATTTTCTTTGTCTTTCTTTCATAAACATCTCATAAAAGTTTCCTCTCTCACCTGCCCCTCCCAGTGGGGTGCTGAACTGCTTGCCTTCCTGTGCTGATCAGTCCATGAATTGTTTAATGCTCAAACTTGTTACAATTTTAACGTGCCTAAGTTTATCTTTTAACATAAGCAAGAAAACACTGTGCTAATGTTTAGTGATTGTGATTTTGGGGACGTTAGTTCTAGCAGTTAGCACATCCTGAAGAATATACCACGTCGTATATTGTGATGATGGAGAGTAATCACTTAAAATGGCATCTTTGTTGTCAGAGATGTCAGTTTCCCATTCTGTTCTTCAGAATAACCTTGACTCTGAATGAGTTCAAAATACTAGTGAGATATTTAGAAGGAGGATTAATGTTGATGGTGCTCTGGGAATTTATGTCAGTGGTGGAGTCCTCTGAGATTTCAAGGGAGGTATCTGAAGAAAGGTGAACATAAAAATAAATCAATGAGTTTACCACCTAATTCAATGGTCTTAGGAAAATAAATTTTGTCTAGAGGAGGAAGGAAGGAATATGACACATACATATGCCAGAATTGTTAGAGTCAAGGGTACCCCTTTCTTTCCAAAGTTCACAAGAGTTGTTTGTGTGTTTGTGTGGTTCTGAGCTCTGAAGCTTGTGTAGTGAGTATTATAGCTTGAGAAGTGGCCACTAGAAGTTGTTTGTGTGTGTGTGTGTGTGTGTGTGTGTGTGGTTCTGAGCTCTGAAGCTTGAGCACAGAAAATATTATAGTTTGAGAAGTGGCCACTAGAAGTTGTGTGTGTGTGTGTGTGTGTGTGTGTGTGTGTTTCTTGAATGTGCTATTCTCATTGTGGGGATGTCTCTGAATGTTGGCTGGAATCGTCCATGGAAATGTTGTAATTCCAGAACTGAGAAAGCGGAGGCAGCTGCTAACAAGCCTCCAGGGGCAAGTATTTGTTAGAGTTCAGGTTCTAGAAGTTACTTACATTTTCATCACTGTGCAATATTGCCTCAGCATTCCAGATAACAGTTTGTGGAGCGTGAAGAGTACACGAAATCTTAACAACTTACTCATGACTATTAACTATATTTAGTGCATAAAAGGTCTTCAACCATGAAGAGATCCTAGAGATAACTTTTAAAAAGGTACGCTTAAAGACTCAAATAACCAGACTTGAGAATGCATGAATCGTGCCAATCTGTTCCAGGAAATCAGATGAATTTTAGATGAATTGTTTGTCTAGAAATTTCAATTACACAGACAGCAAGAAATAATTTCCTGATGGAGTTGACTGATATGGTTTGGCTCTGTGTCCCCCCCAAATCTCATCTTAAATTGTAATCCCTATAATCCCCAAATGCCAAGGGAGGGACCAGGTAGAAGGTGATTGGATCATGGATCATGGGGGAGGTTCCCCCCATGCTGTTCTCGTGATAGTGAGTGAGTTCTTACAAGATCTGATGGTTTTATAAAGAAGTGTTCCCTGCTCTTGCTCCCTCTCCCTCATCTGCCACCATGTAAGATGTGCCTCTTTCCCTTCTGCCATGATTATAAGTTTCCTGAGGTCTCCCCAGCTATGCAGAACTGTGAGTCAATGAAACATCTTTCCTTTGTAAATTACCAGTCTCAGGTATTTCTTTATAGCAGTGTGAAAACAGACTAATACATTGACTAAGGATGAGAATAAATTCTCCTCCCATTTTATTTTAAACCCATTGTAATCAGACATCTTCCACCCCTCCACTGAAATGAGTCTCTTAAATGTCACCAATGACTCCATGTTTCTAACTCAGTGGTCAATTTTCAGTCATCTTATTTGATCTTTCAGTAGCATTTGATGCACTATTGACTGTCTTTTTCTTGGAATAGCTTCTCCATTTGGATTCCAGGATATCACATTATACATATATCACATTCCTGGAATACAAATGGAGGAGTAGATTCTTGTTTTAAATCTCTCTTCCTGAATCTGGTTTTTTGTTTTTTGTTTTATCTCCCTTCTGCTCCTTCTTCTATTCTCCTTAGGTGGTTTCTCCTCATCTCTCTGACATCTACATAAATTTTATTTCTTTTAGACTTACTCTTTAGATCTTTTCTCTTTTTCATCTGCACTCCTACATTTGGTGACTTCATCTACTCTCTTGGTTGTAAACATCATCCATATGCCCATGATTTCCACATTTGTATCTCCAGGCTGTATCTCTTCTCTGGACTCCAGATTCATATATTAATGCCTCCTGGACACCTTCTGCTGTTTATTTTTTTAACAGTTATCTCAAAATTCACTCCTGATATTCCCTTGCCAAGCCTTTTCCTCATGCCCTCTTTCTGTGTCCATAAATTACAACTCAATCCTTCCAGTAGCCCAAGCCAAAGCCCTCAGTGTGACTTAATTCATCTTTCACAGTTTACTTTGTATGAAAGAACAAGTCCTTCAATGTATAATGTTCAGTGTGTGTGCTTTCCACGTATATCAAGAATACAGCTACTTTTCTCTGTTCTGGACTTCTGCTTCTGGCTATGATGAATTAGCTTACAGCCACACAACCCTTCTTCAGAGACCAACTAGAAAACCTGGATAAGATTGAAAAGAAAATCAATTTGAGGGCATTGGAGAGCTATCAATGCAGCCAGGTGTTGAGTGGCTGAGATCTCAGAGAGAAGAAAATTTAGCAAGGCAAGTCCAAAATCTGATATCATTATTCTCATTTGTTGATGCATAAGCTGCATGTTGTAAGAAATGATAATTCTAAAAAGTGCATAAGCAACATGTGGGACATTAAAGAGCCTGACATAAATGTAATTATAGACACATATATGGGGAGGAGAAAATGAATGGAACAGAGACAATATTTGAAGAGATAATGGCTGAGGATTTCTCAAAATTGATAGAAGAAATAAAGCCATAGATTAAAGAAATACTTTGAACCACAAGCAAGATAAATACTAAGAAAACACACCTACATACATCATTATAAGGCTGCTAAAACAGTGATAAAAGACAAAACCTTAAAAGTAGCTAGAGAAAAAAATAGCACTTTACTTTTAAAGAATCAAGAGTTAGTCTGACAGCTGATATCCCAAAGGAAATGGTGCAAGTCAGATTACAATAAAAAGAAATGCCAACTTTAAAGTGTTAAAAACATTGCAGTTTATGACACAACAAGCACTCAAGTTAAAAAAAAAAAGGCAATCAAGAAGGCCAAATTGTAATCCGTCAGCTTTGTCCTAAAGACAAGCAGTGTGGAGGTAGTGTGATAGGAGATTTTGGTAAACATCAGACTGAATTTGAGCATCCTGCCAGATAATGCTGGAGATAGCTGCAGTCTCCTTATAAGTGCGAACCAATTCCAGCAGTATTGTACTCTTGCTGCCTCATCCAAGTTTCCTCCCCCATCCCTCAGGAAGTGATTACAAAGCCTCCTTTGCCAGACTGCAGAGTAGAAGGAAATGAATGATGTGGAACTTCCTCAGCAGAATAAAGACACACATATGAATGAGGCAGGTGAGATGAATCTAGGAACTATAAACCCAGCTAACTGGCCATCAGAATCCAACTATCTTGGAACTTGGGCTCTAAGTCAGTAGATCTAGATTGACACTTAAGTGAATTCTTTGATGGGGATTGAAGAGGCCAGAGTTCATAAAGACCCTGATCAAATTATGATACATCTGGACAATGAGTAATGATTCTACCCAGCTGCTTAGTACTGCCTGCTGGCGTGGAGCAGAGTGCTACAGCCTGGGAGGATTTGGGAAGAACAGATGAGATGTTTGGAAAGGAATCACTTTATTTGAACATATTGGACTTGACTTTTTTTGTATTATGTTTATTGCTAGGATGGAAATTTTTTTACTGGAGTATGGACCCATTAGGGAGGAATGGCCCAAAGGATATTGCAAGTGAATTTCTGAGGGACACAGAGATGGCAATGGTGTGGTGGAACCAGCTTCTTCTGGCTGTTGAGAAACAATTATGCACATCTTTTCCCAAACCCATATTTTGTGATGTGTTTGGTAACTTGAAATCTACCACAGTAGGTGTATTTACATCACAAAATTTGGCAGATGCCACAGATCAGGGCTTTCCCCCCACTCCCCGAGAGCCAGTTACTAAACGTTTGCCTGTACACTATTGGAGATATGTCATAAGGCAAAATGTCATAACATGAATTATTGGGACAATCTGAACAGACTAAGACATTGCATTTGTGTGTGTGTGTGTGTGTGTGTGTGTGTGTGTGTGCTGATATCCGCCCCGTGATTCAAGCTTAGACTTTTCTCTTGAGATTACCTTCTGAACCACCCCTAGTTTTAGCATAAGCACTTCAAATTTGACTTTTCTAGAATTCATGATCTTTTCTTCCCAATCATTTTCTCTTTTGGAATTCTTTACTGTATTTCTTGGTATCAACTTAACCCAGGGACAAAAATCAGAAAATAAATGTCTTTCTCTCTGTTATTCTCCAATGATTAATGAGCTTTGACAGGCTAACCTAATTAGCACATGATATAATTTATGTATTTTCTCACTTCCTCTATTAATCCTATTGTCTTGGTTCAAGCCTTTATCCTCTTTGCCTCGTCTGGTTTCCTCACGTAATCATTAGAATCAGATAAAGTATTAGCTAAACTACACATTTCCAGGCTCCTTTCCCAGAGATTAGGATTTGGTTATGAGATGACGACTGGAACCCACATTTTTAACAGTTGACCCAGAATTCAGATGAATTCTAATTCTTAGCTAAGTTTGGAAAATACTCAGATACAGAATAAAAATCATAATTTTTAATCTTGGAATACAAACCCAACCTAATATGTTCTTTGCTTGTTTCTCTAGTTTAATTTCTCACGATTTCCCCAAACATTTTTTATCTCATTTGTTTTTCACCAAATATGTATTGTGCTCAAACTATGGGTCAGGTACTCTCTTAGGTGCTAGAAATTACAGTGGTATAAACAGATAAGTTCTTTGTTCACACAGTGTTTTGTAAATAAATTTAAAAAAAACTTTACTATCTTTATGTTCCCAAACATAGCAGTCTTAGGCACGTCTTGACACTTTGTTATCTTCTTTTGGTCCAGGGTTCCTTTTCATTTAGCTACCTTCTCACATTACCTATTGGTTTGTGTTACCACTGTTCATTATTCTATTGTACATTATTTATTTTATTGTCTATCTCTCTTTCTAGATTGCTGGTTTCTTAAAGGCAGAGCCTTTCAATCTCTAGTGTCTAGACCAATAATTGGCATAAAATAGTTCTCAACCATTTATTGAATGAATGTTACTCAACTAGTAAGTGGGAAAGTAGGGATCTGAATTTAGGGATATCTGACTCCAAAGGCCCACATCCTTTTAACTATACTACACCCTCTCAATAAAGTTTTGTTCAGTTTTTCAGAGGAGCCATTTTAAAAATTATTTAAGGAGAACCTAATGATGCCCAAAGATAGAGCTACTGCCTCTCCAAAGGGAGATGTGCCAATTAACGACTTTAGTTGATCAATATCTAGTCCAGATTGGGAAATTCATGCCAAAGAGTATTCTCTGGCATTTATTAAACCAACAAAAGAAGACAAATGTATCTCCTCTTATCTTGGCCTAATATAAATATAACTTTACCATGTAGATGTATCTATCCAGAATAAGGCAGGCGACAGGCTAAGTCTAGGTGATGACATTTCCTAATATTAATCTAGGCAATTAGTCTTAAACTCATTTCTAGGTAAAGATCAAGCACAGTACTTGGCACACAAAATTCCTCCAAAGCATTTCAGAACTATTGGATTATACTAGGAGACTGATATAGTTTGGCAGAAAATGAACATAACTATCAACTTAAGCATCCATTTTATTGAGGAAATTAATGCAACTCATATGTTTTTTATTCTTTCGCATAAAAAACTTGGGCAGCAAAAGCTAATGGATAAAATTTAAAGAGTTTATTCTGTCATCTGATTTGGGAAATGTGTGCTGACTCTGCTAGTTCTATTAAAAATGCTGCCCATAGAATATACTTGGACTAGCTTGGCACAAGTTATTTTAGAGCTGTGAGAAGGAATGTTATTAATAAAATCTTCTCTTTCCCTTCTAATCAATTCATAGCATTGCCACCAGAGCGTTCTTTCTATATTATAAATTTATGTCACTTCCCCTGCTAAAACACTTCTGATGACTCTACATTTTCTATAAAGAATGATGAGTAAACTCCTTAGTTGAAAATGTAAATTTTCTATAACCTTATCACCATCACCTTTCCATTCACAATTCATTTCACTCTTCTCACTATCTCAAATAACACATTACATTCTTTAATGACACCAGATTACTTGCTCGTAAATGCCTCTTGATTTCCCACCTCTTTGTTCGTGACCAAGCTGTTCCGCCTTCATGCCTTTCCTCCTGCTTTTATGGCAAATTCTTGCTATCACTAGTGATGCTGTTCCCATTCCTAACAGTCCCTCAATAATTATTCATTGCTTTCTCTTCTGTGTTCACACATGATTTATACATGTATGTATGAACCAACTCAAACACATGGTGTCACAAGTGCAAGTATAATTAAGGGAACAGAATAATCAAAGTGATTCCAGAAAATGTGGGATATATTGTTGTCATAATTATGACATTTATCCCTAGTACCTTGAGTCAAGCATTATATTTTATGAATCTATGCATAATTAACTGCCATCATTAATTCATTTATTTATTCAACAAAAATTGTTCAGGGCCTATCCTGTGTTATGCACTATCAGAGGTGATAGAGATATTGAAGAAGAAAGGATTTTCTGCTTTCATGCAATTTATATTCTATTGAAAGTGACAGAGACAGACAAGAAACAAATGACTAATAAAATAATTTCAAATAGTGGTAATTACTACGGACAAAATGAAAAAGATCAGTATGATAGAAAGTGACTTGAGAGGTAGGAGAGGGAGACATCAGATACGAAGCATTTCTGTAATATATAGATTACTTACAGAGTGACAGAAAAAGACACACAATAGAAAAATGCAGAGAGGGTTTGAATAAACAATTCAAATTAAAAAAAACTTAATGGTCAACTAAACATGAAAAGATGCTTGAATTCATAAGTAGTAAGAAAAATTAAAATGAAAATAATGACAAAATATCATTTATATCCATTGGATTGGCAAAATTAAAAATAACTATAAAACCCATTACTGGTGGGGAATTGGGGAAATGGATTCTCTTGTACATTTTCATTAGTGTGTTTGTTTGTTTATTTAGAGATGGGGTCTCACTATGTTGTCCAAGCTGGTCTCAAACTCCTGACCTGGCTCAGCCTCCTGAGTAGCTGGGTTTATAAGCATGAGCTACTGCACCTGGCTCTTTTGTACATTGTGAGATTGCAAAACCTTACATCCTTTCCAGAAGGCAATATAGCAACATCTATTTTAACCTAAAATACAATTCCTCTTTAATTCTGCAATTCTATTACTGGAATCTAACTCATAGAAACAAAGGTGTCTATTTGCAAGATCATATGTCAGAGGATGTTTATTGTACCATTGTTAGTATTGGCCAAGCATTGGATACAGAGAAAGCTCACCAATACAGGAAAGGCTGACTAAATAAATTGCAGTTCATCTATGCCATGGAATATTATGTGACCAAAGAAAGAATGAAATACAGCCCTCTCAGATAATTTGGAGAGCTTTCCAAATTTTGATACCCTTCATGATTAATTTTGTATTTTATTAACCTATCAATTGAGAAAATATATGATGACCCAAACTTTTTGGATTCTATTCATTTTTGAAAAATTTGTATTTTATTAATCCCATTACTATATTTATTTGAAAAATGACAGCACATATATTTGTGAGACATACTATTTATTCAGTCTATATGCAATGTTTAGTATATATATGGGTTTATGAAAAATGAATTTTGCAGCTCCTAAGGAGCTAATAGTCCTCATGTTTGGAATGAATGAGATGGGCCACAGAAAGAACACATCTTAGATGATTACACAAAGAGTTGAGTGACAGCCAATATCTTAACTTCCTGACAGCGTTTGCATTTTAAGACATAACACTTACTAATCTGATTACATCTTTGGTCTCTTTTCAGGGGTGGTGTGAAGGGAATGAGAGAAAAGAGGCTCTTCCGTGATATTGTAAATCACAATTCCTGTTAAAGTCTGTCTCTGATGTCCACCCAGAGTGCAAAATTGTATTGATTACATTTATTCTTCTAATTCTCAAGCTGCATGTTAAAGCAAATTCAGAAAAACCTTAAATATTTTATACTAAAATATTTTATCGTAAAAGGAAAAATGGAGAAAAATGTAACAAATATTCATATACCTGACCCAGAGAACAAACATGCTAAAGTTTCATCCTGTTTGTATCACATTCTTTAAAAGACATAAAATGTAACAAAATCTATTGAAGTCATCACTGAATCCCTTCTCAGTCTCTATTTCTATAGCTTAGATGGCATTCTAATAAATTCTAGCTGTAGTTTATCTCCCCATAGTACATAGGCTCCATCACACTTGCTCACAGGGGCCTGAGTAACAACACAAAGCTATTATACTTCAAAGCAAGGGTGGATGATTATGTTGCATTTTTCTTAATTCCTCCTACAGAGAAGAAAGCAGCCCTCCCTGCTTAAATCAAAGAACAATGTTACGCATTTTCTCCGCTCACTTTGTAGTGCATCACAAAGCAAATAAATTCTGTGGTATGTAGGTATTGCAGAGCTTCCATTAGCATTACACATCTGGGCCTTTTGGTTTTTATACTCTTGGTAAATAAGGGAAAGAATAAATCAAATACCTTACTCAGACCAAATCTACATTACATCAACACAGCCAGTTGAAATGGTGTTTACTCAATCATCTGGTTAGTAAAATATTCAGCTGGCTTTTAAACGCATTTTAATATGGAAAATTTCAAATATATATATGTAAATATATATATGGAATAGTCTAATAAGCACTCTTGTACCATCACTCAACTTCGAAATTATTAAATCATGGACAATACTCTTTTCTCTCTAATCCTACCACTTTCACCCTACTGGTATCATTATGAAGCAAATTTCAAATGTATAATTTCCCTTATAATGTATCAGAATGGATTTTTGGAGGATAAGTATGCTTTTAAAAAACATAATTACAAAAAACATTTTTACCCTTAAAATATTATTTTCTTAATATTGCATATCTAGCCATGTTCAAATTTATCTGATTGTCTCACAATTCTTTTTTACAGCCATCCTGTTTGAATCAGGATATAAAGATCATATATGGCAAATATTTGATAGTCTTTCAAAATCCTTCTTACTCTATAAGTTCACCTCCATTTCTCCCCTTTTATCCTTGTAATTTGTTGTTATTGTTGTTTAAGAAACTAGGTCTTTTGTCCTGTGACATTTCCCACATATGCATTGTGTCTATTGCATCTTTATAATGTTGTTTAACATGGTCTTCAGTCCCCTGCATTTCCTGTGATTTGGAAGTTAGATATAAAGCCTTCATCAGCTTCAGGCTCAATTTGTTGTTTTGTTTCTAGACCAGATTTGACTGATTTTAAAAAGCAGCAGTTGATGAAATTTGTATATGCAAAAGTAAAAGGAGGTGAGGAGAGAGGAAAAGGGGAATTTTACGAAGAAAAGACTATTGTCTTCAAAGTTATGATCTAAGAATTGGGTCCTTTCTGAGATCTTTCAAATGGTCTGACCTTGGGGCAGTCACAATTCAATGCCTTCAAAGTCAGTTTCACACTGACAATTCAATAGCACAATTTGTGTGCTCATTTGGGGAAAAAAATGATACATAAGGAACAGGAGTATAAATCTGAATGTCACAGTGCTGATGGTGTTATTTTCTTACCTAATATAGAGGTAAATCTGGGATGGTCCTTTCCATCTGTAATAGGATGTTGGCAAAAGACACCAATGGATATAAGTAGGTACAAAGGGGATGGAAGACCAATCGATATATGCAGAATTTAACAAGGGAAAATTTGAATACCAGTTCTTTAAAGCTCGAATTATCATCACTTAGTTTGGGAATACAAAATGGCGTAGGAAGATTTCTGAAGGAAGGAACATCTCCATTCACATAAAGAATGATGTGTGCTATACGGCTCATCTCTCACCTGATGAAGGCACTGTTCAGGAAGCCATCCACGATGTGATCCCTCTAATAGTTGAGAGGAGGAGCATGGGAAGTTTGAAATACTTCCCAGCTTTAGAAATACATAGTAAGGCAGTGCTCCTTTTGCGGGGCCAGTAGCTGCGGGGTGGGGGGGCGGGGGGGGAGGATGGGGGGCTCTGTTCCTGCAGACTCCTGATTCGGCAATGGATGAATAAAGTACACTGACACACAGATATTCTGTTCTGCCAGTCCAGCTGAGGGTCCGAGCGGCTTACACCCAAACTAAGTTCTGTAAACAGTTGCGACTCGGCCCTAATCCGCTAGTCGGGCTTGCATTTATTCAGTAAGACTAAATAACAAAAGTTGTGAGTAAACACCACTAGAGGGTAAAGATTAAAGGCCTAAAGCAAACACCATTTGCGGGTAATAAAATTCTGCCTGATCCCCCCCACCCCTTGGCCGCCCCTGCAGTAGGAGGCAGTAAAGTACCCGCAGTAAGACGAAGGTTAGTTTTAAGCCCATATAAGTAAACAGGTTAGTAAGATAAACTTCCCACATTCCTTTGTACTTGCACCCTAATGTTTCTGGCTCCTGCAAAGAGACCCTGGCTGCCTTCAGGCAAGCAATCTGAAACTATGCAAACTCTTAGGCCTTCCAAGAGAGTTTTTGACTATTACTATAACTATCTTTAATATTTTTCCCACCAGCCTGATTGAACCCCAACACATAGGACAGGAGACAGGTGGAGACAAGGGACAGATTTCCCTGGCAGTAGAACTAGGAGAAAGTTATCATGTTGGGAAGGGACTACCTGCTTCCCAGAATTTGAGCAGCCTCCTGGAGGGACAGAAAGTCTCTGTGCCAAGAAGTTGAAGGTGAATGTGAGATTCTTAGGTGTTGCAGAAAACATCTCAAGTCATAATCTAGAACTAACGATGGATTTACACAGATCAAGAAAGAAACTATGAAGAAAGGCTGCCAGAAAAGCAAACTTTTGTGCAATTCAGGAAACGGCATACAAGAGAAATAATTAGCTTTGGCCGGGCGCGGTGGCTCACACCTGTAATCCCAGCACTTTGGGAGGCCAAGGCAGGCGGATCACAAGGTCAGGAGATCGAGACCATCCTGGCTAACACGGTGAAACCCCGTCTCTACTAAAAATACAAAAAAATTAGCCAGGCGTGGTGGTGGGCGCCTGTAGTCCCAGCTACCTGGGAGGCTGAGGCAGGAGAATGGCGTGAACCTGGGAGGTGGAGCTTGCAGTGAGCCGAGATCGCGCCACTGCCCTCCAGCCTGGGCGACAGAGCAAGACTCTGTCTCAAAAAAAAAAAAAAAAAAAAAAATTAGCTTTATTCACCTGTCATGCCCAGAGGGCACCTGAAAATCACCTGGAGACTAAGTATGATGGCGGTTACTCACCTCTGAAATTGAAAATGTTAAAGTAAAGGAAGCACGTCTTTGATGTTTTTCTTTTTCTTTTTTTTTCTTTTTTTTGAGATGGAGTCTCGCTTCTTCGCTTAGGCTAGAGTGCAGTGGTGCGATCTTGGCTCGCTACAACCTCCGCCTCCTGAGTTCAAGCAATTCTCCCGCCTCACCCTCCCTAGTAGCTGGGATTACAGGCATGTAACACCATGCCTGGCTAATTTTTGTATTTTTAGCAGAGATGGGGTTTCACCCTGTTGGCCAGTCTGGTCTCCAACTCCTGACCTCAAGTGATCCACCCACCTCGGCCTCCCAAAGTTCTCGGATTACAGATGAGAGCCACCGTGCCTGGCCAAACTTTAAGCTTCCACCGAGATTGATGTTTTTCTTATAGCTTCCCTATTATTTATTTATATATTTATTTGACAAATTAAAGTTGCATATACTTTTTTTTTCTTTTTTTTTGAGACGGAGTCTCGCTCTGTCGCCCAGGCTGGAGTGCAGTGGCACGATCTCGGCTCGCTGCAAGCTCCACCTCCCAGGTTCACGCCATTCTCCTGCCTCAGCCTCCCAAGTAGCTGGGACTATAGGCGCCCAGCCCACCACCACGCCCGGCTAATTTTTTTGTATTTTTAGTAGAGACGGGGTTTCACCGTGTTAGCCAGGATGGTCTGGATCTCCTGACCTCGTGATCTGCCTGTCTCGGCCTCCCAAAGTGCTGGGATTACAGGCGTGAGCCACCGCGCCCAGCGAAAAGTTGCATATACTTATTATGTACAACATGGTGTTTTAAAATATGTAATTGTGCAATGACTAAATCTAGGTACTTAACATATGCATTACCTCACATACTTTTTTGTGTGATAAGAACACTGAAAAACTATTAGGTTCGTGCAAAAGTAATTGTGGTTTTAATGTAAATTACATTAAAAGTACTTTTAACGGCAAAAACCGCAATTACTTTTGCACCAACCTAATACTCTCAGCCATTTTCACACATAAAATACTTTGTTATTAATTATTGTTACCATGTTGTACAATAGATCTTCCAAATTTATTCCTCTTTACTTAAATGTTGTATCCTTCGGCCAACATCTCCCTGCCCCCAACCTCTGGTAAACACCATTCTACTCTGCCTCTATGAGTTTGACTTCTCTAGATTCCGCATATGAGATCATGAAGTATTAGTCTTTCTGTATCACGTTCTCTGGGCACATCCATGTTGTCACAAATGACAGAATTTCATTCTTCTCTGAGGCTGAACAGTATCTGTTGTGTATGTATGACACATTTTCTTTATCTGTTTATCCACTGATGGACACTTAGGTTGATTCCATATTTTATCATCCAATTATTATTCTTTACATTTTTTGATGTTTTAGTTTATATGTACACACACACACACACACACACACACACACACACACACACACATTGGTTTCTTATAATTACTCTGGCCAATAGCCCAGGAAGGGTAGACATTGTTTTCTCCACTTTATAAATGAAAAAAACAAGACTCAGAATGATTCAGTGCTACCCAAGGCTTCATGGCTTTCAAGGTAAAACTGGAATCAAAACACAGATCTTCTCACTGCTAGTCTGTATTCCTTCTGTATTTTGCCATGTCACTGGCTTGGTTATTACAAAACCCTCACCCCATTTAACATTCTGATCTCTCTTGAACACTCCTTTCATAGATGGTTACACTGAAGAAATATTAGAAGTTTGAAAATCAGATTCAGTCTGTGGCTCAGGGATTGCTGCCAAATTTTTGCAAAGTGCTTTTCAATAATTCATAGTTCCTTAAACCTGGAAACTCACAGCCTAAATATAGCCTGAGAAAATGTGCTCCGGTGCTTAGTTAAGCCAAAAGCTGTGTATTTAAATACATTAAATTTCTCTTCAACTCATATAACTACATCCAATGTCATCCATTTGTCTGTACAGAATACTTTAAAAATAACTCTTATTGAAATATTCAGGTACCTGATATGCTATTCTGTGGGCTTGTAATATTTGGGTTAGAGTTTTGCAATTTCAGCACTCAGAGCTCTCTTTCCCTTTGGTTTGACAAGGCTACATCAAATGCCTTGTGGTCACAATCTCTGCTGAGGATGCTACAGGGCCAAAGGAAAAGGCTAACGTGGACTGTGGGGAAAGACCAATGGAAGAGTCCATTGAACCAGAAGACCAGCTTTCCCAAGACCGCAGGGAACTTGAATTCCCCAGCAGATCTCCAAATCTGCAGAGGGGATGTCACACTCTTGGCCAACATGGGTTCTGAAGGCCTCTGGGTAGATGAAGACAGGGCTTTGGACAGGAGTATCAAAGTCTTAACTGAATTGGTCTCTTTGAGATCAAGAAGGGACCATGCTGCAAAGGTGTCTCCAGAAGAAGACCAGAGGCTTGTTCTTTCAAGTTTCCAATCAAGTAAAGCTCACTGAATCTGTCACTGGAGTCAGCCTTCCACTCTGCCTTAGACTCTCTATGGCTGTGTTTCTGTCTTACAGTCAAGCCCTGCACTGGCCTTGACTCCTGATCCCTGTATTGAATCCCATTCATAGTCAATGTCAAGACTGCCTTCTCTGCTCATTCTTCAGGGACAGACTGACTGGCTGCTTTTCTACCCTCTAGAAGGATTCGGTTTTGACCTATCTACTTCCCATCCCCATGGTCTATTCCATTCCCATGTCTCTGTTGAAGTAGTACTTCTGCAGAGGAGCTGTTCCTGAAAACCCAATCTAAGCTCGTTTCTCTTCTGTTATCTTTCAGACCCCTGTTTGCCTTCCTTCATTTCACTTATCACAGTTCACACTTACTGCTTTGTTTGTTGTTTTACCTAATTTCTGTCTCTCTCTCCCCCATTAAACTGTAAACTCCATTAAAGCAGCAGTCAAGACTATCTTGTAGTGACCTGTATCCCTATTAAATAATCCCTATTATTTAATACAATGCATGGCCCATGGTAGGTTCTTAGACATATTTGTTGAATGAATGATTGAATGAATGAATTCTAGCATCGAGTCCCACTTAAGTCTAACATCTGTTTGCTTAATCTATTAAATCCCCTTTAACAAAACTTATGACAGCATGTAGTAACTGTAATTTGAATTTGGGCATGCTGGATGTGAAGATATGGCTCATGGTGAATTCTCTACAAATATTTTCTTTAATTTTTCATTGATATGTAATAATTGTATATATGGGGTACATGTGGCATTTTGATACATGCATATAATGAGTAATGATCAAATCAGAGTAATTAGGTGACGCATCACCTCAAACATTTATCATTTCTTTGTTTTGGGATCAACAAATGTTGAGTGAATGAATGAGCAGACTGAACTTTAGCTGATTGAAGCAGGTAGCTGCAGAGTTTT